>NC_000002.12:124989618-125614618 GCF_000001405.40 Homo sapiens | reverse complement strand
AGTATAGAAGAAAACTACTCTGAAAGGTGCTCACCAATTCTTCTTTCTCTTTAACTTGCTCAAATTTTCTGAATACACCTTAAAGCATATATGCAACCAGAGTCTTTGAAGAACGCAGAGCTAGTTCATCTGTTATACTCAACTTTTAATTGGATAACTAGTTCAAAACTTTGAGGCCAGAGAAAGAAGAAATTGGGGACAAATTTTTGTCATCCAGGCAAGTGCTTAGGTTTGTATATTAGGCACTGTTCATAGGTCATTACATTTAATTCTCACAACAAACTTATTGATATGCTTTGGCTCTGTGTCCCCACCCAAGTCTCATCTTGTAGCTCCCATAATTTCCAATGTGTTGTGGGAGAGACCCAGTGGGAGGTAACTGAATCATGCGGCCAGATCTTTCACATGCTGTTCTCATATAGCAAATAAGTCTCACAAGATCTGATGGTTTTAAAAAGGGGAGTTTCTCTTCAAAAGCTCTTTTCTCTCTTGCTGCCACCATGTAAAAAGTGCCTTTCACCTTCCACCATGATTGTGAGGTCTTCCCACCCATGTGGAACTGTGAGCCCAATAAACCTCTTTCTTTTGTAAATTGCCCAGTCTTGGGTATGCCTTTATCAGCAATGTGAAAATGGACTAATGCACCTATCAAAAAGGTATTATAAAGACCACCTAATAGATTATGTAACTGAAGATCAAGAATACCTTACACATGATGACACAGAAATGACATAGTATATCCAGGATCCAATACCACTCTTTTCACGATGCCATGAGAGTAATGTTGGAGTCATTACTTTGGAGGGATAATGGTAATTTTTTAAATTATAAAATTTAAAATTTTAAAAATGTAAAAATTGTAAATTGGCTTATGCCTCTAATCCCAGCATTTTGGAAGGCCATGGCAAGAAGATTGCTTAAGGCTAGGAGTTTCAAACTAGCCTGGGCAACATAATAAAACCCCCATCTGTACAAGAAAAATAAAAAAAAATTCCAGACATGCTATGCATTCAGGAATGCTTAGTGACATCAGTTCAGTGGGTGCAATTCTTCATTTGAGTTGATATTTCATAGTCTTTTAATCATTTTAAATAAAATTATCTTGCTAGCAACAATGAGTGAACAATTAATAAAAATTATTTTTTCAAAGTAATTTTTATTTTAAAAAAAGAAAAAAATTTAAAACAATTTAAACTATTTTATCCTAATTTTTTTCACTCCTCTGCTATTCAAAAAGTTCCACTTCTTTCTATAAAGCAACTAGCCATAATTTAAAACATTTACTGTTTCTTCATCCTTAACTGCGGACATGCCAAATACCTTGTAGAAACTTTTTTTTTTAAGCTGTCACAAAAGATAGCTATAGACCAAGAATTTTATTCCAGGGCTTTATAAAATCAAGTTTAGTGTTTGACCCATTCTTCCTTATTTAAATTGGTCCTGATTCTCAAAGTAGTGGTCAATAATTAAACAGGTTTCCGTAATTCTAATAAAGCCCCTCCCATATTTGTAGAAATATTCTCCAAAGGCATGCTTTAAACACAGTGGGGTGGGGATACGTTGATTAATCATCATATTTAATTTTGTGGGAACCACATGGACAGTGTAGCTAAAAGAGTGATGCCTCTATTGTCCCCTGATTCTCCAGGTAAATTGCTACCTGAAATATTCAGCTCCCAACTTTTTTTCCCTGCTGAAATATTAAATAATTTAGCCCTTATAGTCTTTCACTTAGACTCTGTTATATATATTTAGATCATTGCAATATGACTCATCTACTTACATGTTTGCTGTCCCCATAAAAAAAGAAATCTTGAGAAAAAGGACAACATTAGATTAATTTTAATATTCCAGTATATAGAATGGTGACAGGTAAGTCTTATTAAATGTTCAACAAATGAATGAACAGTAACCCAGAGTTTTCTGTCTCATTAACTCTAATTATTCCCCCTCCCACTTCAGAGAAGGAAGTGTTTTAATGTAATAACCATTTGAACTTCAGCTATGAGAGATGATGCTTAATGGCAAGTAGAAAGTTTGTCTCATGGAAAAATCTATATTGGCCAATCTAAAATACCTAGCACTTCCTCCATGGAGAATTGTGTGCTCACAAAAACAAACCTCTTAGCATCCCCAGTGGAGAATGCTAAGGGGAAGGAGTGATGCCTCAACCATCTTGATCACACAGTGCCAAACAGAATAGGATAGTGGTGGGGCTGAGTAGCAGGAGGCCTGGGCAAAGCTGTCAGAATAGGAAAAGGAAGATCGAAGGAGAAGCTACATTTGACACTGACTTCGCCGGAGCCAAAAGGTACTGAAAAATTAAACCTTGGTTTGCTCTCTAGACTTTGTACGTGTGTGGTAAGTTAGCTGGCATTCTGCTAATGGATTGTGTCCACTTGCCTTTCCAGACATTTTAGGGTAAAATGCTGGGATGATAGAATGAAATAAATCATAGGAAAGATCTAGAAAAATTATTCCTGGATAATATCTTCATTTTATTTTATTTTTTTAATGAACTCCTCTAATTCACCAAGTATCCACTTCATTATTTCCCCAATTAATACCTCCTTTCTCCAGAAAAAAAAATTGTTTGTAAAGCATTCTGCCTTTGGATTTCTGTAGCTTGAATGCCTATAAACTCCCCATGCTCATTCACCCCATCCTCAAACCCCACCTGGCCCACTGACCTCAAGTGCTGACCACAAGTAAGCAACTCTAGTTATCTCAGAGGATACTCAAGTGTGTAACTGAAGTACAGTCCAAGAACGCATTTATTTTCTTGCAGGCTTCTAATGCAATTTGTTTTTCTTCCCTCCTGATCCAAACAATATGTCCCTTTTACCACAACAACATTCTCAAATATGAAGCACATAAAGAAGTGATTTTACATTAAGCTTATAAAGTGAACACAAGTAGAATAGAAACAGAATAAAAGGCAAAGAGGCATGGAGAAAAAGGTGTTTCACCAGAGTGATGCAATTTATTTTATCGAATATGATTATCTAAATTAGAATTCATTGAACACATTAATATACAATGAGATCCAGTATACAAAATGGAGTAACAATACATAAAATTACAATTTTCAAAAAGTATATGTGAAACCACTTGATATTTCTATATGAATATACATCATGCTCTGTTTTACATTCTAACTTTTCTACAAAGAAAACAGATGAAGATGTACCTGTAAGGGAGGAAAATGTAACATGTTTATCTCACTGGCGAGAAGATGAAAAGAGCTATGAAGGTAGATGATTTCTTTATCTGGGGGAACATAAAGCAACAAACATAATTGTTGCCAAGGTAATGGGAAATAGATTAAATTTAAAAAAAAACGTTGACTTTTTCACTTAGATAAGGAGATTGACACCATCTTTCCTTTCTCTTTCTGCTTTTGTTCTTAAGAGCTGTGAAGCCACATGAATAAGATAGGGCCATGGAAGAATGCTGACTCTGGGTAAAGGTAGCTCTCTTACTCAAAAGAAGCTGAGAAAGACTAAATACTGAAGCCCTGTTGTCCTCAAGGCACACACAACCAACTTTCCTCAAGTGACGAGGCCCTCCTAGAGCTGTCTTTAAAATGTCGAGGTGCTTTTCACAAGTGATGCTGTAACTAGTTTGGTCATGAAACACCTGATAATAATAGCACTGTTTGTGGAAATGCTCCATGAAGCTTTCTACCTGCAAGAACAAATTTATGACTAGAAAAGATGACTTTAAAATTCATTTTATTAATAAATATTTACTGCAAGCCTAATGTGTGCTAGACATTCTAGAAGTAGCGACACTGTAGTTTAAAAAGCATAAAAAGTTCCTCTAGTCTGAGACTTACATTCTAATGGACTAATGGATTGGCAAATGTCAAAATACACTACTGTAAAGAAATTGCAAATAATGTTTCTAAAAAATACCTGATAGTGTTTGTCATTAACATTATTTACTCTGCATTAAATTTATTTCACTGCCAACTAGTACTAATTGAAGAGAAATATTAGTAGAAAAAATTTTCTTAGAAATATGCTATAGGGGTAAAATTTAAAAGTTACATTGGGGCATTCCTTCTATTAATTTTTTAAAATTCGTTTAAATTTTCTATAAATTAGAAAGCAACCCCCATTACTGGAGTTGGGTAATGGAAAACCATAATCCAACTCAGACAAGCATAATTTGAGAGCTACTGAGTTATGTAAACTATTAAGAGACAGCTGCAATTTGATGATTGATTAAGAATATCAGTGATTAGACATGGCTAAATGTTTGTAAGCAAAGTCTGAACTTCTTGTAGGCAGGAACCCATAGAGATGGTGCTTCCTGGAGGAAGTGGTGGACAGTCTTCAGTACCCAAGTAGGTGGCAGAGACAGGGCAAGGCAGCAGCACTGAGACCAGGAGGCTAAATTTGTTGTGCGTAGCCCAAGTCACAAAGGTTCAGAGACTGACATGAGAATGGGGCTATCATATGAAATTTCAGAGGAAGGGAGAAAACTATAACAAGAAGGAGAGCCAAGACCAAACCAATTGGAGAAAGAGCTTCTTTGCGTGGCTTTGAGAACTGAACTGCTTAGCTGCACGTAACTACTGAGCACTTGGAGTGCAGCTGGTCCAGAGATACGTTGTAAGTATAAAATACACATTGGATTTCCAAGATTAGTAAATAAATAAATAAATATATGAATATGAAATGTAGCATTAATAAATGTATATTGTTTACCTATTAAAGGACATTTGAGATATGTTGGATATATGATTTTACTGATTTTCTGTTAATTTATCTACCAGGAAATTTAAATTATGCATGTGGCTTATGTCTCCATGGGACAACACAGTTTTAGAGAGTAAATCCCCAACTTTCTTGAACATGTCTACCTATAGTACATGCAATTTAAATCTATCCTCAGTATTTACTTTCAAATAGCAAATCTGTCAAGCTCTATAAAAAGGTGGTGTATTTTATAAAATGTATGGAAAAATAAAAATTTCAAAAAGGCAAAACAAAAACAGAGAGAGAAATTCTCATACTTTCTTTCAGATCTCCAGTAGCTTATGTGATGTACTCTTTTAGAAGCTAAAAAAATATTACTTGCAACTTTGTTTATGAGCCAACTAGCTAATCACATGTGGCTAATCCTGACAGGCTTAAAGAAACAGAGAGATGGAAAAAAATGTTTATTTGTAAACACATTTTAAGTTACATATAAAATTTTGTGTTAGGTTTAAATATCTTGTTATCTATTTAGTACTTATGTACAAATACTGGCCTAAGTACTAAATTAATATAAAATACTATCTTTGCCATCATTGAACAAGTGGATACAAAATTAGAGCGGTGAGATGGGCAGTGTCACAAATCCGACACCAACATCCATCTGTTGGCTGCTTTCTCTAATTATGAAGAAGAAGTAAAATAGGAAAAGCTGGAAAAAAAAACTTATAGAGGAAATACTACCTAAGCCCTGATTTATTGAACAGGAATAAATGCCCATTTATCTCAATTATGTAGCAATATGTCCTAAACACATATATTATTTAGCATATAAAAATTACAGTCTTGAACTCTGAGAGCTGGCAAGAAAATTAATGATCATCTCTTCCACCTTTTACTGTAAAGGTGAGGAAGCAGAAGCCCAGGGATTCTAATGACAGCTAAGAGTACATGGTGAGAAGCAGCCAGGGCTCATACCAATCGCCTGTGTCTGTCATCTATGCCCCGACCCTTTGCCGGTCAACACTACTTCCTGAATTCAAAACTCTAACAGCCTTTACAGAGACATATTCCTTTTTGTTCTGGTTCCTTTTTTTTTTTTTTTTTTTTTGAATCCTTGCTTTGATTGTTCCATATTCTCCTTTCTCATGAGCAATAGTTTTATACATCACAAGGAAAGATATTATTCCCAAATTTTTACTAACCTCAAATCAATTGTACCATGCCTGAAAACCTTAATTTTCAAACTTTGAAGGGTCTGAGTTAATAGGGCTTTACTGAATATCATAGTAAGGGAAAAGCTCCCAGTTCCTCAAGCCCTTTCTCCATGCACACTTCAAGCCTTTACTTTCTGCTGTGTTTAAATGAAACAGTATGAATTCCCCAAAAACCTCAATATGTTTTTATGATGAACTATGCCATTATGTTCAAATATTTATCTTACTCATTGTAACAGTAATGATGTGGACAACACTTAATATCCTATCACACTTTCCCTGTTGATCTTCTGAATAGAGCAGAGCAGATGTTCATATATTATAAACCACTTTTTAAAGTGCGCATGTGAACATTGACTTTCCAATGTATTAAAAAGTAGTACAGCTTTTTAAATATAAGGTTTTAAAATAAATATAAGCAAATTCTTTGGCAAGGATGGCTTTTAGTAACTCTAGTCAGAATTTAATAAACCTACCTTTGTTAAAAGAAGGACTAAATTTATAAAATTAAGAAATTCTTAAAATACTTTTAAGTGTTTTTGGTACTTAATAAAATCAATTATAATCACTTCTATGTACTAATTAGAATTAGTAAAGAATTTCAAGTGTGAATTTGGTGGCATACAGACTTTTTGGGTCAAATTTTATAAGAGAAGAACATGTTACCACAATCGTCAGGTTACATTTTCATTTAGGTTATTGGCAAAAGGAAGGTCACCTTTGCAATATACTTTTAGGATTTTCAAGCCTGAAAAATAATCTTTTAGTGTCATGATGGTTAAATAATTGTCCTGTGAGCCATCTATTTTATGTACATATACAAGGCATGTCGTCATTGCGTTGGCCTCCAAACCCCACCTTGTGGAGCACAGTGCAGCCCAGGTATTGACACTTGTGTGGGTCACATATGAGAGTCATGTGCAGTAAGACCGTAAGTTGGGATCTGCAATGGACTGCAGAAAAATATTCAGAAAAAGGATCTTCTGTACTAGATAATTCCTGTGAGTCCTCCTGAGGAGAAACAATATCTACCTTCTAGAGCTGTGTTGCGCAAATATGTAAGCTACTCACCATGTGTGGCTGTGGAACATCTGGAGTGTGGCTATTCCAAATTGACATGAGTGTAAATGACACACTACAGTCTGAAGACTTTATGCAGAAAAAAATGAAAATATATTATTGGCAATTTACATTGAATTGATGCTGAAATAATTTTTTTGACATTTTGTGTTAAAATACATTACTAACATTAGTTTCATTGGCTTCAGTTAACTTTTTAATGTAGCTATTAGAAAATTCTATTATATATATATACACATAGTGTACATAGACACATTGAGGGATTACAGGCATGTGCCATCACACCTAGCCTATTAGAAAATTCCAAATTGAGTATATGTCTTGCTTATATTTCCACAGGATGTTGTTGCTTTTGAGTATTTTGAGTGGACATGTGTATAACTTGTAAGCTTTGTGATGAACGGTAGATTAAAAATTACTCTAATCCATGACAACGCTTGAGTCTTTGAGACTTTCTTCAATTCAAAAATTTACCACAATGTAGTGAAGCAGTGATCGCATTAAAGTTTGGTTTGGATTGGTTAGTGTAGAAGTTGAGTGTATGGAGTTTGGGAGGACTATTTTTAATTTGGTAAAAGATTTTTCCTATAATCTGCAGCTAACCATAGAAATTAACTTAACAAATGTCTGAAGAAAAAATAAAAAAGTAAAATTTAAAAAATCAGACTTTCCAGAAAGTTAACAGTGTTTAATTATTAAAAATGATATATGTATTTAAAGTTAGAAAATACAAATTAAGATAGAAAGAATAAAAAAAATACAGGCTGAGCATCTCTAATGCAATAATCTAAAACTCAAAATACCGCCAAATTTAAAACACTTTAAGTTTCAACATGACACCATAGATTGTCAATGTGGGTGGCTGAGATAGTAACACTGTTGCTTTCTGATGATTCAATACACGTGAACTTTGTCTCATGTACAAAATTATTAAAAATATTGTATAAAATCACCTTCAGGCTATGTGTATGAGGTACATATGAAACATAAATGAATTTCATGTTGAGACTTAGGTCCTACCTCAAGATATCTCATTATCTATATGCAAATATTCCAAAATCCAAAAAATAAAAAATCAGGAGCAATTCTGGCCTTAAGAATTTCAATTAAAGGATTTTCATCCTGGAGTAAGCATTCCTAGAGCAATAATTTAATAACTATACTCCATTAAGATAGGTTATAAGATATGCCTATTAAAAATAAGACTTCTATTTACTGTTGAGTGGAAGTTGTTGTGGTAATTGTGCAATATATTGTGTGTGTGCTCAGAAAATTTGATCAGGCCTTAGTTCTAGAGACAGTTTAATTGGTTTTATTCTCAGAGCCCTTCAAATTAGAAAATTGGTCTATTTTCCTCTTTGTCTTCATTACTGGGAACTTGCTTGCCATTTTTATCGTCCATCTTAGGTATCTCTCTGGGGAAGCAAGCTTTGATTTTCTATAATTCTAATCTCATATTAGATTTAACTAATTATTGCCCCCTTATGATTCTCTTACTTCAAATCCTAAAGTTAAAAAAAAAAAAGAAAAAAGTCTTAACATATGATACTATCTCTAAATATTTGCTGAATAACGCATTATGTGCACTGACTCTTCAATGTTTTGCTCAGACATAAATCGCCCTAACTTAGGAAGCCCAGACAGCTCTTTCACATCATCAAGGCATCATCAAGTAAATGCAGTTGGCTATCTGTATTCCTGGGTTCTACATCTCTGGATTCAAACTATTGTGAAAAAAAAAAGTTTTCTTTTTTTTTTACTTGTCTATTCTGAGCATTTAGACTCCTTTTTTGTTTGTTTGTTTTGATGGAGTCTCGCTGTCACCCAGGATGGCAGTGGTATGATCTCAGCTCACTACAACCTCTGCCTCCTGAGTTCAAATGATTCTTCTGCCTCAGCCTCCTGAGTAGCTGGGATTAAAGGTGTACGCCACCTTGCCCAGCTAATTTTTGTATTTTTTGTAGAGACAGGGTTTCACCATATTGGCCAGACTGGCCTCGAACTCCTAACCTCATGATCTGCCTGCCATGACCTTGCAAAGTGCTGGAATTACAGGTGTGAGCCACCGTGCCCACCCTACAGACTCTTTTTCTTGGCTTTATTATTATGTTTAAACATTTTTTTAGACAGGATCTTGTTCCGTGTATTAGTCCATTCTTACACTGCTAATAAAGACATACCTAAGACTAGGCAATTTTTTTTTTTTTTTTTGAGATGGAGTCTCACTCTGTCACCCAGGCTGGAGTGCAGTGGCGCCATCTTGGCTCACTGCAAGCTCCGCCTCCCATGTTCACACCATTCTCCTGCCTCAGCCTCCCGAGTAGCTGGGACTATAGGTGCCCATCACCATGCCTGGCTAATTTTCTGTATTTTTAGTAGAGATGGGGTTTCACCATGTTAGCCCGGATGGTCTCAATCTCCTCACCTTGTGATCTGCCCACACCGGGCCAAGCTAGGTAATTTATAAAGGAAAGAAGTTTAATTGTCTCACTGTTCAGTATGGCTGGGGAAGCCTCAGGAAACTTATAATCATGGTGAAAGGTGAAGCAAACATGTCTTTCTTCATATGGCGGCAGCAAGGAAAAGTGCTGAGCAAAAGAGGGAAAAGCTCTGTATAAAATCATCAGGTCTTGTGAGAACTCATTCACTATCATGAGACCAGCATGATGTTAACCTCCCCCATGATTAAGTTACCTCACAACGTGTCTCTCCCATGACGTGGGGATAATGGGAACTACAATTCAAGATGAGATTTGGGTGGGGAAACAGCCAAACCATATCACTCCACCCCTGGTCCCTCCCAAATCCCATGGCCTCACATTTCAAAACACAATCATGCACATCCAACAGTTGCCAAAAGTCTTAACTCATTCTAGCATTACTTCAAGAGTCAAGTCCAAAGACTCATCTGAGGCAAGTCAAGTCCCTTTCACCTATGAGCCTCTAAAGTCAAAAGCAAGTTAGTTACTTCTTAGATACAATGTATGTACATGCATTGGGTAAATATACTCATTCCAAATGGGAGAAATTTGCCAAAACAAAGGGGCTAGAGTCCCCATGCAGTCCAAAATCCAATAGGGCAGTCATTAAACCTTAAACTCCCAAAATAATCTCCTTTGACTCTGTATCTCACATCTAGGTTACACTGATGCAAAAGATGGGCTCCCATGGCCTTGGGCAGCCCCCTGTTGCTTTGCAGGATACATTTCCCCTCTTGGCTGCTTTCACAGTTGGCTTTGAGTGGCTTCAGCTTTTCCAGGCACAGAGTGCAAGTTGTCCATACCATTCTGGTGTCTGGAGGATGGTGGCCCTCTTCTCACAGCTCCACTAGGCAGTACTCCAGTGGGGACTCTGTGTGGGGGCTCCAACCCCACAGTTTCCTTTCACACTGCCCTAGCAGAGGTTGTCCATGAGGGCTCCTCCCATGCAGTGGATTTCTGCCTAAACATGCATGCATTTTCATACATCCTCTGAAATCTAGGTGGAAGTTCCCAAACCTCAATTCTTGTCCTCTGCACACCAGCAGGCCCAACACCACCTCGAAGCTGCCAAGGTTTGGGGCTTGCACTCTTTGAAGCAATGACCTGAGCTGTACATTTGTCCCTTTTAGCCAGGGCTGGAGCAGCTTGGAGGTGGGGCTCCAAGTCCCTAGGCTGCACACAGCAGTGGGGCCCTGGACCCAGCCCAAGAAACCATTTTTTCCTCCTCAGCCTACAGGCCTGTGATGGGAGGAGCTGCCAGGAAGGTCTCTGACATGCCCTGGAGACATTTTTTCCATTGTGTTGGTGATTAGCAAGATTGTTACTTATGCAAATTTCTGCAGCTGGCTAAAATTTCTCCCTATAGAATGGGTTTTTCTTTTCTATTGCATAATCAGGCTGCAAATTTTCCAAAATTTTGTGCTCTGCTTTCCTTTTAAACATAAGTTCTAATTCCAAACCATATCTTTGTGAATGCACAAAACTGAAAGATTTAAGAGCTCCCAAGTCACCTTTTCAATACCTTAGTGCTTAGAAATTTTTTCTGCCCGATACCCTAAATTATCTATCTCAAGTTCAAAGTTCCACAGATCTCCTGGAAAGAGAAAAAATGCTATTAGTCTTTTTGCTAAAGCATAACAAGAGTCATTTTTGCTCTGGTTCCCAACAAGTTCCTTATCTCCATTTGAGACCACCTCAGCCTGAACTTGGTTGTCCATATCAGTATCAGTTTTTGTCAAAGCCATTCAACAAGTCTCTAGGAAGTTCCAAACTTTCCCAGATTTTCCTGTCTTCTCCTGAGTCCTCTAAATTTTTCCAACCTCTGTCTATTACCTACTTACAAAGTTGCTTTTACAATTTTGGGTATCTTTAGAGCAGCACCTCACTACCTGGTACCAATTTACTGTATTAGTCTGTTCTCATACTGCTAATAAAGACAAAGCTGAGATTGAGTAATTTATAGATGAAAGAGGGGTTTAATTGACTCACAGTTCCACATGGCCAGGGAGGCCTCAGGAAACTTACAATCATGGTGGAACAGGAAGCAAACACGTCCTCTTTCACATAGCAGCAGCAAGGAGAAGTGCCAAACAAAAGGAGAAAAGACCCTTATAAAGCCATCATATCTTGTGATAACTAACTCATTATTTACAAGAATAGCATGAGGATAACCACCCCCATGATTCAATTATTTCCCACTCACTAGGTCCCTCACATGACATGTCGGGATTATGGGAACTACAATTAAAGATGAGATTTGGGTGGAGACACAGTCAAATCATATCACTCTGCCACCCAGGCTGGAGTATAGTTTCACAATCACAGCTCACTGCAGCCTTGACCTCCTGGGCTCAAGTGATCTTTCCTCAGACTCCTCAGTAGAGTACTTGAGACTATAGGCATGTGCCACCACACCTAGCTTTTTTATTTTTATTTTTTGTAGAGATGGGATTCCACTAGGTTGCCCAGGCTAGTCTTGTCATTATTTCCTAAACAATATAGTATAACAGCTATTTACATAGTATTTACATTTCATTAGATATTACAAGTAATCCAGAGATGATTTAAAGTATATGTTAGGGTGTAGGTTGTACGCAAATACAATGCCATTCTGTGTAAGAGACTTGAGCAACCATGGATTTTCACATCCTTAGGGGATCCTGGGACCAATTTCTTACAGACACTGAGGAACAACTGAACACACAAGTGAGATGATTGCTATGTCTGCCATGACAAAAAAAGAAGTCTATATATGCAGAGAGATTTGGGACAAAGGCTCTTGTGTGTTTAAGGAAACATAAAATATTCCACCTTAAGAGTCATTAAGACTAACAGTTTCAAAATGTAGGTGAAGCTTTTGGTTTTACACTCAAATGCAAGTGTTAAGAAACCATTCTTTCTGAGAAATAATTATAATAAGAAAGCCACACAGTCTCCACTAATTAGGAGCTGTGTAGCCTAAGGCCACTCCACTAACTAACTGAATTGTGCATCTCTTTCTCCGTAAGTAAAGAAAGACTTAATAAATAATGCCTACCTTTCAGGATGCTTGTAATTAAATTTGTGCAACCAATAAACCATAGTTATTGTTATTAAGGTAATAACTGAATGTTGTTATATTTTCAGGTTAAAATAGAACATGGGACCCCAGGAAACAGATTGTCACAAGGTAGAAGAGCTTGACTGTGCCAAGGATAAACCCAGCTATTCTCTTTTGATGTGTTTTATGTTGCTAGACTTCCAATGGTTCTGCAGCCTCCAAAATTTCTGAGTTCGTGAACTTCTGATTTCTAAGAGAGCAAATTGAACACCAGACTCCAAATACAAAGTTGACTCTTTACATATGTAGATTTTTTTAATTTGTCTCTTCAAATCTATCATGTTAACTATCCAGGTCTTTAAGCCTATTCTAGTTATTTGAGATTGCAGCTCTATTTCTTCATGAAATATAAAGAAAAGTAGCTACCATTTCTAGCTCTGGAGAAACTGTGTTATTTAGGATCTACCGGCTATTACAAATAGTTTTATGTTGGATCCCAAGATTTCAGCAACCTGCTGCTACTGCTAAGTATGTGTTCAACGACAAAAACCTGTAGGCCAATAGATAGGGTGTTGAAATGATAATGTGTTAAGAAACGCAGAATTTTCTCAGCCGAAAGGAAAGCAAGACAAGGGAAGTGATGAGAAAAAGAATGCAATCAGTCAATTGATTGGACAGCAATATACCTCACTAAGTTACCACCTGGAAGCAGCCTTAGGTTAGCATCAAAGTAAGAGCAGGAAAGGATATGAAAAGTTATTCGCAGGCTGACTCTTGAAAGTATATAGTATCTAAGAGTATTTTTTCCTGGCTGGTGAACAAAAATGTTTAATATAACCATATACGAGACAATAGGTTAGTTCTAATTGTGAATATTACAATCCCACCATATCTAGAGACATTTAGGAGTCAATCTGTTTCATTACTTCTCGGCAGATGTTTAACACACCCATTTGTTCATTCATCCATTAATTCATAAAACTTTAAAAAATTGTGTGTTAACTGGTTTATTGCTGTAGATGAAATGGTGAAGAAAAAAATCATTGTCCTTATAGAACTTATAAACTCCAGGGTAAACTCTCCTTCCCTTCTGTAAAGAAGAGGCAAGGAAGTAAAAAGAAAAACAAAGTTTAATGATTACTTGGTAATAAGTTCTGTATAACAATTATATATTCTAGTGAAATCTATATCCATCTATTTAAAAAAATAAACATTGGATTTTAGAAATACTCATAAATTACTCTTTAAAAGGCAAGAAACACACCACTTTTTGCCCAACTTCAATTGTGAGACTACACTCCTGACTGGTCGTCAAGAAAGTTTCCTCTTGTTTCAGAAATATCCTCTTGTTTCAGAAACACTGAGGTTTGTAAGGAGATCTTGTATCATTGTACTTGGTTATCAAACACTAAATCCACCCTGGAGAAAGTGTCCTGCAGCTGCTATCTACAAATCTTTCCCATGAGCACTGGCAAAAAGTGCCAAAAATGTTACTTTTTGGTTGACTCTCTGGGATCAGACAAGAAGAGACAATAGATGTTATTTGATGATAACCTGTTACCTTTAAATAAATGTAGAAATGGTTTGTGGGTTGAAACAAACAGTTGGCTCATAGTATTTGCCTTTTTTCACATAGTCTGAATAACATTATTTAACCAATGAACACAGACAGAAATATCATCAACAAAATACTAGCAAGCCAAATATTTGTGTGTTGACATATCAAAAAGATAATGCACCATAATCAAGTGGGTTTTACGCCAGGGATGCAAAAATAGTTGAACATATGAAATCAATAAATGTAATACATTACTCAAGCAAAATGCAGCACAAAAACCATATGATCATCTTAATACATGCAGAAAAATCATTTGACAGAATTTAGCATTCCTTTATAATAAAAATCCTTAAACTAGGCATTGAAGGAACATACTTCAAAATAATACAGGTCATATGTGACAAATACACAGTAAACATCATACTGAATGGGGAAGAGATGAAAGCATTCTTTCTAAGAACTAGAACAAGACAAGGATGGTCACTTTTACCACTCTTACTCAACATAGTCGTAGAAGTCCTGGCTAGAGTAATTAAGTAAGAGGAAATAATAAAAGGCATCTAAACTGGAAAATCAGAAATTAAATTATCCCTATATGCTGGTGATGTGATCATATATCTAGAAAACCCTAAAAGTTCCACCCCAGTTATCTTAGATTTTATAAATGAATTCAGTTATGATTTTGGATAGAAAATCAACATACAAAAATAAGAAGCATTTCTTTACACCAATGATAACAATCAATTTGAGAACCAAATCAAGATGGCAATCCCATTTACAATAGCCATGAAAAATACCCAGGAATATACTTAACTAATGAGGTAAAAGATCTTTACAAGGAAAACTACAAAACACTGATGCAAGAAATTGTAGTTGGCACAAACAAATAGAAAAACATCCTATACTCATGGATTAGAATAATTAATATTGTGAAAATTGCTATACTTCTCAAAACAATCTACAGATTCAATGCAATCCCAATCAAAACATCAACATCATTTTTCACAGAATTGGAAAAAAACAATCCTAAAATGTATATGGGATCAAAAAAGAGTCCCAATAGCAAGAGCAATCATAAGCAAAACTGGAGGCATCACATTATCTGACTTCAAATTATACTACAAGGCTGTAGTAGCCAAAACAGCATGATATTGGTGAAGAAAAAAAATTCAGACACATAAATCAATATAACAGGTTAGAGAACCCAGAAGTAAAGCTACAAATTTACTGCAAACTTATCTCTGACAATATCATCAAGAATATTCACTAGGGAAAGGACACTCTATTCAATAAATGATGCTAGGAAAATTGGATTGACATATGCAGAAGGATACAATTGTACCGTAATCTTTCACTATATAAAAAATCTACTCAAGATGGATAAATTATTAAATATAAGACCTTAAAATATAATAATATTATAGGAAGCCTACAAAAAAACATTTCTGGACTTTGTTTTAGGCAAATAATTCATGACCAAGATCTCAAAAGCACAGGAAACCAAAACAAAACTAGACAAATGAAACTTAATTAAACTTAAAAGCTTTTGCTAATTAAACTTAAAAGCTTTTGCACAGCAAAAGAAATAATCAACAGAGTGAACAGACAACCAGCCAAATGGAAGAAAATATTTGCAAACTATGCATCAAACAGGAGATTAATATCCAGAATTTATAAGGAACTCAAACAGCTCAACAACAACAATAAATAATAATAATAATTCCAATAAATAGTGGGCAAAAGGCATAAAGAGACCTTTTTTTAAAAAAAAAGACATGCAAATGACCAAAAAGCATATAAAAAATGCTCAACAACACTAATAATAATCAGAGAAATGCAAATTAAAACCACAATGAGATATTTTGTATCATTCAGAATGGCTATTATTAAAAGGACAAAAAGTAATAGACGTTGGTGAACACTCAGAGAAAAGAGAATGTTTTTATACTGTTGATGGGAATTTAAGTTAGCACAACCTATAGGGAAAACAGTATGGAGATTTCCCAAAGAGCTAAAAATAGAACTACTGATCAATCCAGTAATCACAGTACTCGATATCTACTCAAGGGAAAATAAATAATAATATTAAAAAAATACCTGAACTTGAATGTTCATCACAGCACTATTCACAATAGCAAAATTATGGAACCAGCCTAAGTGTCCAGCAAGTTAAGACTGGATAAAGAAAATGGTATATATACACAATGGAATACCATTGAGCCACCAAAAAGAATGAAATCACAACATTTGCAGCAATGTGGATAGACCTGGAGGCTATTATCTTAAGGGAAACTACATAGAAACAGAAAGACAAATACCATGTTTTTACTTATAAGTGGGAGCTAAATAATGTATATACGTGAAAGTTGGGTGTGGAATGTGGACAATGGTAGACAATGGAGTTTTAGAATAATGAGGACTGTTGCTGGGGGTGAATGATAGAAAATTCCTTACTATTTTTACTTAAATATAAATTATACTCTTACCCCTTACATTTATATAAACAACACAATAAAAAATGTTATTAGATAAGAAATAACATGGGCTGTGAGAGGAGTCATGGGAAAAATGGGTAGAAAGGATTTGACCAACATAATTAATAAGGTTAATCTCATGTGAATAATTGTACCTTATGAATAGGAACTACACATCATTTGAAACATATATTAAACATCCACAAAACACATACACAGGAACCTCCCACAAATATCACCAAGAATCAAAAAATGGAACTCAAACTCACAATCACTGACCAAAATGCACTAAAATTAGAGATGAACAGCAAAAACTGAAAAAGAAAACTACACACCTTAAAATTATGTAATATCCTTAAACTCTCGGCTTAAACCAGAAACGTTGGCTGGGCCTGATGGCTCATGCCTGTAAACCTCCGCACTTTGAGAGGCTGATGCAGGAGGACTGCTTGAGCCCAGGAGTTAGAGACCAGTCTGGGCAAAACGGTGAACCCCTGTCTCTCAAAAAAAAAAAAAAAAAAGAAAGAAAGCCACACATGGTGGCACATGCCTGTAGTCCCAGCTGCTAAGGAGGCTAAGGCAGGAGGCTCACCTGAACTAGGAATTTGAGGCCGCAGTGAGCCATGTTAGCAATGCTGCACTCCAGCCTGGGTGACAGAGCAAGATCCTGTCTCAAAGGAAAAGAAAAACAAAGAAATGTGAACTGGCATTAAAAACCATTTAGAAATATATAACCATGAGACATGTTAAACGCAAATGCTTCCAGGTAGAATCAAAATCTAAGTAGGGAAAACTTACAGCCTGAAATATTTTCAATAAAAATTAATGAAAACCGTTTTTTTAAAAAAGTGAACTGAACTTTAATCCAAAAAGATGCATTCTTAAATAATTAACAACCTTTAAAATGGTAGAAATACTATTTTTTAAAAGAAAAAGGCCAAAGACAATATTTGACTTTGTTAAGTACAATGATTATATATTTTACAAATTCAGAGGTCAACAAAATAATACAAATAAAATGGAGGTATCTTTTTATATATAAATAGTATCTTAAATTATCGAAAAATTTTGTGGCAACAATTGATTTTATGAGAAACAAACAAGAACTGTTCACAATTTTTTGTAGAATCTGAAAAATCTGACCAGAGTAATAAACTCTCACTAAAGTTTTGTACTTCTATTTTAGACACAGAGAAGCACGAATGTGCACAGCAGGCTGCCCAACAAGTCTTTGTGTTTGTTTTGCTCTGTCGGTGTATCTGGAACCCAAAAAGTTATATTTGGCTTGACCTACTTTGGTGTCAAGATAAAGATAATATTCATGTTACATATCCTGTTTCAAAGCCTAGAAACAGATGCACAGCTAACTAAATCATTTTACAAGGCTAATGTAGTACTGATTGCTTATGGAAAAAGAAAATACAAACTAAAAGAACAAAGAACAAACATCTGGGCAAATATCATTGTGAACAGAAGTAGAATTTCTTAATAAAACCTTGCTGAGTTTTGCTTGCTGAGTTGAAAGCAATGCATATTAAAAGAGGTTTTCAGACAACTATCTCTAGTTTTTCTAGATTCTCAAGGATATTTAACATTAGAGAATATGTTAATAGAAACCAGTATGTTAACAAATGACAGAAAAATATTATCATTTCAATAAAATAAAACTGGTAGTTAAATCAACTAAACATGACTATAATACACAATTCCTAAGAGGCAAAACTAAATACACATACCAAATACTGAACAAAAATAGCCTTTCGTAATCTGTTAGAGTATCTGTATGAAGAAAACATGTTTGGTGATAAAAAAAATATTGGGAACATTCTTATGATGCAAGGAAGGGGATAATAATGTCTACTATCACTTTTATAATCAAAGTTTCAACATCTTTTTAGAGGTCCTAGCCAGAACATTAAAACAAGTAAAATATATGTACATATATCTGACCTATATATTTAATTTTAAAAGTTACAACTCTTACGTTCCTAGATGGCAGAGTTGTCTACTAGAAATTCAAGGGAATCAATGAATAGAATATTAGAACTGGGAAACAGTTACAATTAAGAAATATAAGTAGACTATATATAAGTAAAGTAGAAACATTATCAAAACAACAAAAACAAAGTTTTCCTATATGGCAAATACTATTTTATATAAAAACAGACTACTAAGCTACCACCCAAAACATAGCACATTATATCACCTTCTTTTTGACCATTATCTCTAGAAATGCCGCTTCTCTGCTGTGTGTGTGCGTGTGTGTGTGTGTGTGTGTGTGTGTGTATACATGTGCTTTCTCAGCCAGGTCACACTTGATTTTCACACTTGATGGTGACCTGGATATAGTTTTATTTTCTTCTCTCTCCATCATTGATTCTTTTTTTTTTTTTTGCTCTAACCAATCTTAGTACATATATGAAATATTAAGAGATATTGCCATCGATAGAATGCAAAAATGAATTAAAAATTATTAAGGTTATTGTTCATAATTTTACAACCATTTTCTTTCAGAGTTTGCCACATACTTTCTTCAGGTATTTGCACAGGTTTTTCTCCAGTAGAAATGAATTTAAAACATGCTCTAAAACGATATGGCATGTTCAAATGAGGCCATAGGGAGATGATCTTGAAAGTAGGTTTATATATATTTTGTTCGTGTGTGTGTATGTGTGTGTGTGTGTGTAAGAGAAAGACTGAGCTGAGCTATAAAATAAGTGAGCAGAGTTTTTTAAAAAGACTATTTAAACTACTATATTTCAACTCAGTTTTTATAGATTATTTGTTTCACTTTCTAGTACAATCTGATATATAGTATTTCCATAGAAAAGCCATAAAATTCAAATATTGCTATTTTATTCTCATATATTAAGAATGCGCATTATTGCTTTCTAATACTATGTTGACTCTCAATTTTTTCCCCAGAAAAACATAAAATGACACTTAAATCGATTGCCATAATAATGTCATGCACTTAATAGTTCCTTTTAAATATTTGTTTTCACTTTAAAATAATTTTGCTGTGTTCGAGAGCATCCCTTCCAAACTTCTGCCCACTCCATCCTTAAGGGAAACAGGTCACTGAGAGCCAATTTGACCAACTTATCACATTTCTTAGGTTGCTTTTTAATAAGCAACTTATTTGTTGACTTTTTTGCTTTCTCTGCTCCTTGACTCCAAATATTAAAATATAATTCAAGATCTCAAAAGTGGTAAATATTTCTCTAACTTGGATTTGCCATGAGAGTCAACATCCACTCAAATTTCCTTTGACATGAATAAGGTACATCTTTAATCTCTAAAGACTCCTTCTGTGACATGTACTGCAATAATCCAATGCACCCTGATGTTCTCATCTTCAGGGAGTAAAACCATGAATTAAATGCATGAATGAAAAGCCTTGATATACGCTGACCACTTAAATTGTGTGTGTGTGCACATAAGAGAGAGAAAAAGAGAGAGTGCACTAGTGTATATTTACCAACATGAACTGGGATCCCTCTCAAACTAATGATTTGCAGAAAGTACTTACTCTGGCATAAAAAACAATGTATTGCATAGTTTTATGGGGTTTTGGGTGCTTTTCATTTTATTATAACTTCACAATGAAAATTTTTTGAAAATAGTTCATTAAGGTTGAAAAAGTAATTGTAGACCAACAAATCATCTTGCAGATGTTATAGGACTGATTGAACAAAGTCAAACTATGGTTTATAGTACTATAATGATAATATACAATTCCATGTAGCAAGATGATATACAGATATATCATATAAGAGTACATTCTGTTATATCTATCATTCTATTTTCTCTATTACATATACATATTCTACATATTCTAAGTATACTACATTAATTATAGATCAATTTGAGGCTTGACATTATTACAACGTTGAATTTCCGAATCTGTGAACTTTGTATCTTTGTATAATATTTCATATATTTATGCCTTTAAAATTATCTCAATAATATTTTGTACTGCATTGTAATCTCCTATGATCTTCTCAAGTTCTATTCTTTGATGTTTAACAATCTTAGATGCTATTGTAAATGCTATCTTATTTTAAATTTTATTTTCTATTATTTTATTAGTATATGAAAATGAAATTCAGTTTTACATGTGGATTTTTATGTGCAACAACTTTGCTAAATTTATTAATTTATTAATTATAATTTCCCAAACATAGATTTATTTTCAATCACCTATCTAGGCAATCATCCGTGAGTGAAGAAAGTTTCATGTCTTTTGTTTCAGTCCCTATGCCATTGCTTAATTTTGTTGGCTTATATGCCTAGTCAGTACCATCCATAAATAGTTGAACAGAAGCTATGATAACAGGCATCTTTTAGAATTACCATCAGATTTTTGTTCTATGTTATCTTAATGCATTGAATTAATTGATTGCTCATCAAATGAATGACATGCCAGTTTATAATGAAATAAGCCCAATTCAATAGAGACAATATAAGATAGTTTTTAGTATATATTGAAACTGGTTTGGTAGCATTTTGCTTTGGTCATGAAAGATGTTATTTTTCCTTTTTTATAATGCCTTTATCAGGTTTTGAGATCAAGGTTATTCTGGACTAAGTAGATGAGTTGTATTATTTTTCTGCTTCTGCATAACAAATTACCACAAATTTGGTGGCTTAAAATGACACAAATTTATTATTTCTTGGTTTCCATGGCTCAAAAGTCTGCACATAACCCAGGTAGGTTTTCTGCTTCAGTGTTTTGCAAGGCCGTAATCAAAGTCTTAGTAGGGCTGAGTTCCTTTCTGCAGGGCCTGGGGGAAGAATCTACTTCTCAGCTCATTCAAGCTACTACAGTATGTGGAATTCTTCCCTCCTGTGTCAGTTTCAGGTGCTTAAGATCACACCCCACCTCCCTCCTTCTCACAGGGCCCCTGTAATCTTCAAGTAGCCAGTATTCTCATTAAAGCCATCTAAGACTTTTATGTTGTAAACTCTGTCCGATCTCAGTCAATCAACCAGCCTGGATCTAAAATCCCATAAATATTCTCCCCTGACTATTCTGTGCTGAAGAACTACTAAGTTTGTTTAGATAGCACTCTCTTTTACGGCAGTTAGTCTAATAATTTTCCTTGATCCAAAAGATTTTTTGGTGTTCTTTTAGACCAATGATGGTCTACTCTCCTAGTTTCTGTCTGTCTTTCTCTCTCGCTGTATATACATATACACCTCCCATTGCCCCTCATCACTCTCCATATGTCCCTTCACCTGTTCTTCCTTATTTCAAAATTCACTGAAGTTGCTACTAATACTTACAGCTTCAATTCTCTCACCTACTATTCCGTGCTTCAACTCAGACCAATGTGGGCATCCACTGACCGCTCCACTGAACTGCTCTTGTCAAGGGCACTGGATGCATTTATGATACAAAAATCCAAAGGAGAGAATTCTTGCTTCATTTTTTAGCTTTATTATCAGCACTTGGGATAGGAATCAGCTCTCCATTTTACAATAATCTCTGCTCTTGGCTGCCCAGGCACCACATTCTTTCCTTCCTCCTCTTTCTCAGTGCTTTTTGTTGGCTGTACTTTCATTTTCTCTACCTAACATGGAACGATGGCTTTCCATGGGCTAAATACTGGAGCTCCTCAGAATCTGGTACTGGGCCTGGCCTTACTCTTTCTAGTTTTTCTAAGTGATCTCCTCTGTTCTCAGCATTAGAAATAGTATCATTTTGTTGATGATTCTCAAAGATATATCTTCTTCCTAGATGTTTCTGAGCTCTATACTTGAATACAGTTAATTCTCATTATACATGGATTCTGTATTTGTGAATTCACATATTCATTATAATTTATTCTAATACTGTGACAGTTTTGTGGCCATTTGCAGACATACGCAAAGCACTGAAAAAAGTGATTTTCACCCAATGCGCATATTCCCTGCTGAGGTTGAACAAGGCAGTGTTTTGGCTTCTTGTTTCATCGTTCACACTGTAAACAAGTGTCCTTTTGGTTGTCTAGTGCCATGTTTTCCCATATTTATGCTTGTTTGTAATTTTGCTGTTTACTCTGGCCCCCAAATGTAGTGTTTAAGTGCCCTCTAGCATTCCTACGTGCAAAAAAGCTGTGATGTGCTTTAAACAAATCTTTAAACATAAACACACATAAAACCAAGTTCTGTATTGATCAGTTAGTGAAACTGTGGTCAGGGGCTGCTAGGAACTTAAGCTTGTATTTGTCCTAGGGGCCAGGGTTCAGTATTTATGAATTCAGTGTTCATGAAAACTTGATGACTTATTATGATAAATAACAAGAATCAATTGCATCTTCTTCACTGGATGACCTATAGCCATCTCAGACTTTAATATATAAGATACTGAACTCTTTCTTGTCACCCACCATCCTAAATATCAGTAAGTAGTACCATTATCCTCTTGGTTACTTAAACCATTTCTCTGCTCCTTTTATTTTTTGTTTTTAGATTTTTCAATGTTTTCTGGCTTCCACATCTAATCTAATACCTAATTCTGTTGGCTCTATCCTGCACATTTATACAGAATGTATCCGTTCCTCATCAAGATCATGCCTACTACCTCTAAACAAAGTCTTTAAATTCTCTTTTCTGGACTAATGCAATACAGTTCTAACTGGATTGGATTCTGAAGTTTATCAAACAAATAACTTCTATCCAAATCCTTTCAATAAATTCTCATTACCTTGGAATACATTTTTTTTTCTTTTTTTTCTTTTTAAGTTCTGGGATACATGTGCAGAACGTGCAGGATTGTTGCGTAGGTATACATGTGCCATGGTGGTTTGGGGCACCTATCCACCCCTCATCTAAGTTTTAAGCCCCACATCCATTAGGTATTTGTCCTAATGCTCTCCCTCCTCTTGCCCCCTACCCACCCCGACAGGCCCCAGTGTGTGATGTTCCCCTCCCTGTGTCCATGTGTTCTCATTGTTCAACTCCCACTTATGAGTGAGAACATGTGGGCTTGGTTTTCTGTTCCTGTGCTAGTTTGCTGAGAATGATGACTTCCATCTTCATCCATGTCCCTGCAAAGGACATGAACTCCTTCCTTTTTATGGCTGTATAGTATTCCATGATGTATATGTGCCACAATTTCTTTATCCAGTCTATCACTGATGGTCTTTGCCATAGTATTAACCTTTCATATTCTTGTTACTAACTACTTCTCCAACTACACTTTATGCCATTTTTATATTTGTTCCCCTTACTTTAACAACAAATGCCGTAAGTCTCTATCACCTCTTCTGGGAAGTTTTCCCTGAGTTTTCTAAGCAAAGACTGGTTTATTTGACTGTGCTAATACCACACCCTATAGGTATCTCAAGCATCACTCTTGTCAGACTGCATCGTAATAACCTGCCCTATACCTGGACCTCCTACCAGACTGCAGAATACTCAGCAGCTATGAGGGCCTGGCATAAAATAGGATCTCGCTAAGTATCTATTGAAGAATTTCAGAACACATTGAGCAAGTAGGGTAGAGATTTCAGAAGTGGATTTAAGTAAACTCTGCTTTGAGGGGAAAGGTAAACCATAACAAGAACTAAGAATAAATCAAAACCTAACATGATATTCATGCCCAGACACTATTTTGTTGTTGTTGTTGTTGTTGTTGTTGTTGTTGTTGTTGTTTTTCTTTTGAGACGGAGTCTTGCTCTGTCTCCCAGACTGGAGTGCAATGGCGCGATCTCGGCTCACTGCAAGCTCCGCCTCCCAGGTTCACGCCATTCTCCTGACTCAGCCTCCAGAGTAGCTGGGACTACAGGTGCCCGCCACCACGCCCGGCTAATTTTTTTTTTGGTATTTTTAGTAGAGACGGGGTTTCACCTTGTTAGTCAGGATGGTCTTGATCTCCTGACCTCGTGATCCACCTGCCTCGGCCTCCCAAAGTGCTGGGATTAGAGGCGTGAGCCACTACACCCGGCCTATTTTGTTGGTCTTTTAAGCAGACTGTGTGACCTTTCTGTCCTCCTCATCAGTAGCAGGACAGGTATGCCAAAAAGTCTGACAGCATCAGCCCTTCGCTCCCCAGGGTGATGTTAACAGAAGTGAGGAGGGGGCAAGAAAGACACCAACACTCTCCTGATCGTTGGCTACATCTCCTAGCAACCCCAGGTTCAACTGGAGCTGTCCTTAAGAGGGTTGTCTTTGAAAGCTTGAAAAAGTGACAGATATAAGGGACTGAAATATAAGACAGCTCTTTAAAAATTGATATATTGATATCCTTTGTATGATAAGGTCCTATTTTAAAGATACCTCTTCATAATACTTAAGGCTGCTTTTTCCAAACTCAGTGGCTTGGCCCCCTAAGTTATAGGAAAATAGTCAGGGGCATTCTGCCTCAGTGGGCAGCTCACGTGAAGATGTACACTCATGTTTTCAGCCAGCTCACATGACCCACTCGGGTTGAAGCTCAAACCACGCATGATGTTTCAAAATCCACTTTTTTTCTCTTTTGTTAAAGAAACTATATTTAAGTGCAAGTCAGTGGTAGTATTGTGATGGTAATAACCTCTCACAATAGAAAAAAAAATGAGCTTTTTCCCAAGCTTTGGTACTTAAACAAATATTAATTACAAAATATGGAAGTCCAGGCCGAGGCAGATAAACCCTGCAGGCCATGAAGTGTAAGCTTCCAGGTATTTTTTTCTACACAAACTTTTCTTAGCTCTATGTTCACAGGGCCAGTAAAATTTGCAAAAGTAAAATATATTGCCCACTGAGGATTGAAACTGCTATGATTTGTGTACTTCAACTTTCTCTCCATGACACTTCTCCTTATGTCCTGGGGTATTGGAACCATAAGAAAAAAATGTTGAGAATTCATGTGGTTCAATTCCCTCAAATTATGTTATTTTTCTTGATATTGTAATAATTATGATATTGTATTACTTTTAAAATTTATATACATCGAGGATTTAGTTTTCTCATTCTAGTTTGATATTTAAACTTTGTATTTTTTTCTTTAAAAGAACCACCCCCAATAAACAATAAACTTCAGGTTCCACAAAACTTGGAGGTATTTATGACTCCAGAGTTCATCCTAGTCCCACCCAGTGAATCAGCCTCTATTTACATCAAACATGACCCAGTTAGCCTCTCCCTTTACTGCCCAGCACTAATAAAATGGTACCTCTCTTGGTCCCCCCTTTCTTATCTTCTTGTTCTTTCTCCTGTCTAATCTTCCATTTTGCTTAAGTATATCAGGATGCCCTCAGTTTGTGCCCATCTGTCCTAAACTGTGCCATAATCACTTGCCCCTTGCTCTTAAACTGTTTCTCTGGTTCCTGGTGTTCAACGAGGTCCTCTATGGACAGCATGGACCAAGTCCCATCCACACCTACTGGGTCATTAGAGCCTGCACTCTAATAATACCCCAGGTGATCCATATGTATATTTAAGCTGAGAAGCACTGCTCTAGCTGAATGTGTACTTATTATTTGATATATGACACCATGTATCTCATGTTGGTGAATACTTAGCATTTTTTATATTATGGTGTTGAACTGCCTTTGCAGAGATTATGGCAGTGAGAGAAGTCTAGCATGGCTGACTCCATCTTGCTTCTACCCTCATAGGCTGATTGTCTCTGCTTATTCCTGGGTATAGGCCAAGTTAATCATGGGAGGAATTTAGTTTATAGTTTAACTTGAAAGCAAGAATTATAATAGTCCCTCCCTAAAACTAAACGCTTCCTTGCTTAGGGGCACAAAACAACTTTTGTAAGACTAATGAAAGGCCACGAGATGAGGATTGTGGGAAGGGCCTGAGTTCTGCTAAAATGTATGCATAATTTTTATAATTCCTTTTTGCTCTGGAGTCATGTGGTCAGATGTCACAGGACTTGTGATTTTCTCAATGGCTTCTATAGATAACATCAGTATTGTACAGGCAAATAGTCGCCTTTTGAGGTGTATTTCAGATTTTTGCATTCTGACAACTCACTGGCCCGTTGTGGACTCATGACTCAACTGGTCCTGTGGTCCCCCTATCCAGAGGCAGACTGAGTATGTAGGGATCATTTTCCACAACCCTATGATTGCATCCCCAACCAATCAGCAAAACCTGTTCCTGAGTCCCTTGGCCACCAAACTATCTTTAAATAACTCCAATTTCCAAGCCTTCAGGGAGTCTGATTTGAGTAATAACTCTATCTTCCATGTGGCCAGTCTCCTGTTAATTAAACTCTTTCTTTATTGCAATACCATGGTCTTAGTGAATTAGTTCTGTATGTGCAGTGGGCAGGAAGAATCTGTTGAGCAATTACAGTGTTACCAGGTTTTTATTGTTGATTATGTAAAATATTGGTGCATATTCTAGTTATTTGATAGACAAAACCAACCTCTCTATACAGTTTGTTAATAATTGCTACAATTTACTGATAACTTATTACTTGGTTTAACCATGAGGAATTTGCACTTTTGTAGATAAAAATAGTCAAACATTAAGAATTTTATACGGTTGTGGCATAACTCTGTAAAGTTGCAATATTTTACATATATTAGATCCTAAACAGACACATACAACATACACACAGGCATGTAGTATCATCATTTCTATATTCATGCGGAGTACCAGAGGCTTAAATAACCTGGGCAATGACTCAGAGCTGATTAGAGTTTAGGAAAGATTTAAACCCAAGCAGTGCAACTCTAAAACATGCATATTAGACATAAGGCCATATTATCTCTGTAATTCCAAGTAGCTCAAGGACTGTACCTTATTCTTTTTGCATCATTAAACGAAGCCTTGTAGAATACTATCAGTCATGCAGTAAGTGTGAAATTGAACTGGAGTTGACCTAGGCTGGTGGGGCCAGTCCTATTTAGTCATAGCAACTCAGCAAGACCCTGTGGGTTACCTGTCTCTCCCTATTTTGTGAAGCACAGTAAAGGGGGTTTTGGGGTCATAGTGTCTTTTTCCACGAGGCTATGCCTCTGGCTTTGGCATATGGGTCATGAAAAATACGATTCATTTCCATTTAGATTCTTTCAATGTAATTGGCAGTAATAAATTCAAGTCTGATTTCATGTTCCTGTTGAAGCTCAAGGGAGCCTTAGATATTTAAAATATTAAGCATTTCTAGAAATTTAATGTAGGAAGATTGCCTTCCAGTAAGTCTTTTTGAAATTGGAAATTCAGCAGTTTTGCACAGATCTTAAGGTTTTGGTTTTTAGAATTTCTCTCATTCTTTTTTGCTATTTCTCCAACTTCCTTTTATCCCTCATGCCCTATTTCAATTGAAAAAGTTCTTTAATAATGCCTGCATATGTAGGTGTGTGTGTGTATACAGAAATGTATAGGTGTGTGTGTATATACATATTTCTATACATTTCTGTATATACCAAATATGGCATATGTCTCTCTCTCTATATATATATGTGTGTGTGTGTATTGTGTATGTATGTATTTGTATGTATGTGCACACACACACACACATATACCTATGGTCTCCGACTTAAAATGTTTCAATGACTTACAATGGTTTGACTTAAATTTTTCAACTTTACAATGAAGTGAAAGTGATAAAAACTTAGCAGAAACCATACTTTGAGTACTGATATAACCACTTATTTTCACTTTCAGTACAGTATTTGATCAATTACATGAGATATTAAACACTTTGTTATAAAAAAAGGCTTTGCGTGTTACACTATTTTGCCCAACTGTAAGCTAATGTAAACATCCTGAGCATGTTTATGGTAGGCTAGGCCAAACTATGGTATTTGGTAGGTTAAGTGTATTAAACGCATTTTTGACCTAAGAAATTTTCAACATACAGTGGGTTCATCAGAATGTAACCCATTTGTAGATTGAGAACCACCTGTGTATGTGTATATATATAGAGAGAGAGAGAGGGAGAGAGATGGAGAGAGAGAAAGAGAGAGAGAGAGTTGAAAATAGCTTCCGAATATATAGATTCAGATTTACCTTATGTGTATGTTAAATGTCTACTATGTGCCAAGCACAATGCTAGCTGCACTGGTTAATGCTGAGTGTCAACTTGATTGGATAGAAGAATGCAAAGTATTGCTCTTGGTTATGTCTGTGAGGGCATTCACAAAAAAGGTTAACATTTGAGTCAGTGGATTGGGAGAGGTAGACCCACCCTCAGTCTGGGTGGGCACCATCTAATCAGCTGTCAGCATGGCTAGAATAAAGCAGGCAGAAGAACACGGAAGGACTTGGCTCATTGAGTCTCCTGGCCTTCATCTTTCTTCCATGCTAGATGCATCCTGCCCTTGAACATCAGACTTCAAGTTCAACTACAATTCAAGGTGAGATTTGGTTGAAGATACAGTCAAACCATATCAGCAGCCTATTTTCCTAGTGTACTGGCAAGTGTGTTTGATTGAGAGAGCCTGCATAAAGATCTTCAGATAATTTTTTAATATTCTTAATTTTTCTTCTTTTTCTGTATTCTGAATGCACTTAATAATGAAGTGTAACTATAATAAAAGATTGTCTATAAGTACAAATTTTATGTTTTTGGAAAAGTAAGCATTTATTCCTAAGGTAAGTATTCAAGAAAATTATTGATGGCATAAAATACACAAAATTCTACCATAGTATGGTTCTCAGCCAGCATTTTTGTTATAATTTTGGGGACTCACAGGGAAATCTTTGGTTGCAAGTTTCAATTAAAAATTTTATTTATTTCAATATTAACAAATTTTTACTTAAATGTACTCTGGTGCATCTATTTCTCAGCCACTCATTCCACAGAGATCAGAGAGATGTGCAAACAAAAAGAACCACAGCGTAACTTCTGAAGTTGTCCTTCAGAGGAATGAAAAGAGGTCTGTCAGAGAAAGTTTATGAGATCTCTGCTTGCATATGGAACGTGCAGTAAAATTCAGGATAAATTCAGTAATATTGCAGTTTGTCTTTGAAGTCCTTGGAAAATTACTTCATATAATTATAAGTCATTATTTCTTGTCCCTGTATTCAAGTTACTGTATTCAATTTGAGGTATATGTTTAGGCACTAATTCCTAAGAGATTTAATTATCCTTTTCATTGGGTACAACACAGACAAATGCTTTGCTCCTAAGGATGAAAATACATCAAGTCTTAGGGCAGACAGAGCTTTATTTCAGCATTTAATATAACAAATGCTTACTAAGCAAATAGATAGGGTGAAGAAGACGGCAAAGGGGATATTTATCCTCTCTAGGAAAGGAAAGTAAAACAACAATGAAAAGACAATGGTTTGCCTGTGATTGAGTGCTAATCCAAGAAAATATGTTTATTCATTGAAGCAATATTTGTGAGGCATTTTCTAACTGAATTGATTTTTTAACATTTGACATTAATAATATTCCTAAAAATAATAAAACCAAAAGTATTTCACAGTGTAATGTTAATGATTAAAGTTATCTTTCTATACTTGAATAATTAAAAATTAATTTACATTAACCCATTCCTACAAAACTACATTTCTTTGTCCATAAGATCATTTTTTAAATAAAACTACTCACATGATTGTGAAGTAATAGAAAAGATTTCATAGATAAAAAAATTAGACCATTGACTCTTGTTTTTGTGTCATGAAAAAGTCTTGTATGACCAGGAATTTCACCATTTCAAGATTTTTAGAAGCAAAGTAGCTTCTATCAGAAAGCAAGTTAAATCTTATGTCAGAGGCTCATACTGTAGTCAGTGAGTGAGTAGAGGCAGCATATCACCTCAGGCTGGGTCTTTGGCACCCTGCTGAGGAGTCCGTGTTGAGTAAAAGGAATTGGATTGAGTAGGCCCGGTGTGGTAGCTCACGCCTGTGATCCCAGCACTTTCGGAGGCCAAGGTGGGAGGATCACGAAGTCAGGAGTTCGTGACCAACCTGGCCAATATAATGAAACCCCATCTCTACTAAAAATACAAAAAAGTTATCCAGGTGTGGTAGTGTGCACCTGTAATCCCAGCTGCTCAGAGGCTGAGGCAGGGAAATCGCTTGAACCCAGGAGGCGGAGGTTGCAGTGAACAGAGATTGCATCATTGCACTCCAGCCTGGGCGACAGAGCGAGACTCCATTTCAAAAAAAAAAAAAAAAAGTAAAACACACAGAAAAGTAATGTGGCTGATAGGAATACACCATCTAATATCTTCTTAATTCTTCTTCCCTAGAGGTGGGAGAGAAAAAGAAACAAAAACAAAAAACACTCAGGAACTTCGGGAAGTTACAAAGAAGGTAGGTATCTTAAGGTATTTCCTGAGAACTATGGGAGATCTAAATAGGACCTAGCCTGCCGCATGGGAATTGCCATCAGGGTCCACCATGTCTGCGATATGGAGGACAATGAAGAGGGATGCCACAGTCATTTCCTTAATTAGGCAAAGCAAATAAAATTTGCACAGGGTATTAGAGCTTCAGATAAGCCAAGGTCCACAGGAATATTTGGGCCAGACTTTCTCAGTTTGTAGCACATATTAAAAACCAAAAATGCTATTACGTATTCCAAGGGAACAGAGTACTGGTCAAATAAGTTTGGAAATCATAGCATATAATACCCTATTTGAGATTTCATAATGTCAGTATTGAGATTAAAGGTTCAGCAGTCTCACAGAAAATGGACTTGTTCAAATTTGTCTAATCTTGTGTGTCTCAAACTAATTTGGGATTTCTGTCTTAGTAATATATTTAGGAATACTCTGCAGACCTGTGGTCTTGGGAACTCTAGTTTGAGAACCGCTAAGTTTCAAAACGTGTTAGAATCAGGCTAGAAATAAAACTTGGTCCAGGGAGCATTGAAAAGTAATGAGAAATGTCGTTAAATTATTGTATATTTTAATATTCACTTTAATAATTATATATAAAAATATATACACACAAATATATAAAGAGAGTGTTATTTCTCTATTTTATAAACATAATAGAGTGAAATTTCCATTTGGGACAATTAGTCATGGACAGTCTAACTACAGTTAAGGCATCTGGTGACATCAATTATGTAGAAAGCATCTAGAAGATAAATTCTGAAATGCTACAAAGTCAACATATATGATTAAGCTTTTCACAAAGCATAATTACTGTGTATATTGATGTATATATTTTGTATGCTTTTGTATGTATTCTGTATATTTGTATATATTTTTTATATTTTTAAAAGAGAAGTTCTTTTTGTATAATATGTGCAGTAAGATCATATTGAACCCAATATGCCCAACCAAAACAAGAAAGCAAATTCTCATTATTTGTTAGAATTTAACTAATAGAGTAAGAGGTTCCTGTTTCAGAATATCACAAGAAAGGCAGTAGATTAAATTTAACACCATTTATCTGCCACATAGCCTGGGATCTTGGACAACTCACCTCAATCATTTGGGCCTGCATTGTCTCACATGCAGACAGGAAGATTAAGTGATATCCGAGGGAGTCTGGGGCTTAATGAGGTAAGAACTCTGTACATCATCCCAAGTTCTTTCAACATTGAGAAGGGACAAGAAGGGGCATGCCCTTATTGTATTTATAGAAATTGAGGTCAAAAATTGCTTACAACATTTCCTCAAAGAAATAAATGTAGTTAGACCTTTATGCTTCAGGATTTTGTGCAAAGGTACACACTCCCCACTCCAATAGCCTTAAAATTTCAGTTCATAGGTGATACTCAGGGGAGAGGAGACAATTTTTTTATTCTTCTACCCAGCAGTAGAACAATACAATTACCTTTTATGCACAAATTCCAATAAAAGCATCTTAAGATACCATGTTATACAAGGCATGACTTGTTCCCAGAAGCAGCTGGAAGGGAAGAAATTCAAATAAATTTAAAAAGAAATTTAGAAATAAAAGAACACACATACACATAAATACACACGGACAGAAAAGGTGAAAGAGACATCAGCTTAAGAACAAAACACATAAAACACAGAGGCAGCCTCTTCACAGGAGTTTGGAAGTGGAATTACTCTCCTATCCCTTGAATCAGAGTTCACATTCCTTGAGGGTTGCAGCCCCTTGCCTTTTCTCTTTACATCCACTGCCCAGCTCCAAGAACCCAGGACCTAGCTAAGCCCTTGCAACAGGGTGGACAATGCATGCACAGATACCTTTGAGTGGGTCACTTGGTTTTACACCATGTCACTGCATTCTTGTATTCAATCATTCATTAATCAGTTCATTGTTTCATTAATTTGCAGAGTACTCTGGTTAGACATTAGACCGTGGAACAAAGTTGAAACACTAAGAACATTTAAGTCCTTCACCATCATCATTGCCATGCTTTGCTCTTGATTGCTTTTCTTATCTCTGCTAGCAAGGAGCTGGTGAGGAAATCACGTGGTCAGCAGGCTTGGGGAATCAATATGCTTTGTTATCATTTATTCCCAGCTGTAGTGCTGCCGTTGTCCTGGCTGCCAAGCACTGTCACCTCCCGGGAGGCACCTAGAGAGGTTAATTAGTTTACAGCTGGCCATAATTAGGAGCAAAAAGCAGCAAGAAAGAAGCTCTTCAGAATCCTAACAAAAAGCATATGCAAAGGTGATGCTGTCAGCTTGGGCACACTGTAGTGTTTTAACGAGAAACTAGGCATCTAAAAGTTTGGAAATTGCTAGATAGGAGTGCCAGGTAAAGGCATAATTACAAAGATTAAGAGACATCCAGGAATTCCACAGTGGTGAGAGGCTGTGCTGGGAAGAAGGAGACATTTAGGCACTTGACTGACCGGGCCATCCCTGTGAGCCAGTTTTCTCAAAAGTGAAATGAGGTGTTTCCCCTCAACAGTATCCAGGGCTTCCAACATCGTTCTTCACAATGCCTCAAAAGGCTCTCAGGAGTTGTCAAAGTGATAAAATATAGACTTCATTCAGATTATTCATAGCAATAATAATAGTTGCCAATCCTTTATTATTTGTCTGTGCTCAGCACTATTTTATCTGATCTCCACAGCAACCATGAAAAGTGGATGTTGTCAACACCATTATGTAGATGAGAGTAATAAGATTGCAAAAGGAGAGGTCACTTGCTCCAACTTACATCCTCATCAGTAAGCAGGCCCAAATTTAGACACACATTTCAGACTCCAGATCCCCTTACATTCCATGTCTGGAGTCCCTCAATCTGCATTTAACCTGTATTTTCTAATACATTCTAACAAGGAATGAGCTGGATTCTCAGCAAGCACCTCCATTCAATTCATCCAGCTTCTTTCCCAGAAATGTAGGGAATCAACAGGGAAAGGAAAGAAACATCCTGAGAGAGGACTTGACTAATTTAAGTGTCTTCTCAAGACCAGTAGTATGAATTAATCTCGTCTTGCTCCAAAAGCTTCTTCTGTTGGTGAGTCAGACCAAAGAAACACACAAATCCCAGAGTGGGGAGAGGAAGATGCCCTGGATATGCCCATAACTTCATTGAGTCACTTCATTTTGGTGGATCCCTTGCAGTTAATATACCCTTCAGAACTACCTTCCCTCGACTACATGTGAAAGGCCTCCCAGGCCTCTCTTTTTCACTCTTTTTAATTTTTCTTCATAGCATTCTATTTTTTATTTTTTATCTCTTTATTGTCTCTGTCTCCCACTGCACTGTCAGCTCCATGAAGCCAAAATGTTTGATTATTTTGTTAACTCCTCCATCCCAAACACCTAGAATAATGCCAAGATGATAGAAGCAACTCAACTCATATTTTTGAATAAATAATTGAGTGTATGAATGCAGGAGAAAAACATGAATATCCATTTTACAAAGGAGGAATCTGGTTTTCCCAGAGGTTAAGTAATTTGCAGAACTTACACCGTTCGTAAATATTAGATCTGTTATGAAAACTTGGGTCTGTTTGAGTCCTTACCCTGGCTCTATCCAGCACACCATGCTACAGTCCAAGGATGGTGTGGCTTTTTGCAAACGTTCACCCAGTCGAAGGGAATTCTCAGCAAATTCCTGATATCCCACAACATAATTTAATGAATAAAAAAGTAAAGAGTGGGACAGGATGATTTCTTGTTGAAATTATTATGCTTCTCTGAAACTATGATCAGGTCATGCAAGAATTAAGTCAGAAAGTTAAATAAAAATAGTCGTAACAGAGGCGGTCTATATTAGTTCTTGAAATCCATTAGTTCTTGTGTATCAACGTTTTTTCATATGTTAATAACCTGTGCGGCATTAAATTCACATTTGGGAATATATTCTAAAGCATTACTACAAAACAAGATAGATGTACACAATTATTTATAACCACAAATCTTGTTATGAAGACTTCTAAATGGCTATCAATAGTACATTAGTGAAATATTTTGATGGTGCATAAAAATTATTATGGTAAAAATGATAATAGGATAAAATGTAGTTGTATACCTTATGCAGCACCATATATATACACAGACACACAAACATATACACATATGTGCACACACACATACACACACAGACATACAGGGTGAGCATCCCTTATCTGAAATGCTTGGGACCAGGGTTGTTTTGAATTTCAGATTTTTTTATTTGTGATGCTCAATCTGTGTGTACATATATATATATGAAATATTCTACAACACAACATTAATAGTGACTGAATGTGGTAGATACATAAATGCTTTACAGATAAAGGCACTTTTTCCTAATTTCTATGTTTTTAATGGATACATTGTCTTGGATAAAATTTGTAAGTAAAGCAGGTTAAGGCAAAGCAAAGCAAAACAAAAAGAATTAACAAAAACTACTTACTACCTAATCAATTATTGTCTATTTTCAGTACATAATTTACTGATTGGATGATGACAATCAATCAGACATCATCTGGTGAGTGATCAATTTTCAAAATTAGCAAGTTTGATTCTGGATCAACACACAGCCACAGTTAGCCATCATGTTTATTCTCACTCATTTCTAATCTCCATCTGATTGGATTTTTAATAGCAAATTCTGCAGGTGAGTTCAGAGAAAAACTGCATCAACAAGAAAATAAAGTCAGGGCAAGTACATCATAAAATGGAGTTTTATATAAACATTCTTTACGTTTATCCTGTGAAGCACATTCAATATTCCAAGAATTGACTCTGACACAGCAAAATGGCTTGACATAAGGCCAGTAAATTAATACTAGGTCGGACAGCTTAAACATTCAAAAATGAATAAATTAAGAATAACACATCAGTTGAAATGGTACTGGAACCCATTTAGACGTTGGCAAGCGCAAATCAAATCTGACCTTATAGACCTCAACAGAGGAAATGAAGAAAAACTATTATTCATGAATCTTTAAGCAGTATAATCCCTGGAATGAGATATACAAGGACATATGAAATAAATATCACATAGTATTCAGAATTTTATTTCTTTTTCAATATTTGCAATTACATATTTGAACATCATAACTGGAAGTGATAGATCATTGTTTTATCTGGGATTACCTAGGAGGGCCATCTCAAGACAAGAAATTAAAGAAATAAATGAGAAATAAGAACAGAAGCTCAAAAGCAAGCACCTGCTCTTTATTAAGCATCCCAATTAGAAACACACATAAATTGACTTGCAAAATAACCTTGAAAATCTCACAAGTGAGAAATTACTTCCCTGGACAAGTACTTTTTGAGGTATGTGTGTCATCATTCTTTTGTGCCATCTTTCTCTGAGCAGAGTGTTAGGTTTGCCATTGATGGCTCAACCATGATTAGTACAAAATTAATGTTTTGAGATTCAAACAATCAGACTGTCTGCATTTATCACTCCTTCACACAATAGCTTCCTCCCAGGGCTGTATCAACTGCACGCTATCCACCAGAGTAGGTACTGGGCAGGAAAGCAGAGACAGATAAAGGAGAATCCTTGCCCTCCAGGACTTCACAGTCTAGGGGGAGTGACAGACAAAAAACAAACAAAAAAAATTATAATAGAATGAGTTAGGTGCTCCAATCACAAGGCATTGCTATATGATTGTAGAGGGGCAGCCAACCCAGCCAACTCAATTCAGAAGAACCCAAAATTTAAAATATGTATGTATTAAAGCTTCATGAAAGAGGAGATATCTGAGCTGAAGTTTTAAAGACAGCTTAACATTGATAGAAAAAAAAGGTAAAATTGAGTAAGGGAATTTCTGGCAGAGAAAAGAAGCCCACACAAAGATTCAGATGTTAGAATACTCAACCTACCATATTGATACTACTTTATTATGGTTAGAAATAATGGTGACCTCAAGAAGTCACCATTCTAGACCCTGGGTAGCAAATACATTTTATTCCAATAGCACATCTATTCAGCTGATAATGGCAAACTGTGATACCAAAGCTTAAAGGGTTAAATTTGACCTCAACAGAGAAGAGTGATGTGCCTATTTAGTCATGTCAGTGATACTAGTGAGGGGTAGTGAATATCTTAATGCCTTGTATTTGCTGATGTGGTCCAGATGTAGAGACACTAATATGTGAATTAGTAGCTACAGTCCAGAAACTCACCATCACTGCAAAAATAGCATGCAAAGAGTAAAAGCATTCAAAGCCATAGTTCATGCAAGACAGGCTGGTTTACTATTTGTAATGGCATGTTTTCCCATAAAGAAATTTTGATTTCAGGCATTTGAAACCTCATTAACAGCTCTTGTTACAGTGATGGCATGTAAACTCCCTTGGACTTTTTGTAAAATGACTCCAATATTAATGATATTTGCATGAGCGTCTTATAATTTTCCTCCTCAAATAATTGCAACACAAATTTTGAATATTTGAATTGAATGAAAGGCCTATTAAGTTTAACTTGAGAGGATATTACTGGTTTCTGTGATGGAAGAGGAAGGCAGAAATGCTTGCTTTCATTTCAACTGTAGGGATAATGTTCTATTTTAAGCTTTATTTTGTATTACTGCCTGTGTGCTATATACACTATCTCACTTCTGTGAACCAACATGAAATGGCTGCCTTCCTTCTTTCTTTCTTCCTCTCTCCCTCTTTTCTTTCTTTACCTTCTTTCCTTTTTTATTTCCCTTTAAAAAATTTTATTTCTGTATGTCTTTCTTTCTTATTTTAGAAAACCACTTTATGCCGCTCGACATGAGACAAACAGTATGTAAGTTTTCCTCTTCAATTCCCCCTGCTTCAAAGTTCCTAATTTGATTTCATTCTATTATCTTAAGTAGTGTTAGTAACCAAAACAGTGTATTATAATGAAGCACACTACATGGAAGTACTGCATGAAATCATCATGAAAGTAAAGATAGTGAAGACATTGAAAAAAACAGCATCCCATTAAAATAGACTACATTCATCAGTTACCACATCATCATTATAAACTGGCATGAGAAAAAAAAAAACAACTTCAGATTAATACCCTGTCAAGCGAAGCCTGTGACTCCTTCCTGCATTATCCACTCAGCTCATTTCCTTTCTCTCTGTCACTAGTGGCCAAATCACTTCCCCAGGAGACTGTCATGTGGAGATCTCTCATTATTTCCAGAGAAAGGCAAGTATTGGCATAAAACACTGAATTAGAGGTGTGCTGTCATATGTCATATTGCGCTTAATTTGAAAAATGGAGTTCTTCATTAATGAAAATTACGGATTTAATTTTGACGTTCTGGAACACACAGACCATTACTAGGAAGCCAGGTATGAATTAGCAAGTGGAAAGGTGTTCCTTAATATGTATGTAAGTTTGTATGTATGTGTGTATTTATTTGCCTGTATATAATGTCTTTTATTCCAGAGATGAAGTTACAGGAAAATAAAGCCAATTTTATTAAAGACTTAGGCATCCTCTCCTAACTCTACTTGACTTCTATAGAGATAAGTTCCTGCTCTTGGTGTTTGATCTATTTAGGATTCCTCAAACTAAGTAAAATGAGCTGTTTTTGCTGAGAAAAAAGAAATGCTTAGACTCATTTGTGCTTCCACCCAGACTGGATGAATTAAGTTTTAACTAAGGGGAGGAAGAGGCAAGCAGCCACACCATGTGCACCGGGTGAAAGTAAGGCTTAGTGAGGGCAGAGCGGGTGAATTGTAGGGCCTTCCAGGTACTTTACAGAAGGAAAAAGAAAGATAGTGAATCATTAGGCTTTCTTATAAAGTCATTCAAATATTTTAAGAAAGAGAAGTAACCAGAAGTGTCAGATTTAGTTACTTCTGGGAGAGCTTGCATCCTAGCCCTCCGAAGTCCTGAGCATTCTCGTTCTCTAAACCCACCTCCAGGATGACCCGCATAACCTTTTTATAACCACTATTACTCATTTTACCTATTTTCCACATATATTTATGAATATGATTTATATTCATCTTTCTCTTATTTTCAGTTTTATATATAAGTTAATGTTACGTATTTTTTTGTTATGTAAAAGTTTGTATGTTATGTATGTTATGTTATGTTTTGTTACGTATGTTATGTTATGTATGTATGTTATGTAAAGTTATGTATGTTTTCTTTGCATTAATTGATTTTGCATCTTTTTCCATATACTTATAGATAAATATTGCTCAGGAAAAAAATTTGTTTTGAGACAGCCTCTTGCTCTGTTGCTCAGGCTAGAGTATAGTGGCACAGTCACAGCTCACTGCAGGCTCGACCTCTTGGGCTCAAGGGATCCTTGCCCCTCAGCCTCCCAAGTGGCTACGGCTACAGGCAAGCACCACCATGCCAGGCTAACCTATTAATTTTTTGTAGAGATGGGTCTTCTTATGTTTACCAGACTGGTCTTGAACTCCTGGGCTCAAGAAATCCTCCCACCTCAGCCTCCCAAAGTGCTGGGATTATAGGCGTGAGCACTGTGCCTGGTCAAAAGGATTTCTTAAATTAGGAATTTGTAAAATCATTTTAGTTAGTTGCTTTGCAGTATTTGGGGAAATTTGTAGTATAATAATTAGTCATCTATGCAATGGAATTACAAAATAAAGTTAGATCACCAATGTAACAAAAACAATACCTGTACTGATTGAGTTATTTTGTCTCATGGATTGTTTCTTTGTAGATTTTATCCCTCAACTAGAAAATTCAAGTAGATGAAGACAAGGCTTTAAATTTCCTTTATGATCAGAGTCTGGGTAAAATTCAAGCGGAACTATGGGCTGAGTTTCATTGTTCTCTGTTTTCATGTATTCAGTGGTTGATTCCTTCATCACATATTTATTGAGATTTTTCTGAGTGCTGGTCATTGTTCTAGGGACTGCGGTCACAAAGACAGACAAGGCTTAACTCCTTCCCCTTAGAAGAAATGTCTCTGGGTGAGGCAAACTTATCTACTCACAATAGTAATATGGGTTGGAACAATTGTGCAGGTTCAAGCATGGGTTACCCTGGGAGCCAGGAATAAGAAAGATTGTCTGATTCCAGGGAAGCTTCAAAAAGTCGTCTCTTGATGCAGAGTCATAAAAAGATCAGTCAGTGGTGTTCAGGGGAAAGAGTTGGAGAGACATACTAGCAGAAGAAGCAGTCTTTGTGAAAGCATAGAAATACCCGGACTCATCCCAGGGCCATGAGAGGCTGGAGGGGCTGGTAACTTTAAAGTCAGGATCAGATCAAGAGATAGGATACCTTCTGTGCTTTTCTAAGAAGTTTCTGTTTCATTCTATAATCACTAGTCAAGCTCTGCACTCTTATGATCTCAACAACTCTGCCAACTACTTGTGAAAGTCCTTAATTCTCTGAATTTTGACATCTTCATCTCCTAACATAGAAATGGAAAGTTTTCCTCTCTAGGCTTATAATGAATAAGGGAAATTAAGTGAACATATGAAACATGCTTCATGTGTATAGGTGCTCATGAAAATTAGCAACATCTCAATTTCCTTTCTTAAATAGAGATATAGTATGATGAGGTTTGTGTTTTAAAATAATTCCACCAGGAATTAAAGACAGGTGAGATTAGAAGCAGGAGTTGAGCCAGGAGACTAACTCAAGAATTCAAATAGGGGGAGTAAGAATACTAAACCAGAGCTGTGGGATGTAAATGGGCATGAATATGAGGCTGAGTATTTCAAAATCATAACCACAATAATAATAACAACAATAATAATACAGCTGCCATTGCTAAATGTCAACTTCATAAACTCTGTTACACACTCTAGCAGTTATCTCATTAACCTTCACAATAATCTATATGAGAATAACATTCCCATGTTTTTAATGAAAAATAAAATTAATGATATGAAAAGCTAAGGTAATACGCAGGGGTAAATGTCCAAGGGAGAATTGGGATTCAAATCTTTATTTTTCTAACTCAAAAATCATCGCTTGTACCACTAGTCTGAGCACTCAATTTCCAATATGCTTTTTACTTTATAAATAAATCCTGCTAATTACCATAAGCAGAATAAGGTGAATTTTTCTCTCCCTGTTCCCCTCTCTTATCTTTATTTCCTTTCTTCTCTCCTCCTTTTTCATCAGTTGGCACATATTATTCCCCCTTGGAAATTTTCAAAGTCATCATCAAATTGGTCTTGACTTTCGTCTGTAAACAAGTAATGGATCTCTTTTCTTTCATTGCTGGTATTAACTGGGTTGAGGCAGTTGCTTGGTAACTCAGTAAAACATGGTTATTAAGTCCCTTGTACGTGCCAGTCACTCTCTTGAAAAGAAGACTCATGAATTCATGCTTTATAGGAATGAGATGTGGATTTAAAACAGAAAAGTAAAGGAACTTTATTTAGCTGTGGGGAAAGAAAGCACAATTTAATGACTTGACTTAACTCTCTCAAAATGTCTACAGGAAAAGTTGGAAAATAGAAATGTCCAAAAGCTTTTTCTATACACTATCAAATAAACGTATAGTTGGAAATACATGAATGTTGGATTTAAAATAGTAAATTAAATATCTTATGAATTTTTGTACCTTACCCAGAAAATTTGTACATATACATATACACCACACATTTAGAAGCAAATACAGAGGAATGGTAGGGTAGTTTATAAAGTATCTAGACAAACACACAAACACACATGAAAAAAAAATGTTTTCAACAAAAAGAGGGGAAAGACAAGATTGCAAAGCAGTAAGATAAGGTGTTTTGGCGGGGGGGTCTTAGGAATTATAATTACATAGACACAAATTACAGTAAAGGGTAAACCGTGTCCAGAGAGGTGGAAGGGAGTAGGGAATTTTAAAAGTGCACTGAGGGTGATTACATAAATTTTCTTGAAGAAATTGTCACAGGTGGAGGTGGCTGACTTAGTACATGAATCCATAGATCATTTTTTGTCACTGTTCAGGAGTTGCAGCATTGGTGAAATTCCGCTGTTTTCCAGGATGTTCTGGTCATTGCACTTTGACCCAGTTCAAAGGTTCCAGGCAAGTTCTTGCATTTTTTTTGTTTTGCTTTGTTTCTTTTTGCAAGGTTGCAGGATGTGCAGGTAGTTCTTCTTCGAATGGCTTCCTGACTAGATTTTAGAGCTCTGAACCAGGGTGACACCATTTTCTATATCACACTTCATAGTATAAAAATGAATTATAATCCTTCTTCAGGTTATGACACCTTCTCATGAGATTTGTAGAGAAATAAAAATGTTTGTAAAGGCCAAACACTGTAAGATTTAATGAGAAGTTGTCTATAACCATGACTGCTTTATCTGTTTAATGCTTGATTTCCTCTTTGCTAAGCTAACGTCTAGTATGACCAGTTGATAACTACTCCTTTTTGGAGTTGATACATCACACTGAAAGAATAGGCTTTAATATCAGAAAAGCATCAGCTTGAATCCTGTCTCCTACATTTATTCATTTGCTGTATTACTTTGGAGAGATGACATAAACTATCTGCATCTCATTTTTTCTCTTCCAAAATGATGTTCTTAATACTTTTGTTATACTACTATATATATTAGTTTTGATGTATATAAAGAGGTGGGAACAAAATAAATGGTAGTTATTGATCTTATTGTTGTTACTATCCTAAAAAATTCCTCTACACGAAAGATATTTGTGGCCTTGATTTACCTTCCTTAATTTCAAGTGTCTGGCATATGATCAATCAGGAACATTGGTAAACTATGGAAGCAGAAAAATTGGAGAATGGGTGATTCTAGAACACGTGGGTGATTTTTCTTTTCTTCTATTTGAGTGGTTCTGAAAGGGTAAATGACAGGCCTGTTTGTATTACCAGGAGGCTTATTAAAAATGCAAATTCATGATTCTTACCTTATGCATCAGAATCTGGAGGTAGGGCATAGGAAACTGTTTAAACACGCTTTTGTGGTAATTAATTAATTATGCACATTCATGTTTGAGAACCATCACTCTGCGCTACACTTTATGTTTCTTACCTATACAGTCTTTCCTCTCCTGCTTAACAAACGATTTTCAGCCCATCTCTTTTTGTCTTGGGAAGATGTCCAAGCCAAATCACAGCTGAAATAACAACCCCCTGCACCCACTTTTGGATGTCTTTTAACCTCAGAATACTTCTTCAAAGCTTCTCCTCTCCCAGCCTTACCCCTATAGGAGGACTTCTCATAAGTGAATTTAGTAAATTCACTGTCCAATGCCTTGAAGAGTTCTCATTGTTTAGAACCAGATTTGGAATATGTTAGAGTTCTCTTGTTTCTCAAAATTTATCTCTTGTTATTTTATTCTCTTATATTTAGGAGGTCAGGAATACTAAGAGAACCCTTGCTGCAGACCAGAAAGAAATGGGCAAGGAAAAATTATGCCTGTCCTTGGGTGAACAAAAAGCACATGTGCAGCTGTAACAATACAAAAATACATTTTTTGGCAATAATAACACTAGTATTTCTAAGTGTTGGGCTCCCATTTGCACACCCTTGACTGTACCCACAACCATGTCACACTGGCACTGTCACCAGCTCCATTCAGCAAACAAGAAAACCAAGGTTTTAATGACTTTCTCAGTAATTCAGTGAATTAATGGTGAGACAAGGATTTCTTCCTGTACATCCTAACTCCATTGCTCATGCTTTTAACTACTAAGCTTGAGTGTGTCAAGAAAAACTTTCTTGGTACTTTCCTCTTTCTTTGTTTATGGAGTGACACAGTGGGTGGTATCAGCAAATAGTGTAAAAGGAAAAATCTCAGGTCTGGCTGGCTTTTATATTTCAGGGTTAAAGGGACAAAATAATAAAACAAGAATGAACTTTCTTTTTATTTCTGCATAATAGGTGTACATAGTTTTGGAGTTTGTGTGATAGTTAAATACACTCATATAATTTGTAAAGATCAGCTCAGCATACTTAGGATGCCCATCACCTTAAAAATATGTCTTTTTTAATGCCAGAAACATTCAAATTATTCTCTTCTAGCTATTTTGAAATGTACAATAGGTTATTCAGATGGAGTTTTCTATAGTGCCTGATTTTGTTCAATAGATTTAGAGTTTAGATATAGATATGGGTCAAGTTCCAAACAAATAATAAAGAATATGCATTTGCTTAGAGTTTTCAGGATCCATGTAGTGGTTTGAGGGGTTTGTTGCTACGAAATGTCAGTATTTGGGCCTCAATATGTATTTTTAGATTTAAATGCAACTCACTGTTCCTTGACATCTGGCATCACCCAACCAAAAAAGTGTATGTTTTATGTTAGTTGTTTTGTTAATATTGCTGGTGTTCCATTTTAATGTAATCTAGAGGATATCAAACACAGTTTGGCCATTTTATGAATATTAAGACAATCAGTCAGTCATAAGCTCTTGTGATTTTCCAAATATCTTCAGCTGGCACGAGAATAGAAATTCTCTTTCAGGAAGCTCACTTAACTTCAATATGAATTTCTAATTCAATGATGAATAAATAACAGCCATCAATTATTTATAACTTATGCATTTAAAATTATAGTAATGATTATATCTTGTACATTGCCTTTATTCTAACAATCAAGCTATTTTGCAAAGCTAAATCACAGGACCAAGATGCGACCCTTAGATCAAAAGCAATTCAGGATTCAAGAAAAAAATGTACAAATATATATATTGAAGGATGACTTTCCTCACAAGAATGCCAGATCAGGTCGACTCATTGCTTTTCTGTATCTGGCCATGGGAAAATTATTACTTTTCTGTGTGTGGATTGACTTTCCTTAAAGGACACACTTTTAGTCACTGCGTACATTATTCCTCCAGATCTCCAAGCACCCACTCTCCAGAACAGCTTTTGACTTAATCTCCTCCTTTCCTCAATAGCCAATCCATCTCCAATTCCAATGGATCATTTTATCAGTTTTCTCTTTACTCCTGTCCTTAAATAAAGCTTTGTGTAGCTCCTGCCCCAAAAGATTGAGCCTCTCCAAGGCTTGTCTCTTTCTCATGCAAACAGTTGGGTGGAAACTCTGCAGGTGCATTCAGGCAGATCCCACTTTCATATTATCACCATCCTGGTAAAGGGATTCAAACTTGTTATGTTTTTATTTTTTTCTTGTCTGAATAAGTTTGACTCTTTTCCAAAAACCCCAAATGACAGAGTTCTCCATTGAGGAGATCACACCAACATTCATCTTCTTCTCACCATAACTTTCACTCCTCGGCCCACCCATGTCTTCCTTCTCTCTCCTGTCTTCATCATTTCCACCTCAGGAACATGTTGTATTGGTGTGTGAATGTTTTTTCTTCTTCTCTTTTTATCTGAATCCCACCCTGTCCTTCTTAGGAAAGTGGTTCTATGACATGTGTTTATTAGAATATACAAAGTCTCAGCTAGATATGCATTCAATTTCCCATTCTACCATTAGTATCTCTAAGACCTCCATCAAATTACTCAACAGTGCTGAGCCTTACTTCCTAATAATTCTATTTCACAGTGACCTATTACTTTCTTTTGAATATTTTTTGCTGTTTTTTAGCAGATATAAAAAGCCATGACAATGATTCTCAACCTTTGGTGGAAATAATTTTATCAAAAAATTGGGTTTCTGCCACAATGTAAATAAAAGCCAGATTTGCTGTAAGGAAGACATTTCCATATTGAAGGGCATTCTATGACTATATTTAGACTTTAAAAATGTCAAGAATCAAACAATAATAATTTGAAGGCGCAACTGTTTTGATATGGCACGTTAATTATACTTTCTCATAGACATAGATTATAAAATATTCAAATGTCAGCAAGAATATGAAATATGTGAACATGTTAATTAAAGAATGAATTTTTAGTATTAGAAATACTGTTTTAGAACACATATTACAAGTGTTGATTGACAACTTTATCAGCTATCTCAAAGTCCTTTCATATATCCATAATGCTGTTTCATATATATGCATTGCTTCTCCAATCTAATTACAAATGCATTGTGAGCTAAGATTTATTAGAAGTCCTTATTTTGAATCTACCAGATTGAGGGAAATCATGCTGGACATATGTTTGTAATAGATGAATAGAATTGCTTGGGATTTAGAAGTGGGCTTGACTGAATTGCCTGAGTTATCCCAAGACAAGTCTTACCAATCCCTAAAAATTGGGTAAATGGTATTCAAAATGAAGACTTGGAAGCTCCATGATCAGATTTTAAAAAGCTGTACCATCTCTTCTTCCCCGGGCCCTCATAATTTGGTCACTGGTTCCTTCTGACATCTGATATCTCATGTAAAATGAAAAGCTAATAGTTAATCATTTTTCTGGACTATTATTTTCAACATCAATTTGAAAATACTAATTTGAATTTTTTTTTACATTAATCACAGTATCACTTAGCTTTGCTCCCTAGTAAGCTCAAGTTTAAGGATAAGGAAAGTACTGTATATATTTATATATTTTGTTCCATACTGTATTTCCAGGACTGAAACACATTTATCCAGATGACATTTCTCAAACTCTTATTTCTATAAATGAATGTGTTCCATCAAAGCAAAAAGCAAATTTTAGAATTTTAGCTAGCTCAACACTCTTAGTAGCATTTTGTCAAAACACAAGTTCTGATCACCCGCTGCCTGTCTGACACCACTTTCTGCTATACTCTATACTCAGCAGCTTTTTCCTATTTCTCTTCTCCCACTGTACTCAACCAACTCTAGATCACTGATCTGAACCGTTTCAAATGATTTGATAAACCCGCTCCATTCACCGGCCACCCAAATGCAGAAAACGTTAGAAACTAGACCTCAGAGAAAAGGACCAGAATTGGGCAAAGTGTTCTCATGATATTATTGCCAGGGTAGCATTGCGGGAAGAGCGTAGACTCCTGGAAGCAGCTTAATTATAAGCACCACAGTCCTTGGTTTCAGATGAACCTGGGTTTGAAACCTGGACCTTGGTTACTTGGGCAAAGAACTTAACATTGAAAAATCTTAGTTTTCTCAGGAAAGTACTAAAATATATCTTATGTGCTCATTACGAGGATTAAATTATGCATGTAAAATGCTTTGCACAGTGCTGAGTTCATAATAATACATGCTAGAGGTTGTAGTTATTGTTTTACTGCTGCTGTTTAGAAATAAAATTGAGTTCAGTTACTAGCTACCTCACTGACTTTCTGATAAATAGAATAATGTGATTTCAAATAATCATTTGTATAAAATCTTACATAAGAGGCATTCAACAAATCTGGGTTTCCTTCTTTGGCAGGAAGGAATAATGATCAAATGATACGTCTATAGTGCATATAGATGGAAAAAGAACAAAAGTTCAAGAGAGCATTTTTCTATTTGTTTTGTTGTCTTTGTTATTGTTCCTACACTTTTCAGTGATAGTGACCTTGTTTATTCTTATTCTCCACAATCTCTAATGAACAAAGCACCTGCATATATATTAATTTTTCTGATAATAAACCAATCAAGCTGTATGGTTCTTCGCTGCTGATTTGATTGGCATGCTAATCCCCACAATACACGATACCACAATAAATTTGTATTTTGGCAAATTCACAGCTTCACACTCTGTGATTACAGTTAACATGGAGAATTTTTGCTGATCCAAGTATTATTTTGCTAAAGTCTGGTCCATTTAATTACAATTTCAAGCCTATGCTGTACCACTCAGAGAAATTGCAATACATTAACACACAAAATATTTTTCAGAAAAATTAATGGTTGATCAGATAAAGTAAGAAAAAATATTATTACACCACCGTGAAATGTGCTTACCACCTTAAAACTGCTTAATATAGCAGCATGGCTTAGAATAGTTGGAAGACAAAAAAGATAGTAGTTTCCATTCTTCTCTTGCTTTGGAACTCTGGCCAATTCAACCAACTTCCTTATATGGGGTCGGTGTTTAAAATAGAAACACAAATTCTTATTTCACTAATTCAATAGCTATGTATTTACTATCTGTGATTTACTAGACTCTGACATAATTATTGGGGGAGCAAGTAGGAGGATAACAAGAAAATAAATAGCCCGTGTCATCATCCAGAATATATTTTTGTGAGAAAAGATAGATGATCAAAGTGTAAACAAATAAATAATAATGCCAGTTAATGAGAAGTACCCCGGGAAAAATGCAAAGGATAATAAGACAGAATGTCTCCTGTAGATGGGGTAGGGAGGGAGCTGCTTCCGCTGCCATGGTCAAGGAAGCTCCCTAAGGGACTGAGAGTTCAGTGCTATAAAGGAGCTGGTAACATACAGATCATTGAGAAAGTGTTCCAGGAAGAAGGAAGAACAAGCAGTCTGCAAACTATGGTGCTGCTCACCCCGAAGTACAAATGCATGCAGTAAACTTGAGGGTCATGGGGGTTGGAGGAAGGCTAGAGTTAGAGAGAAGGAAACATAAGGAAAACTTGCAGGAGCCAAGTTGCTAGCAGTGAGGGTGATGAGAAAATTGCCAACCCAGGAAATACACTAGAGGGAGTTGTACTGAATTTGTTAGATTGGATATGGAGATGGCGAGGGGGAAAAAAAAACAAGAAAAAAAAAAACATGAGAGGAGGATGCCTAGGTTTTGTCTTGAATTATTGGGTAGATGGTGATGCCAACAGAAAAGACAGAAAGACAAAAGAGAACTTGTGAATGAGGAAACAGCAGTTTTGTTGAAGGTCAGATCCCTATTAGACATCCAGATGGAGATGCCAGGCAAGCAGCCAGTCTTTCTGGAGCACAGGGGACGAGCTAGAGACACGTAATGTAAGGTCATCAAAACACCGACTGCACTTACAGCCATGTGGCTGAATGAATGAGAGCTCTTAGGGAAAGAAAATGGATATAAAAGTCAAGGGTCCCAAAACTGGGGAAAAAATGGAGAATTTGCAAAATGCAAAATACATGAGAGAAAAAAAAACAGTAGGGTGGTAGTATAACAAGAGGTATGGTGTTCCAGAAGCCTGGAGAACAAGAATTTTCAAGAAGTAGGAATGATCAACTGTAAAAAAAAAATATGACATCAAGTAAGATATGATTAGGAATTAATCAGCCAATGTGGCCACTTGGGGTGTATGGGTGGTCTTGTTGACATTCCTGGTCATTTTCTTTAACCTATAAAAATACTGTTACATGACTGTATATTACCTGGGAAAGACTGAATTATTTGCAGCTCTCTATTTGCCCTTTGTAATTAGATCACATACTCATATCTTTTGCTATGTCTCCAAGTAAAGTAGGCAAAGTACTCATCTCTTTCTCTTGCCTTGGGGCTTGGCCATCTAACTACACTGGCCATGCAGGAAAGATAGAATATATCTGTAAACGTTAAAACTTTGAATAGTCAGAGTCTGGCGTGGAATCCAGAGGATTACCAAATAGATAATAGACAGAAGTTTAGAAAGAAACACGCATATTTCTCACAGTGCAATGAGAGAAAAGGCAGAATATATGGGGAAAGATGCGAGCAGGTTAGTAGATACAGTGGTAGGAAGTCAAAGATGTTCTAATCTTAACCTCTCTGCTAAACCTTCTCCAAACTATCTCTGCTAAAATATACAGACTCTGTTCTGCTCAGTCTCTGAAAAAATTATTACCCATGAAAGTAGTGTCGGTCCAATCGACTGAGATTAGGGGTTGTTCCCTCAGGATTAGCAAAAACCCAGCATTCCAGATGTCCAGCAACCTGAGGGGGATGCTCATATAGAAAAAATAATACCTTTGTATTATTTAGGATGGGAATAGACTTCAGAAACTATAGACACAAAATTGTGCAATGACTCAACACAATGTAAGTTTATTTGCACATCACACAACAGTCTATGACGGAGGCTCTTTGACTGATAATTTTCCTTCTTCCGGGACCCTCTCAACCAAGGCTCCCACCTTCCTAGAGCATTGGTTCTCAAAGGTTAGCATGCATTAGGATTATCTGAATGGCTTGTTAAAACACAAGAATCTGGGTCCTACCTTCACATATTCTGATTAAGTAAGGCTGCAGTGGGGCTGAAGAATTTACATTTCTAAGAATTTCCCCAAGCGAGAAGCTGCTGCTCTGGGAGCAAGTTCTAGAACCACTACCCTAGAGCAATCATTCTTGACTGAAGCCAGGCAATGAGAGTGGAAATGTGCTTCAGAGGAATGTGCTGACATTTTTCTGACACTCCTCTTTATTCTTCTTCGGGCTGCTCTATGCCCCAAGAGACCTGCACCAATGGTCCTGTCTCACCACTAGGCTGAATTTGGGCTCGGCCAATAGGGAATATGAGCAAGCAATAAGTGGGACGGAGGAGAGAGATTGGATTACTGATTCCCTTCCCAGTGGAGTTGCTGCCTGCTGGCTGTGTCCACAGCTGAAGGTTCTATCTCCTGGCAGATATTCCCCTCTATAGGCCTCTCTGTCTCTGTGTTTCTAGTATCTGTATCCTCCTCATGTTCTTCCAGGCTTAGGGAGTTCAAAGACCTCCCTGCTATTAGTCCTGGGAGTTGCACTATCCTTTATGGCATCCTTATATCCTGACTTCACTTTTATAATCATGTTATTAAACTCTTCTTAAATGACTCAATGTGAGCCTATCATTTATTTCAGACAAGGAGTGTGGTTGATATAAAAGACATAACAGTGTTTCTTAAAAGACTTGGCTAAAAATGGCAGACCTGATTTCTGCTTTATTTTATTACTTAGACTGCAAGTGAGGCCAGGGAATTTGTCTAGCTTTGCTCCCAGAAAAAAATTTATATATATATTTTTTTGATGAACAGTCTTTTCCGCACACTTAAATTTGCCATGTCCTAGTAGAAATTCATGTAGCTGAAAACAACTTTATAACTATTTGAGCTTAGAACCTAATTCTATTTTATATGTATACACAGAAATGCTTCTGATACATACTTGGTAAATTGAGGGGCAAATATATATTATTTTATGCATAACTTTACCAAGAGATGTCTACTATTTCAGGAAATCTTATCAGCAACAGTTATTATTTAAGTCACCAATACAAGACAAGGGAATCCTGGCATTTGACCATTTAATCATGTGTTCTAGTGTAGTCTTGCCTCAGTATTTGCATGCTGAAATAAATATACATATATATAGTTTTATCTTCTGTTAAAAATATGAAATTCAAATGATTTTTCTTTTAAAATCACATGCACTTAAGTTAGAGTACAATATTATAGTTTATAAATAAAAGCATGTGTTATAAAAGAAGGTATTGGGTTTTTAGGACTGAGAACCGTATTTTGTAAAGAGGAACCTCTTGAAAGACATTTGTAGTCTCGCACCTGTGGGAAAACTTAGGCCTAAACTAGTGAATCATCATAGTTAGCAAATAGAGGAAAGTGGACAGATGTCAGTGATGAACAAGTGACAGTTGGATGGAAGCTACCAGACACTCCAGCCCCAGATGATCTGGAGAATGGTGAGGCTGTTTGCAGAAATTCTTCCATACATGAGCACAGTCATTGTTTATGAGTTTCATGACATTTCTAGCCACTGGTAATTGTACCTCAAGTTTGAGTCTTGAGAACAATTGGAGAAAGGCCCAGAGGAAGGAATAAAATCCATTTATTTGTTCATTAAGTAGCACAATTTCAGTAACAACATAGGATATTATTAATACTGCCTGGGGGTATAGCATATTTTCCTTCTTTTTACAATGTGGGTATTTGCTTAGAAATTATGATCCAACATGTAAGTAAAATATTAATCTTTATACCTCCATTGCAATAACATAAAATAACTGCAATAAAGAGAATAAACACATGAGTGAGTGTACATGCAGGCACCTGCACACACACACACATCCATACCTTGACTGGTAAAGGATGGCATTCACATGTTATTAATACCAAATTTGCATGCTATTTAGAGCCTATTGGAGCTTATAAAGCACTTTCTCCTATATTCCCTCATATCTTCCTCACAACAGCCCCCTGGAATAGGTATTTTTATATTTAATTATTTGCTGAAGAATGCCATGGAACTCAGAAAGGCTAATTAAATAGCCTAACATTATCAAGTTAGTAAAGTGTGGAGTTAGGAATCAAGATTTATAATTCCAGCATCTACTCCTTCTTTTTCTTTTTTTTTTTTTTTGAGATGGAGTCTTGCTCTGTTGCCCAGGCTGGAGTGCAGTGGTGCAATCTTGGCTCACTGCAAGCTCCACCTCCCGGGTTCACGCCATTCTCCTGCCTTAACCTCCCAAGTAGCTGGGACTACAGGCGTCCACCACCATGGCCAGCTAATTTTTTTTTTTTGTAATTTTTTTAGTAGAGATGGGGTTTCACTGTGTTGGCCAAGATAGTCTCAATCTCCTGACCTCGTGATCCGCCTGCCTCGGCCTCCCAAAGTGCTGGGATTACAGGCGTGAGCCACCGGGCCCAGCCAATTCCAACATCTATTCTGATACCACAAGTGATTTTTTCTTGTGCACTGAGCTCTGTGTCAGAAACGTTTGAGGTGATGAAAGAAAGAAGTGACCTTGGATTTGATCATGAAGGCCAGACCAATTGTGTGAAATATGGAAAAAATACTCTCATCTCCGACTGTCTTTCAACCCTTTGTATTTGTTTTTTGACATCATTACATCAATGGAATTGTTTACTCATATTATTATTTTTTGATAATTAGAACAATTTTTTTCTTTATTTTAACTTGATCTCTGAATTTTTTATCATAAAATTTAATATAGGTAGATGTAGATACATTTCTCTGGGTTAGTTTTTAGTATTGATTAGAATAGAATTAAAACCACTCATACACACAGTCTCCTTGGGCAAGGTTATCTATTCCTCTGGTTTCAACTACAACCTATAAGCTGCTGACATTTACAGTTCTCTCCTGAGCTCAAGACCTCAACGTGCAATTGGTGATTCAACATCTCGTAGATATCTCATGAGCACTTCATACTCAATGTGTTCAGAGAACTTTTGAATGTCTTCCTTCCAGCCACTTCTCAACATCTATACATACTTCACACAACCTGCAACTCTTCCCTCCTTTTACTCATTATTATGAGTTCTAGTTATCAAACGGATGGAATTTACAGGCTGAGAACAGTCGTCCCGTGATCTGGAAACTGGAGATGCATCCTTGCTTGATCGTTTACTGAAATCAACCACCACTTCCTGTATTAATCATTATAGCTGTTAATATTTAAGGTTCTTCTTCTCTTAGTCACACTACCTCTACTTTAGTTCAGCTCACATCACCTACTAAGTGAACTACCTCAAATCATTCTAATTTTCATGATCTCAGGCTTTGCAGTTTCTGATCCATTAGCCAAGTTGTAGCCAGAGTGATTAGTCTTAAATGAAAATCTGATGTTACTTCACTGTTTCTCACCTCCAATTACAGGCAGGTACACAGACCAACGTGCAGGGTAGGGTGTGCCTTGTTTTCTTCTGCTCTTTGGCCATTGTACACTGTGCTCTCTATGTTTAAAGCCTTTTACAATCCCAGTTCTCCTTTAGTTTACATCTCAGACAAAACATACTTCTTATCATCGGTTTATAGGCTTTTTCTCTTGCTCATGGGCTTATTATTATGATGGCGTTTTGCTCACCCACTTAATTATGTGCAGGTCTGTTTGTCTATTTCAGCCACTCATCTCCAGTCAACTTGAAAGCAAGAATTGCATTTTATATATCATTGGAACCCCAGAAGCTAACAGGGTCTGACACATAGAAGATACTCAGTCAATGTTAATAAAAATAATAAAAGAGTTAATTAATCAATGGATGAATGTGGGTAGGTTAGAGAGAGGGTATATATAGTCAGAAATAGAAGTGTCTCACTCCTTCCTGGTTTGGCTGAGCTGGCTATTCTATAGCAATGCTGCTCACCACACCCCTCAGTGATCTAGCTTGACTGAGAAAAGTTTTGCTGGCAGAGACTGAAAGAATCATCACCATAGGAGTGACATGGAAGGAGAGATGTTTGCACATGAGTTACATCACTTCTTCAAGACTGTCTCAGACAGACAGACAGACAGACACAAATGAAATACTACTGCTAGCCTCATGGAGTTGTTACGAGGTGGTGAATGAGATGGTGGGTTTTACAGGGTGAGAACAACTTAATAAATGTATACTTTGGCAGTGTCAGTACACAAAGCTACTGGTTCAACTATCTTGATGGAAATCAATTTTGATAATGTGAGTGATAAATTCAATCATACAATTCATTAAATGTATTCCACCATACCAATTGTGGGGAATCAGCTCAATTGTGTAAGACTATGTTTCGATTGAGACAATTAAACATTGTAGCTATTTATGACTTTGAGAATTTATTATATGAATATGGACTTTGAGAATTTCTCTTGCACTGTCTGGCTTGAAATAAATGTTCAAGGACTGAAACTCATAGCTTTTTATTATCATTTATTATTTAAAAAATTAACAGAAAAATGCTCAGGTAATGTTTTACAATCATTCAATATTCCAGAAATATTTTTACTGTGGTTTCAAAGGGTATCTCTTTGTTCTGCTCTTTGGCTCCTGTATACTGTGCTCTTTACACCTAAAATATTTTCCTAATAGTAGTGACAAAATAAGTAATTTAGGAATTCTTAAATTTGGAGGATTAAAATATAGTATTGCTGTATTTCATTTATCTTCAAGACATAGTTCCAATACCTAGAATATGTGTGTGTATGTGTGTGTGTGTGTGTTGTGTGTGAAAGAATGCAGAAGACAGATAACAATTTAAAAAGTGTTAATTTCATTGTTGGAGGTTAAACATTTAAGGAAGTTTTCAAGCCGGGCACGGTGGCTCACGTCTGTAATCCCAGCACTTTGGGAGACCGAGGTGGGCAGATCACAAGGTCAGGAGATCGAGACCATCTTGGCTAACATGGTGAAACCCCGTCTCTACTGAAATACAAAAAATTAGCCGGGCATGGTGGCGGGCGCCTGTAGTCCCAGCTGCTTGGGAGGCTGAGGCAGGAGAATGGCGTGAACCCGGGAGGTGGAGCTTGCAGTGAGCCGAGATGGTGCCACTGCACTCCAGCCTGGGTGACAGAGCAAGACTCTGTCTCAAAAAAAAAATAAAAAAGGAAGTTTTCTAGCCAGAAGTTAATGGTGTGGTTGTGTTGTGGTTTTAGGCTGAGTTTGTAAATTGAAATTTTTTCTTTTATTTTTCTTTTGGACTTGAATTGGTGGACTCTCAAGTAAAAGCCAGCACCTAAAACACAGCAGTATGTCAAGCACTGACTTTTCCAAGGCCCTTCAGAAATGGGCACAAGTCCTTGATGTACAGGTCATTGTTCTTTTAACGAAGGAAGATCACTAACATATTTGCTTCTCAGATGCTTTTTTACTGTTGCCCTGTGAAAGGTTTGGGCTTAAATTAATACACAGGTGACAATTTAACATGAGCAATTACCAAAATTTAAATTACAAACTTTATGTATTTCTAGACTGTTTTGGGCCAGCATAACACCCTACTCACGTCAAACTGAAGATCACCTTCAGCGTGGAGGTGTGAAGGATAAACAGTTTCTGAATAAGGTCTTTGGGAAGTCCCCTTTCAACTCATTATGAGAGTGTTCTGTTGCAGCATTCATGTGCCAGGTCAGTACATCTCAATGAGTCCCAAGGAAATAGGGGATCACACTATTTGGTATAAAGAAGAAAGAGACCCAGTGAAACATGAAAATGATGTTAAAGGAGAGAACAACGAGAGGAAGTAAAGTCCATGTGTCAGCAGTCTCATGGGTCCCAGTTTATTGTTTTTCTCGAAGTAGATGCCTGTGCTTCAGGCAGAAAAAAATGAATTACATCAAATGCCTGACAAACGCATTTTGAATTATAGATCTCTTAGGGGACTGCAACATAGTAATAGTGCATTTCTCTTTTAATGTTTGCTTACTTTTTATTATGAAAAAATGTGATTACATAACACCCAGGACAATAACAGAATAATATAAAGATATTTTATTTTTATTAAATGCAATAAAAATTCTATTTCAATGATCTGTTATTTTTATTCATCTAGGCTATTATTAGTATCATAATTGATTTACAGCCAAGCATCTGGGTTAAAAAATATTAGAGTCCGTTTATGTCTAATAGAGACCACTCCCATTTAATAAATTATTTTAATTATCTCAAGCTTGACATTTTACAAGTCAGTAGTCTCTTTCCCATCTTACCTTATGTGACTCCACAAAGCAAAATAAATTTTTGTAAGGAGCTTATTTTAGGTATTGTTTATACAGGGCTACCAGACCAAGCCCTTTGATGGATTCTGAGTCACAACATGGTGGGTTCAGTCATTCAACCAAGATAATGAATTTCTGCCAAACCCATCATATGGCATTAGCTTAATTGAGTAGGAGCATCAGCCCCAAAAGAGACAATCTAGTTCTCAGTTAGAAAGCAAGAAAAAAGTCTTATTTGATTCAGCCTTGCTTGGCAAACTTGACTTCCAATTACAGTGACTGCTGACAAACACAGCAGAATGGCATCAGAGAAGAGTGTAAAGTGTAAGAAAAGTATTATTGGATAGAACTTGATTTAAATCCCAGCTCGATCTCTTCCCAGCTGTGTGACTAAAGTACTTGCGTCATTTTTCTCACCTGTGAATTGGCATTAAAAAGTATCAGTTCCTGAGTACTATTATAAAGACTGAATTTTAGACATGTATAAAGGACTTGGCTTCCTTGTAGCATGCAGATAACATGTATACTTTCTCACTTTCTCCTTTTGACCTCTTAATTTTCTTTGTTGACTCCTTATTCATTATCAGCATCGAGGTACACACAAAACACTACTCTGTACATACAACTTCTCTTAGCTTTTGCTATTAGAGCACATACAACCTACCTTGTAACTGTTTTACCTGCCCACACCTCCCACTAAACTGTGAACTCCTCAGCAGTGAGAATGGTCTCTAATTCCTTAGAATATTATTTTGGGGTATAGATTAAAGAATATTTGCAGTTTGCCACTGCCCTGCAAAAGTCCCTAAAGCACAGCCTAACTTCAAGAATCTCTTATTAAGAATAGAATACAATTAGTACAATTACTTCTCACTCCCTGGCTAATAAACAATGTTCTAGTTCCTACATTGGACAATAGGTAAGTGTGTGCATTTTGTCATCTGGCACCAACATTTCTTTCTATTTAACTGCCTCAAGGCATCCAGAGTCCAGGGAGTTGGAGCATTCATGCTCTCTCACTAATTCACTTCCGCCTTTGCATTTTTGAGTATTTTCTTCACCTCAGGATCTCCTGATCTCCTCTCTAACAAATTAATATAAAAACACAAACTATTCTTTAAAACCATTTCACTCGCTTATGAATTCCCTAACAGTGTGCTCTATTACTTTAACTTGTCCACACAGAAAGCAATCATATCCATCTCTGAATTTTATTTTCCTTAATTGTGCAACTGTCTAGATTAGTTGTCTGTTGTTGCAAAACAACGCCAAAATTTAGCAGCTTAAAACATAAACATTCATTAACTTATGCAGTTTCTGAGGATCAGGAATCTGAGCGTGGCTTAACTCAGAGGATCTGACTCAGGGTCTCTCAGGAGGCTGTTGTTGAGGTGCTGGCCAGGGCTTCAGTCATCTGAAGGGGCAGAGCATCTCTTCCCAGCTCACTCCTATGGAGTTACTAGGAGGATTTCATTTCTCACTACATGAGACCATCTATAGGGCCTGGGATGGCAGCTGGCTTCCCCCAGACCATGTGTGTGGTCCAGGAGCAGAGAAAGAGTATGAAAAAGTTAGCAAAACAAAATACATGTTGCCTTTTGAAACTGTCTCCACAGGGTTAACAAGAAGCTGGGCTTTAGTGAAGCATTAATCAGGGTGCCTTTTGACCTACTTCTCTGTAGGGGCTTAGGGACCACATAGGCCATGATTTAAACCATTAACTTCCTGACTGTTTCTATAGATAGCATCTGCATTAGGCATTCTTGCACTACTATAAAGAAATACCTGAGACTGGGTAATTTATAAAGAAAAGAGGTTTAATTGGCTCATGGTTCTGCAGGCTGTACAGAAAGCATAGTTGCTTCTGCTTCTGGGGAGGCCTCAGGGAGCTTAAAATCATGGCAGAAGGTGAAGGGGAAGCAGGAACATCTTACACGGCCCGGAGCAGGAGAAACAGAGAGAGGCAGGAGGTGCCACACACTTTTAAACAACCAGACCTCAAAGAACTTACTATTGTGACAAGAGCACCAAGAAGGATGGTGTTGAGCCATGAGAAACTGCCCCCATGATCCCATCACCTCCAGCACTGGAGATTACAATTGAACATATTTGGGTGGGGACACAGATTCAAACCCTATCAGCACCTTTAACTTTAGGAGCTTAAAACATTTCATTTGATCTGTTTTTTTCACAATGGCTGATGCCAATTGCTCTGAAGACCTTGCCAATGAGCCAAGTCAGTGTGATAATGCAGTTTCTTCACTTCTTATTTCATGGCATCACACTTCACACTTCAACCAATCAACATATTTACCCACTACCCTTCCAAATTCCTTAAAATCCCTGGACCCAAACTCTCTGGGAATGCAATTTTGAGGTTTCCTTCTGTCTCTTTTTTTGGTGGCCCTGTGATTAAAACTCTTTCTCTACTACAACCCTCGATGTTTTAGTGTATCGATTTGCTGCACATCAGGCAATGGAACTATTACGGTTACATTTTTATAACTTGATCTTGGAGTGGGATCCTACCACTTATGCCTTATCCAATTGACCATCAAGACCAATGTTGGCACAGTGTGGGAGGGGACTAAGTAAGGCTGTGGAGATCCAGCGGTGGGCATCACTGGGAATCATCTTGAAGGCTACCATCTTTCTCATGAGTCTTATGCCTTTATTCTTTCACTACCATTGAGTGAGATATTTTCTTACACATGAGATCTCTTTCAATGTGAGACCCTTGATAGTTTATGTCTTTTTTTTTTCACTGTATACATTTAGTGTCTGCAATGGTGTAGAATAAATATTTATTGAATTAATAATATTAAATCCATGCTTCATAAAAGTAAAAAAAAAATCTAGCTCCTTAAATAAGGACACTGGGATGTATAGGTTTAAGTCGAAATATCAAAGGCAAAATCGTATTTTAAAAAATACAAAGGCTTTTACATAAATTCATAAGGACATTTGGGGAGGAAGTCTTGTCTTTATTTTTCTGGCTTATAAAATAAAGGTGCTAATTTAAATTACAGATTCAATCCCAGCTGTAAATTACCAGGTGAAATGAAATTCTCCATCCCTTTACCAAAACAGCCACCTACATTCAAAGTACATGCAAAGTAAAGAGAAGATGCAAACAGAAACCCTATTTTACACAAATTATGGTCACTTAACAAATCATCCTTGAGTTATCGTGTAGGCAGAGGCTGAGCACAGGCATGATTACATCTTTCAATCTGAATTTGTTTTCTTTTTTTTTACAGGGCTGTTTTCCTGTTTGTTTTTTTTCAACAACTTCCTGAAAATAATCCTAATATTTTTTACCTTTTTCGTAACTCCACAATACCTAATTCAATACCCTCTACGTAAAACTATCCTTTATGATCATTTTTCAGAAACAGAATGGCATTTAGTCAAATGATTAGTACTGTCACATTGGGCAGATTATGAATCTTCTCCACGTTTCAGTTCCCTGATTTGTAAAATAAGAATATAGGGTTTTTATTATATTAAATCCCTATATTGAAATTAATGAATATGTGAAACTCTGAACTACAGATATCTGGCACAAAGCCTTGCTTTCCATGGCAAGTTCTCAATAAACGTTTACTGAACTCAAAATGTTTCTAAAGAAAAGCAAGCTTAACTGGTAAGAATCAGATACAATACATGTTTAAAAGATACTTCCAACAGACTTACTAATGTCTGTGGTTTTATTTCCTTTTTTTGTTTTGTTTTGTTTTTACTTTAGTAATGTTTGTTGTATCTGTAGATTAACAGAAGAGATGGCATTCAAATGTGTCAATGTGCATGTGGGTGAATTAAAGGGTGATTACCATGCAGTGGGGTACAGATTGTTCTATACTCTTTTTCATTCTTTCTTCCTGAAATATGAGGTCATTTAATGAAAACTCAAAAAATGGACCACCAGTAACTGTTTCCTTCTTTGGTGGTCTGGGCCTTAGGGAGATAAGGGTACTTCAGGGTTCATCCTGTACTTTGAGAGAGACAGAGGGTTGAGAGATGGAGGTGGGAGCAGTCAGAGCTTGAGGCTGCTCCTTCAGTTCAGCCTGTAAAAGCACCATATTTTGGGGTATTGGTTTCTGATCCTTTATACTAGTATAATAATAAGAGCAATTACTTCTTACAATTTATTGTGTCTTGGGAAGTTTGTCAACTGTTTTACAAAATATCTCATTATCTAGACCTCACAATGGCACCATAATTTTGATAAACAAAGTTAAATCTCTGATTATTACCCAAGTGTTCCTGTTCCTCTCATCCAGTTTCATTTGTCAAATTGTTGCAGGGTTTGTGCGTGTGTGTTTGTGTATGTTTAAGGGGGTTTGGTGATAAGAGCTGGGAGAATGTGTTTCCCCCCAACAGATGTAAAATTTGGATTTGTTCTGAAGAACATAATCCCCTCTCTAGCTCAGATCTTGAAATGAGCCTATTCAAATGAAAGAGTCCAACTGTTCATTTTATTAAAATGGATGACCTCTTGTTTGTTTTTCATATGGGAATACTTGATTTGTAAACTATTTCTACATAAACAAGTACTGCTTTAAATTTTAGTTTTACGCCAAATCAAATCAAAGTTTTAATAAATTCTAGAAAATCTCCTGGTAAAATAGTGGTAAACATATGCATTCAAGTGAATAAACTAATGATCCACATGACTGCTAAGAAAGCTGAGAATTAATTGGATTTTACACTCAGTCATGGTAAATCCCTTGAGTTCTGCAGGCAGTGGCCAAAGATACATTTGCTTTTATCATGCAAGATAATGGGATTACCAGGCAGTCTAAGTCTTTAATCTTTGTTGATAAAGTGAGATGAACACTCAGGAAATACACTAGGTGGGCTTAAATTGCTAAAGGGAGGGGAAAAAAAAAAAAGAGAGAGGAAAAGCCTGAAGTGTTAGATTGCCTATCAGGGAAATAGAATTAAGTGTAAGTACATTTGCATAGTTGAAAAGAATTTCTATCCATGGTTGCAAGGTGTAATTTTAAAGTTGGTTGTCTAATGCACATAATTGACATGTATAATGAGCTACTTAATTTGTGTTCTTTCATTTCTACTCTTTGATTAGAATATGATGTATTGCTGTTTTTGTTCTTCCACACACATTAATTTAGTTATAAAAGTGATGAAGTTAATAATTTCTTTGATTTTTAATGAGAGAAATGAATGCACTCCTGTTTTGATTTATATTATTTTTCTTTAGTTTTATTTTTATTTCCCACTTCAAACTGTGTATATTCAACTAGAAGATTTGCTGGAAGATAGCTTCTAGCACTGACTTCTGTGTGTTGAGTTTGCTGAAATATTGTATGTTTTTAACAAATGCAGCTTTTCATCCTTTTTTTTTAATATAATTAATGGCTGGCACAAAATATATTATTGCATATCAAAATAAGGTTAACTCTTTAAAAAGCCAACTTGCAAAATGCATTTAAAATTTACTACTTGATAGAGTAAAATAGGCACACTTAACATAAAAAGACATTGCTGATTGTTGAAGTCTTGGCTACATCTATAATGAAAAATTTGCAAGGCAGATATTAATATATTTATTTTCAGTTGATGCCATTCAGGCTCAGAATGGTGAGTTTCTCTGCTCAAGGTCACAAAACTTATACCTTGTAGAGCTGGGAATGAAGCCAGGAGCAATGCTCTTGACTCTCAGAATACTCCTGTGATTACTGAATTCTAAATACTCTCCCAAAATATTGCCTCTGATGGCTTCTTGGGATCAAGCCTCTTTGAATTGCACATACAATCTTGTTACTATAGTCCACTTTATACATACAGCAGACAACAAATTTTGTTTGATGATAAACTTGAGTGTCACAAAGATACAAGGTCATCTACATACATAGGGTTACACAAGTTAATATCTTTTTTCAATAGACATTTCTCAGTCAGACATCACCAGACTCCTCAATAGTGATACAGGATGCTAGTGGAGCAAAATCTCCAAAAGCTTAAGAACATATTAATTTGAGTGTAGAATTCTACCCTTGGCCAAATTCTTAATCTTGAAGAGAGATTAGATGTGTTTTTAAACACACAAGGTCTAAAAAATTATGAATATGGATGGGGTTCAGAAAATGCTACCCCCAGTTTATCATCATTAGATCATGCCCTTTTGTTTTCCAATCATATTTCTCTGTGACTGCCCACCCTTCATCAAACGTAAGCACGAAAATACAGACTTACCCATTTCTTTGGGTCTTCATTTCCTTATAAAGTGTCCAGTGTCACACAAAACTTATATTAAATAAAATGCTATGCATTTCTCTTGTTAATCCACCCTTTGTTATAATGGCCTCAGCCGTGATGGGAAGGAAAGGTATATCTTTTCCCTGATAATACCAATCTCTGTCTTAAAAAATACAAGCAATTTTGCTTCAGTACAACAAAGTAAAATTTTTAAAGTAGTGGATATGGGATCTAGGAAAGAAAAGATCCTGGACAGTGAAGTGGCAAAGGAAGTTCAAGCATTGTGTAGGACGTCTGGAGTCCAGTTGGCCCAATAGAACAGGGAGGATCTTGGAAATTTGTTATGGAACTAATAGGTGATTTTTGCATTTCAGCATCTGGAAAACGCATATAGGATTTTAAAGGTCTAGTGTAGCTAGGAGAGAAAAAAAAATGACAGATACTGCTAAAACTAATCAAATACAATTTTTAAATAAGTGTTTAGTGTTCTTGTTTTTTACACTCTTATTTTAGGTCTAGGGCGTATGCGTATAGGTTTGTTACACGGGTCAATTACGTGTCACTGAGGCTTGATGTATGCATAATCCCATCACCTACATAGTGAGCATAGTACCCAATAAGTGGCCTTCCAGCCTCTGCCCCCTTCCTAGAATCACCCCACAAGCAGTTCCCAGCATCTCTTGTTCTCATCTTTGTGCCCATAAGTATTCAACATTTAGCTTCTAGTTAAAAGAATATGTGGTATTTGGTTTTCTGTTTCTGTACTAGTTCATTAAAAATAATGGCCTCCAGTTGTGTTCATGTTGCTATAAAGGACATGATTTGATTCTTTTTATGGATATGTAGTATTCCATAGTGTAATATGTACCACACTTTCTTTATCCAATCTACCACTAATACACATCTTGGTTGATCTCATGCCTTTGCCATTGTGAATAGCAGTGCAATGAACATACACACGCATGTATCTTTGTGGTAGAATAATTAATTTTCCTTTGGGTATATACCCCATAATGAGATTCCTGGGTTGGAAAGTATTTTTGTTTTAAGAGTCTTGAGAAATCTCCAGCTTCTTTCCACAGTGGCTGAAATAATTTACATTCCCACCAGTGTATAAATTGTTCCCTTTTCTCTGCAATCTCACCAGTGTCTTGTTTTTTGACTTTTCATAATAGCCATTCTGACTGATGTGAGATGGTATCACATTGTGCTTTTGATTTGCATTTCTCTAATGATTAATGGTGATGACATTTCTTCATATATTTGTTGGACTCATGTATGTCTCCTTTTGAGAAGCGTCTCTTCATATACTTTGCCCATTTTTTAATGGGGTTGTTTTTGGCTTGCTGATTTAAGTTCTTTACAGATTCTGGATGCTAGACCTTTGTTGGAGGCATAGTTTGCAAATCACTTGTTCCATTCTGTAGGTTATCTGTTTTCTCTGCTGTTAGCTTGTTTTACAGTACAGAAGTTCTTTAGTTTAATTAGGTCCCACTTGTCAACTTTTGTTTTGGCTGCAATTACTTTTGAGGACTTAGTCATAAAAGATTTGCCAAGGCTGAAGTCCAAAATGATTTCCTAGGATTTCTTCTTGAATTTTTATTGTCTTCAGTCTTATATTTAAATCTTTCATCCATCTTGAGTCAATTTTTATATATGGTGAAAGGATAGGGTTTAGTTTTAATCTTTGGCATATGGTCAGCCAGTTATCTCAGCATCATTTATTGAATAGGGGGTCCTTTTTGTGTTGTTTGTTACTTTCAGGTTTGTTGAAAATTAGATGATTGTAAGGGTGTAGCTTTACTTTTGGGTTCTCTATTCTTTTAATTGATCTGTATGTCTGTTTTGGTAGAGTACCATGTTTTTTTGGTTACTGTAACCTTGTAGTGTAGTTTGAAGCCAGATAGTGCAATGCCTCTGGCTTTGCTGTTTTTGCTTAGGGTTGTATTGGTGATTGCAGCTCTTTTTTGGTTCTACATGAATTTTGAAATACTTTTTTTATTTCTGTGAAAAATGACATTTGAACGGCATTGAATTTATAAATTGCTTTGGACAGTATGGCAAACGATGTCGTTTGGCTTTGTGTTCCCACCCACCCAAATCTTATGTGAAATTGTAATCCCTATTGTTGGAGATGGGGCCTAGTGGGGGTGACTGAATCATGGAGGTGGTTTCTAATGGCTTAGACCCATCCCCCTAGTGCTTTCTCATAATAGAGTTCTCAGGAGATCTGGTTGTTTAAAAGTGTGTGGCACCTTCCCCTTTGCTTTCTCTCTCTTCCTCCTTCTCCAGCCATGTCAAATGTGTCAGCTTCCCCTTCATCTTTTGCCAAGATTTTAAGTTTCCTGAGACCTCCTCAGCCATGCTTCCTATGAAGCCTGTAGAACTGTGAGTCAATTAGACCTAATTTCTGTATAAATTACCCAGGCTCATGTAGTTCCTTATAGTAATGTAAAAAATGCATTCGTACACCCACTTTAATAATATTGATTCTTCCTATCCATGAGAATGGATTTTTTTTATTTGTTTGTGTTGTCTCTCATTTCTTTCAGCACGTTTTTGTAATTCTTAGTGCAGAGGTAATTCACTTCCTTGCTAAACTGTATTCCTAGGTATTTTATTCTTTTTGTGGTTACTGTATATGAGATCGTGTTTTTATTTGGCTCTGAGTTTGACAATTACTGGTGTAAGGAAATGCTACTAATATTTGTACATTGATTTTGTATCCTGAAATTTTACTGAAATTGTTTTTTAGTTGTAGAAACTTTCTTGTGGAGTCTATGCAGTTCTGCAGGTATAGAATCGTATCATCAACAGAGAGAGTTTGATTTCTTCTCTTCCTATTTTGATGCCTTTTATTTCTTTGTCTTGACTAATTGTTCTGACTAGAACTTCCAGGGCTGTGTTGAACAGCAGTGGTTAGAATGGAAATCCTTGTCTTGTTCCAGTTCTCAATGGGGGTGCTTCCAGGTTTCATTCATGCTTCCATTCAGCATGATGTTGATAGTGGTCTTGTCACAGATGGCTGTTATGATTTTGAGGTATCTTCCTTTGGTGGCTAATTTGCCAAAGGTTTTTAACATGAAAAGATGTTAAATTTTATCAAAGGCCTTTTCTGTGTCTATTGAGATGATAATGTGTTTTTGTTGTTAATTCTGTTTATGTGATGAATCACATTTATTGATTTGCATATGGTAAACAAATCTTGCATCCCAGAAATAAGGCCCACTTGACTGTGGCAAATTAATTTTTTGGTATGCTGATAGATTTGCTTTGCCAGTATTTTGTAGAGGATTTTTGTGTCTAGGTTCATCAGAGATATTGGCCTCAAGTATTCTTTTCTTAATTGTGTCTCTGGAAGTCTTTGGTGTCAGAATGATGATGGCTATGTAGAATGAATTAGAGAGGACTACATCCCCTTCGATTTTTTTGAAATAATTTCAGTAGGATTGGTATTCGCTCTTCTTCATATGTCTGGTAGGGCCTTTTTTTTTTTTTTTTTTTTTTTTGGTCTGTAGGCTTTTATTTCTGATTCAATTTCAGAATTCATTATTGATCTTTTCAGGATTTTAATTTCTTTGTGGTCCATCCTTGAGAGGCTGTATATTTCCAGGAATTTATCAATTTCTTCTAGGTTTTGTAGTTTGTATGCATAGAGATATTCATAATAGTCCCTGGGGATATATTGTACTACTGTGGGGTCAGTTGTAATGTCACCTTTTTCCTTTTTGATTGTGTTTATTTGGATTTTTAAAAAATTAATCTAGCTAGTAGTCTATCAATCTTGTTTAATCTTTTTAAGAACCACCTTTTGGTTTCTTTAATCTTTTGTATTGATTTTTGCATCTCAGTTGTGTTCAGTTTAGCTTTTATTTTGGTTATTTCTTTTCTTCTGCTAGCTTTGGGTTTGGTTTGTGCTTATTCTTCTAGTTCCTCTGGTTGCTACATTAAGTTGTTAATTTGAAATCTCTCTGACTTGTTGATATAGGTTTTTAGTGCCATAAACTTTCCTCTTTACCATGTTTAGTTGCTTTCCAAAGATTCCAATATGTTGTGTGTCTGTTTCCATTAGTTTCAAATAATTTTATTTCTGCCTTAATTTTGTTTTTTACCCCCAAATTATTCAGGAGACAGTTGTTTAACTTCCAATTAATTGTATGGTTTTGATTGGTCTTTTTGGTATTGATTTCTATTTTATTGCATTGTGATCCAAAAATATATTTGTTATGGTTTATATATTTGTGAGTTTGTTCAGACTTGCTTTATGGTCAAGCATGCGGTCAATCTTAGAGTATGTGCTGTGTGCAGATGAGAAGACTATACATTCTGTTGTTGTTGGGTGGAGTGTTCTGTAGATGTCTATTAGGTCCAGTTGGTTAAGTATCGAGTTTAACTCCATAGTATCTTTGTTTGTTTTCTGCCTTGATAATCTGTCTAACGTTGTCAGTGGGGCGTTGAAGTTCCCCTGTGTTATTATGTGGTCATCTAAATCTCTTTGTATATCTCTAAAGTCTTGTTTTATAAATCTGGGTACTTCAATGTTGAGTATGTATATCTTTAGAATGGTTAAGTCTTATTGTTGGATTGAGCCTTTTATCACTATGTAATGCCCTTCTTGGTCCTTTTTGGTCATTGTTGGTTTAAAGTCTGTTTCATCTGACATAGGAATAGTTACCCTTGCTCTTGTTGGTTTTCCATGTGTCTGATAGATCTTTCCCATCCCTTTACTTTGAGCCTATGGGTTTCATTACTTGTGAAAAAGATCTCTGAAAACAGCAGGCAGTGGGTCTTGCTTCTTTATCCATTTTGCTGTTCTGCGTCTCTTAATTGGGGAATTTAAACCATGTATATTCAGTATCAATATTGATATGTGAGAATTTAATCCTGTCATCATGTTTTTAGCTGGTTATTATGTAGACTTGATTATACAGTTGGTTAATAGCATCAGTAGGATGTGTACTTAAGTGGCTTTTTGTGGTGGCATATATCATTCTTTCTTTTCCATAGTTAGCACTCCATTTAGGAGCTCTTGTATGGCAGGTCTGGTGGTAAAGAATTCCCCTAGCATTACCTTGTCTGTAAAGGATTCCATTTCTCCTTCACTTAAGAAGCCTGATTTGGCAAGATATGAAATTCTTGGTTGGAATTTATTTTCTTTAAAAATATTGAGCCTGGGTGTGATGGCTCAGACCTATAATACCAGTACTTTGGGAGGCTGAGGTGGGAGGATCACTTGAGGTCAGGAGTTTGAGACCAGTCTGGCCAACAAGGTGAAAACACATCTCTACTAAAAATACAAAGATTAGTTGGGCATAGTGGCATGTGCCTTTAAGCCCAGCTACTAGGGAGGCTGAAGCAGGAGAATCACTGGAACCAAGAGGCAGAGGTTGCAGTGAGCCAAAATTGTGCCACTGCACTCCAGCCTGGGCAACAAACTGAGACACTGTTTCAAAGAAAGAAAGAAGGAAAGAAAGAAAGAAAGAAAGAAAGAAAGAAAGAAAGAAAGAAAGAAAGAAAGAAAGAAAGAAAGAAAGAGAAAGAAAGAAAGAGAAAGAAAGAAAGAAAGAAAGAAAGAAAGAAAGGAAAAGAAAGAAAGAAAAAGAAAAAAAACAATACTGAAAATAGCTTCTTAATCCCTTCTCACTTGTAAGCTTTCTGCTGAAGGTCCACTGTTAGCCTGATGGAATTCCTTTTGTAATTTCCCTCTCCTTTTTCTCTAGCTGCCTTTGAGACTGTTTTCTTTCATGTTGACCTTGGAGAATCTGATCACTATGTGTCTTGGGAATGGTCACTTTGGATCTTATCCCACAGGGGTTCTCTGTATTTCTTGAATTTGCATGTTGACCTCTCTAGTGGGATTGGGAAATTTTTCATGGATTATATCTTCAGATATGTTTACCAAGTTGTTTGTGTTCTTTTATTCTATTTCTGGAATGCCAATGGATTATAGATTTTGTTTATTTATATAATCCCATATTTCTTGGGATATTTAATTCACTTTTTAAAATTATTTTTTTTTGTCTCTCTGTGTTGCTTCAAAGGAGTTGTCTTCAAGCTATGAGATTCATTCCTCAGCTTGGTCTATTCTGTTGTTAATACTTCCAGTTGAATCTTGAAATTCTTGTGGTATATTTTTCATTTCTACAAGTTCAGTTTGTTTCTTTCTTAAAATGGTTATATTGTCTTTCAAATCTTGGTTTGTTTTACTGTTTTCTTTGGATTGGGTTTAATCCTTCTCTTTTATCTTGATGCACTTCCTTGGCATCCAGATTCTGAATTCTTTGTTTGACATTTCACCATTTCAATCTGGTTAGAATCCATTGCTGAGGAGCTAGTGCAATCATTTGGTGGTAAGAAGACACTCTGGCTTTTAGAGTTGCCAGAGTTCTTGCATAGGTTCTTTCTCATCTGTGAGAGCTGATGTTCCTTTATCCTTTGAAGTTGCTGTACTTTGGATGGGGCTTTTCATTTTTATGATCTTTATTGCCCTTGAGGATTTGATTGTGGTGCAAGTTGGGTATAGTTGAATGGCTTTGTTTCTGGATGCTTTCAGGAGGCAAGACTCAGCTCCACACTCTTGGGTTATGAGTTCGTATCCTGATGGTCTGGGACTGAGTCAGTGGCTTTGCCTTCTGCTTTCTCAAACTCAAGCCCCAGCTGGGCTGGAGGCCCTGGGATGATTCCAAACTATTAGCAAAAACACTCTGTAGGTGACAGGGGGAGTACCACTGGTAGGGGGCTCTCCAGGAGGGATGTGTTATGGTATGGCAGGTGAATGTATATTAATGTCAAACAAGAAATTAGACATGTGTATAAGAAAACAATGCTTATTAACATAATTCCTGACTAAGCCAGACATTATTTATAAATTACAAATCATAAAATAAAAACTGTGACAACTTAACAAAAAATATTGATGTGTTACAATATTGGGAAAGTAAAATATAAAGATGGTTTAACAAGAGAGATTAAGCCCCAATTACTATATTAAGTGATGTCTAATATTGTTAAGCCAAGAAATAGCTTTCTTTTTTTTATCATCTTATTTAGCCACACTACAGCATTTGCCTGAAAATAGGATTTAATTTTGAATGTGATCACCTTTGATAGAACTATGGAATAGGAAGGGATTGAACAAAAGATTTCTCCTTTTCATTTTGAAAATTTAGTCTTATTTGATTTTTAAATTTACACATTCATTTTTTCATTAAACAAATTAAAATAAATTTAGTAAAAAAAATGTGATTAGTGCACTACCCATAGTAGTGGCTTTACCCTTCACAAATAACACTTGCCAGAGATATCTTTTATTGTCCCAGTTACAGACTTATCTAAATGCAAGAGCACAAATAGAATTCTTCACTCACCTGAGATGGCTGCATCAGATAGAAACACAGGGCTAGCATTTTGTCTCCTTTATAGATGTAACAAGACCAGGCCTAAATTCAGTTTTCTACTCATTAAATTTCTGGTGACAAAATTTGCATCTGTGTTTCAAATAAAATTGGAACAAAACAAAACTACAATTACACTTTTTATTTGGTATTATTTCAAAAGAAGATTGATCATCTTCTTTGAATTTGAATAACTCAACCTTGAAGAAATGGAAAGGTTAGAAAGTTCAGATATTAAGAGCATCTATGGTATTCTGGGCCTTACATCGATCTTTTACATTCAGTTTCTTCTGCAATCCTCGTTAGAAATGTCTTTGCACTCTCTTCAACAGAAGATCTCACATTATTTAAAAACATATCCGAAACAGGCACTCATTAGGGTTTGGTATTCCTGTACTCACTTTAATTATTTCTAATTTGTCCCTCTACATACACAAATGTTAAAGAAAGGAAAATAGATATTTTAATCTCCGAGAAGATGCTTTCTAAAGACTCAGCAATCTCTATCTTTCCACGGAAGAGTTTTTAATTATAATCATTCAGAGTGTTTAAAGTAGACTGTGGAATTCAAACAAAGTGTGCACAGAAAATCTTCATTAATTGCATTTTTTTGGTGGCTGTTTTTTTTCTCTCAAACATACATACACACCCACACAGTCTCCCTCTCTCTCTCTCACACACACGCACACATTCACATCCACACACACAAATAAAATACACACACATATACACAATCACACACACTGGTTTTCCAGAAAGGAACTTTTTAAAGATTCTCATTGTCAGTGGACTTCTAAATTCAATAGTCAGCAAATCAGCTCAAATTTTTCTACTGAAGAGAATGGAGAAAATGTCAGCATCTGCTGGAACACCTGCATGAATAGATAGGGCTCACACATTATCCCAGATTTGTAAGGATTTTGTATCACTAGGATGAGTCATATGTTGGCCTTTCCTCTAAGGCCTTTATTATGACACAGAACAAATCTCATCCTGTGGTTAACAGTTGAGATAGCACACATTTTGTTAAACAAATGGAAAGATCAAACAGTTATGAGAGCAATAACCAAAATTTTCCTTATTTTAACAGCTTTCTCAAGTGTGGAATAACTTTAAATCCTTTCACAGTTCAGCAGGAAAGACCTCTGATGTCTTTGAAAAACATCAGGCCTCAAACCATGCTGGGGAACTTTTTCAACTCGGCACTAAAATGTACTTTCTGCTAACATGCAAGGAAGGAAAATCTAGCACATGCGTTTATTTCTCTAGCAACACTCAGCACCTAAGACTGTGCACTCAGACCACAGTCTACAAATTTGAATGGGACATGTATTCTCCTTTTCTTTTTTTTGAGATGGAATTTCACTCTTGTCACCCAGGCTGGAGTGCAATGCCACCATCTTGGCTGTCTGCAACCTCCGCCTCCTGGGTTCAAGCAATTCTCCTGCCTCAGCCTCCTAAGTAGCTGGGATTATAGATGCCTGTCACCATGCCCAGCTAATTTTTGTGTTTTTAGTAGAGACAGGGTTTCATCATGTTGGCCAGGCTGGTCTCGAACTCCTGACATCAAGTGATCCACCCGCCTCGTTCTCCCAAAGTGCTAGGATTACAGGCGTGAGCCAGGGCACTCAGACTCATTTTGTATTTTTTATTATTTTCATAGCGGCCATTACTCAGTGCTTTGACAGATTTCCTAATGGTCTAATACTTGCTTAACTCCCATCTACCTATCTCCTCTCATCCCCCAAGTGCACTATAAATTCTAGTTATATTGTAACTACTTCTCTTTGTTGACATTATCATGTTTTACATATGATCAAGAAGGACAAAGAATCTTCCAACATGATAGATCGTCCCTTTTTGTCAAGAATCTTGAATTATGTTTGTGCTGTTAAAATGTAGTTTGCTTTAGGAAATAAGGATAGGAGAGAATAAAGGAAATCAGATTAAGGGTGTCACACTTCCAGTTGTCTTCAACTGTTTATACCTCAGTGTGTGCCTAATGGGTAGGAGCACCGATTAGAAGGGGCCCCGATGCAACCGAGTAAAATAATGTCAGATTAAGTATTCACTCTACAAAATACATGTAGGAGACTTTTAAAAGGTATCGTCTTATGTTTAACATGTTAGCAGTGTCTTGTATATTTGTTGAAATCTAATGAAGTAAATTAGTAGCAGAACATATGTTCTGTGAGACAATGTGAAGACAGGAAGGCTGGAAAGATTCCACATTCTTACAGCCATAACCCAAAGCAGTCCGAGAATATGATGGTCGAATGATGGCAGATGCTATTGGTGCTCCACCCATATACCTTCGTCCACCTTGCTGTGCCCACACATGGCAGCCTGCCTTTCAATTCTCAGCATCTATATCTTGTTTAGAAGCTTTCCCTGAGGGTGGCTGCTAAATCCTGTATTCCTGAGTAAATGTCCTTCTGGTGGAAGCTCTTAAACAATGAATGACAGATGTGGGCACATAAATACTCCTGTCCTCTTGTCCCTTAGCAAGGTCTGTATCCACAGGACCCCCCAGAGTTTTCCTGTAGGATTAAACATCAGTCACCCCTTGAAGTCTCCCATTATTGTCTCTCTCTCTTTGGTATCACCTAGTCTCTGCTGGTATCTAGGTTTTCTAAATAATTATATGCACCCAATTTTTATTTCTGAGTGGAGTGAGGGGCCTCCTTGGCTGAGCATGAAGGGAACAGGGAGAGGAAATCCACCAAAACAAGAATTCTTGTCTGAGAACAGATCTAGAAAATACTTTCCCTATTGGCCGGGTGCTGCGGTTCATGCATGTAATCCCAGCTCTTTGGGAGGCCGAGGCACGTGGATCACCTGAGGTCACGAGTTCAAGATCAGCCTGGCGAACATGACGAAACCCTTCTCTACCAAAAATACAAAAATTAGTCAGGCTTGGTGGCATGCACCTGTAGTCCCAGCTACTCAGGAGGCTGAGGCAGTAGAATCGCTTGAACCTGGGAGCCAGAGGTTGCGGTGAGCCAAGATCATGCCAGTGCACTCCAGCCTGGGTGACAGAGTGAGACGCCATCTCAAAAAACATATATATATAGATATATATATGTATATACACTTATATATATTATATATATATTTTTGAGATATATATATTTTGATATATGTATATCTCAAAAAATATATATAGAAAGATAGATCAATATAGATCTCAAAATAGGAAATAGAGATATAGATATATCTCAAAATAGGGATATATTACATATTCCCTATTATACATATATATAATATATCCCTATTATATATGTAAATTTCCTATTTTTTACATATATAAAATAGGGAATATATAATAACATATATTATTGCTATTATAGGAATAGGGGAAATGCTTGTCATGCCATTGTCAATAAAACGATGGCGACTATAGAAAAAGAGGGAGTGGGAATTATAAAATGATGTCAACTTGAGAGTCAAGGATCTGGGTTTGTGATTGAGGGGGTTTAAGGAGAGGACAAAGAGTGTGGAAGAGCCTGGAGTGGACTAGAGAGATGGAAGACAACCATTCTCCAAAGGAACTGGTCTCAGGCTTTTGTAGGATTGAGAAAATACATCCACCCTGACCCAACAGGAGGACACACGAAGACAGGTGAGAACAGTTGGCTGCACAACCAAGCCCGGGAGAGTGGAGGTCTTCTGAAGATGACAAGGTCCGAGATGAGTGAGTAGAGTTAAACAGGAATATCCCCTTGGAGAAAAGCTGGGAGGCAGCAAAGGAGTAGAAAGTTAGGTTATATTTATTTGTAGCTTTTCTGATCTAAGGATTAGAATTTCAGAGATACTTTAGGCAGCTGTAAGTAGTTTAATCTGACTTGAGGGTAGGTGTTGGTGGAGGTGTCACCAAGAGATGACAGTGAAAAGTTAAAACACTGGAAATCATGAAGAGCCCTGCATAGCTCCTTTGGGCAAAAGAGAGGAGAAGGAAACTGGGAAGAAGAGTAAAAAGGAGGAAAAACAGAGTTTCTGAAGACAGCCTCAGGACAGAAAGGAGGACGCTGAAGAGGATGGCGCAATATAGGATGAAAATATTTGTACATATTTTTCACTACATCCTAGCACTGATGTTGTGTTGTTGATTTTCAAAAATGTGTATTTCATTTTTCACCCTTAATAGATTGAATTTTGATGTGCATGACTTGACTATTTCCCATGATCTAAATGAAAGTGAAATGGTTGAATAAATCTGCCATCTTAGCATCCTCCAAAATTCAGAACTACGTATTTTTCTTCTTTCTTCCCAATCTCCAAAGGCAGTGTTGTCCTCATTTTTTAAGCACCTGCAGTCTTTTGCTAGTTTAGTCCTTAAATTATAAGCTCTTTAGTTCTGATATTTTGTATACATTTATTTGATAGCATGTTTTTTATTTGCTGCAAAGCGCCACAGGCATTCATGTAGCTATAAAAGTAATAACACTTAAAATAATAATAATTTTATATTGAGTCTGTTGAGTCTGTTGAGTTATATTGTTTTTCTGGCACGGAAGTGTTTCGGTAAAGCTCGGTGACTGCTGTACCCATGAGATCTTCATGAAAATGAGATGCAAAAATGTGTATTTATGGAGCCATACCATTGAACATATTTTCAGCAGAGTACTTCTCTTTCTTTAAAAGAGAGCCTGAGTTTTCAAAAATGACTACAGACTGTGTGACATTCCCCAGTCTATGAAATACTGCACTGTGCATTAACAATTTCTTTGTAATAATGGGGATACATATTTTAGAAAAAAAGTGCAATAGAGGATTGAATTCTGCTATGTGGATTTGGTGCTTTGGCTATACTATTCTCAAAATATGGACAATTCTTTATACCATTGTGATTTTCAGAGTAGTTGGCATGTAGTTGAAATAACCCAAAACAGGAAAAGCTATATGTATATATGTCCAAATCTGTGCATGGGTCTACAATATTTAAATTATTATTTTTTATTTTTTGAGACGGAGTTTCGCTCTTGTTGCCCAGGCTGGAGTGCAATGGTGTGATCTCGGCTCACTGCAACCTCCGCCTCCCAAGTTCAAACGATTCTCCTGCCTCAGCCTCCCAAGTGGCTGGGCTTACAGGCATGCACCAGCATGCCTGGCTAATTCTGTATTTCTAGTAGAGACAGGGTTTCTCCATGTTGCTCAGGCTAGTCTCGAATTCCCGACCTCAGGTGATCCGCCTGCCTCAGCCTCCCAAAGTCCTGGGATTACAGGAATGAGCCACCACACCCTGCCTGTTTAAATTGTTTTAATACTTAACAAAGTAAATAAAATGTAAATTTAATGGCCAGGTCTGAACCATTTATCTATTTGATCTTGAACATTTTCTTAATTTTTTTCACCTTTAAAACAGAAATAATCTTACTCATTTTGATGGACTTTGTTAAGAGTAAATAATATCTTATAGAGTGTTTATTACTATTCCCAATGCAGTAAAAATTTAACAAATAGCAACTATTACTGCTAATACCACTGTTACTCAAGAAAGTACAGATGACATTGGGAAAAGAATGACTAAAGTCTTCATCTACCTACAGTCTATTTCTTTTGAAACCACATGTGGCTGAAAAGCTAAAATTCAGGGAATGAGCCAACAATACTGATGGACCTCTAGTAAAATGCATGGAAAAAAATAGCCATCAGTGGTTTTATTGAGGGTTTCTGCATTAATCATTTGCTTCTAGTTCTAGTAGGATTTGATTACTGATTTCTGAAGTCTTTGTAGATGACTACAGATACAGAAATGTACCAAGGCCTGGGTGGATAAGCACTTGTTCTGCAGTGGACCCTGGCAATGGGCAGCCTGATGGCATGAGCAGAGCTACAAAAAGTAACAAGGATTTTAGATGAACAGAAGCGAGAGACCATTCAGGTGGAGGCACACATCTGACCTCACCACATCCTGCTTTAAAATATTATTTACTAGTATTGTTCATATGGATGGATATCAGTTAATGTATAAAGCAGATATCAGTTAATATGTAAATTCTGTTTAGAAGACTTTTTCCCCAGATAGTAAATTATTATACTTTATATATGAAAATTACATCCATCAGATGCTTTGCTTATTATAAAATCTAGCTCTCTAAAATGAAACATTTTTAAGAGTCCTACACAGCTGAATCCTGTAAAAATTTTTGTTTTATAGAGGAAGAAATCAATGTTAAACATCTATTATATACCAGATCCTTCATCTTCTAAAACTCTACATTAATTAAGATACTTTTTTCTCCACGGAGAACATCAAGAAGAAAATATGCCTAAAACACCAGGAAAGAGACTATCATCTGTAATAAAGATAGCAAGATAAGAAGTTCCAAAATTGTTTAATTTAGTTACTGAATGGCATCAGATGGGTTCTGGCTTGACCTTTTTTTCTCCCCATTTCCTTAAATTTCTAGAAGGTGGCTGCTATAGCAGCAAGGCCTGTGCCTTTACAAACAATGCCCAAGGCAGGAAGGGAAAGGGTGTAAGGGGAGGAAATCTCTTGCACAGAATTTATTTCCTTTCTTTGTCTCTCTCCCTCACTTTCATGAGTGAGGGAACTCATTCTCAGAACCCTATAGCTCTCAATGTCCAGTGCTGTGTTATTGTACATGGACAATGTTCAAACAAAAAACGATGCCAAGAATGTGCCTAATTTTAACTTTCAATCTCATAAGGAATGCCAGCATGTTGCTAAAGTGAGATGAAACTATGGCATTTCACCAAAACCCCCTTCATGACTGGGGTAATTATATCTGCAACTATGCTGTGATACCCTCAACTGAAGACAGCTTCTCACCCAAAGACAAGCCCCAATTCCCAGGCAGCTTATAACCAATATCTGGTCTTGTGGAATATAAACCCCCAGCACCTATGTCAACACGGGACTCCTGGCTTCAGAAGTCATTATGGGGTTGACAGAAATGTCTCCTGAGGCTGTCTTGCAGCCAACCTTTCTTGCCCATCTTCCTTCCATTACTCCTTCCTAGATGATCACCCAGAGAGCATTTCTCAGTGACCTTCATTCATAACTCATCTCAGAGGCTGCTTGTCAACAAACTCAATCTGAAAAAGATGGAAAGAAGTGGAAAAGAGCTCTAAGATCAGTAACTAATAGTTCTGCTAACTCTAATTTAATTCTCGCGATAATCTTATGGAGTTATTATCACTCCTTCAAGAAACAAGAATATAGAATAGTATTGACATTGAAAACCTTGTCCAAGGTCACACAGCACAGATCTTTGTCATGCTTTTTCTCAAATATCATGCCTCTTCTGTTGTTATGTTCATTTTTTAATTTAAAAATAAATCAAATGTAAAAGTTCATTTTTTGTGGTTTAGGTATTTATTTTTTTAAAACTATTTTTGTGTTTTGAAATTAAATGACTTGTAAAATTTAAGTTGAGTGGAATTATTTTAGTTGATGTTTATACTGATCTATTATCATTGTTTTTGCATCAGCTCTCTGGCTCTTTGGATTATTGCAATTGTCTATTAAGCTATGACCAGTCTTCAGAACCCTACGATGATTGAGCAAGGTTCTTTATTTTTCTGTTAAATCTTGCCTCAGAATTTAACTGCTATTTTTCAATGTAATTTTAGAAAGCATAATGTCAAATGCTGAAATTTAGTCAATATCCTGAGCAATCCAGGATGTATATTTTTATTTCTTCTGAGGATTCCACTGGAGAGAGTCTAGGAGGCCATGCTCTTTATTTAAAACATCTTTGGTTTAATGTTGCAGATGAACACTGGGGAAATTTGAAATGAAAAAAATAAAATCTTTATTCCGGAGATTCAAACTCCATTTTTCTCTGTTAGAGGTATTTTTAGTTTTAGATTATTTGATCTTATTCCTGTGAGCATTAATTGCTGCTTTTCTGCATCATTAATTTAGCACTTTAATATTGAGCCAGGTATATTATTGCATTGAAGCGTCTTACAATAAACTTTATTAAAACACAGATCATTCCACAGTCTGGAGAGGTGATAAACATGCCCATCTTAAAATTATAAGACTGGGTTTTTGCTGTGCAATCTAGGACGGGTTAAAAAAATCCTCTTCAGGTTTTTAATTCTTCAACCGCAGAGAGATGTGAACATGATATCTAAACAGCACAATATTATTTATTCATTAACTGCTTATTGAGGACCTACTCTGTGTCAGACACTGGGGATTTTAGAATAAATTATAAGATATGCTTCAGGAGCTAACATTATAAAACAGGAAATTGCCTGAAGGCACATAAAAATGAATAAAGGAAAAATGAGTTAATGGAAGAGTAAGTATTTTAAAAGCTTGACATAGTTTATTCTAATTAAACTAGAAAATTAACCAGAATACAAGGTCCACATTATCTCCATTTTCTAAAAATAAAAGCCTTCCCATGTTAATTGCGTAGAAATGTTTTCAGCTCAGATACCTCTCACCTCCCCAATCATTTAAGAATCTATAGTTATTTTGGTCTATTTATGTTCAATTATTTTTCAGTAGTGATGCCAAATGAATTGAATGGGGAAAAGGTATTCATTTCAACAAATAGTACTGGGAAAACCATATTTCCAGATACTCGCTGTGAACTTATGCTAACATTTTCAAGAGAAATATAATCCTTTTTCTTTAACTTCCCCCAACTGTGTTTTCTCCTGTGACCCAATTAATTTATTTATACTTCAAATGCAACCGGTTGTAGTTTCTTAACAGATCACACATATTACACTTCTGCTTCTGGCATTGTGCAAATGCTGTTCTTATAGTGATGTTTCTAATGCAAAAATCGGCAACAAGTGTTCTCAATAGTTTTAAAATATATCCAAATCACAGAGATAATATTTACCAAATTAAGGCAAAATAATATGCTTGTGATTTCTTCTTTGTATAAAAATACACTACAGTAAACCATTTCTGTATAAGTAGCAGTAGTGAGCCATACAACTTGTTGGCTCAAACACTTTTGATCAGATTATGTTTATCAGTGCCAAGAATGAAACTAGTTTTTATTTTTCGTTCTTTCTTTCTTTGTGATTTTTAAGTTTTTTTCTGAATATTTTTGAGCCACCACATAAAAGTATTTTTTTCCTTGAGAATTCCTATAGTCCATGAGCCATGTATGCATGGGTGTAAATGTAGCAGAAACCATTATTTGTTCCAAAATATACCAATTTCAACACACCTTCAAAACTCTAAATGAAATGTGTCATTAATGGAAGAACACCAGTGGCTGGGAAATGTATAAGCCTTGTCAAGTCTAAACTACACAGCCACAAACGCTAATGAATCTGCATCCCTTAGAAAAATATCCCCTCCTGGGTGTGGAGCTACCTATCTTTATGATCTTTAATATCCTGTGCCTGATGCACTAATTTTTTTTTAATGAAATCATTCAGACTTACAGCACATAATGAAAAATGAAAACTTTACAGCTAATGAATCCAGCCAGCCTATTTTAATTCCATGCCTAATTTTCCTTGGACATCAAGAGCAAACACCTCTGTTGGGGGAAAAAATACCATAGGTCTCTCACTCTTAAATCATGTTCAAATTACAGGGCCAGGGGGCAGGTTGCTGTTTCACCCAGCCTGGAGAATGAAGCCTTGTTCCTAGGTAGGGATAAGGTCCTGCCCAACTCACAATCATCTAACACAGCCCTATCAGCTTTAGCAAGCAAGAAGTGTTTGTTTGTTTGTTTTGTTTTGTTTTGTTTTTGAGGTAAGGGTTAGCTACATTTTGGTTAGACTCCAACCAAAAGAGAAGGAGTGAGGATAAGGGATTGCTCTCTGGCATAACTTCATTTGAGACAAAATGGCATCAGTAACACTCCATTTATTCTGTATTGTGCAATATTCAGTTTCTTCACAGCAAGATGGAAGACTAGGTCCCTAACTTTCTCTCCCAGAATCGATTAATATTAATAGTCTGAATAATAGGGATGAAAAAGCTGTTGTGAGTGGAGCATGTAACCTACTTTTGCAGTCTCCTGATTGGTTGGTGAACACTCCCTACTGCCTCTTTCTGGTGCATTGTTTCCCCTTCTGTCATTTAACTGCTTTAAGTTGAAATACATATGCAAGGATATTATTCATTAATAACTATTTTCCATCACAAAATTAACTGGAGTGAGACCTGATGTGGTGGTAATTTTGTGAAAATAAATAATTTAAAAATTTTCCCTAGGTCAGAAGCAAAACACATAGAGGCACACACATCTATGGTATTATATTATTATTTTTGCTTATATTTCTTTTGTTTAGACAAAAAGCTGCGAGGAGCACATTAATGGCATGAAAAGAAAGATGCTTTCTAAAAGTAAAGATGTCATGCTCTTCAGGAAAATGTTTCCCTGGGTCCGTTATGGTGAATCCTCTATTCTGCTGGTCTCCCTGGGCACACAGTAAATATTCGTTGATGGAATATAAATTTTCATGGGGTCTTACACTCCAAATGAGGAAAGAAATCACAGCGTCAATGTAAATTGCATATCTTAAACCAACTTTTCACTTCTGATTCTTTTATCTTCCTTAACTCTCCTCAGTTTGCTTTCTTTTAAATAATATATTAAAATGATGACTTTACTCTGCTTTTTGCTAGAGTATGAGCTTACTAGACACCAGTTATTATTGCTCAAATATTAATAATCACTTTATATCTTATCCTTGCTCTTGGAAATCTATTTGGATTTGACATATCTGAAAACTTAAAGTAAGCGACCTGTCTGCAATGTTGTTATGCTTGTCTCCTACTCATCTCTGTGAACTGCTGCTATATTTATGCTCTGTTTCTAATTGTAATACTCTGAACTGTTTCATATGCAGCATGCTTTTCTTTTTTAACCAGGATTAATCTGTGCAAAGGCAAGGATCGCTGTATATGTATGTATTAGGTGAATAATGTTTTTGTTTACCAAAAGAAAAATAAATTAGATGTGACAATTTCTTGTGATGAAGTGTGTATCAATTCCTAAAAAGCACCTAAAGTAAGAAGTTTTCAGTTCTATTATCAAGACACGCCTCATTAAATGTGTGATTTTTGAGCCGATCTTTTCTAAGATATAAATTCTTTGCTTTCAGTCGCTTATTTAATTCTCAGTTCTACCTACTTCTTTTTTTTTTTTTTTTTTTTTTTTTTGAGACAGAGTCTTGCTCAGTCGCCCAGGCTGGTGTGCATTGGCGTGATCTCGGCTCACTACAAGCTCCACCTCCCGGGTTCAGGCCATTCTCCTGCCTCAGCCGCTGGGACTACAGGCGCCGGCCACCATGCCCGGCTAATTTTTTGTATTTTTAGTAGAGACGGGGTTTCACCGTGTTAGCCAGGATGGTCTCAATCTCCTGACCTCATGATCCGCCCGCCTCGGCCTCCCAAAGCGCTGGGATTACAGGCGTGAGCCACCGCGCCTGGCCCGTTCTATCTACTTCTATATAACCCTACTGAAATTTTCTAAACTCAGAGTTTCAAAGCAATATTTAAGCCTAATGCAATAGCTTCCTCAGTGGTCTGTCTTTAGTCTTTCAACCTCCAATAGATCCTACATACATACAGCTTTCAAATAATCTTTCCTATATCCAAATATTTTCCTTAATTCTCCTCAAAGTCAACACATTGCCTTAACTGGCCCATAAGTTATTTTATTATCTTACTTCATTGCCTCATAAGCCTATGCTCCACCTATTCTATACCATATTTTTTTTCTGTGTGCTGTGTAACTTCCACATTTTTTGCCTTATTGCTTTTGACTGTGTTCCTTAATTTTCCTGGTTGCCCATTTATCCCTTATGAACTTGATCCAATGCCATCAGCTCTTAGTAGACTCTCCAAGATTATCTCCTACCAAGGAGTTCCATATTGTTTTCTCTTTTGTATCACTAAGTTACCTTCTGATAATATTCTGAGTGCAATTGCCTGATTTGTTATGTCTTCCTTAACCTAACTGTAAATATCTTGAGGAGTGTATTTTGACATTCAATGTAGGCACAGTGTCTGGCATATAGTAAGCTCTCAAAATGTTGCCCAGTAAATTAGCAATTGGATTAATAAATTAATATATTTTGCTGAATTTATGCTGAGATGAAGAAAAAAATTAGTAATTCTATTCATTTCCCATGTGTCTGTCATTTTTATGTTTTAGATGCTTTCATTATCTTTACTTACTAAAATTTGTTACAATGATAATCTTGGGAATCATTAGTTTAGTCTAGAGCAATTGCATAAAGGCTTCTGAGTGTGATATGTCTATGCTATGTCTAGGCAAACTGAAGTACAATAGAAATAAAATAATCAGAGGGTGATTTTGGAAAAAGAAAATAATGTATATATGAATGTTAAATTGCAGAGAAAATCATGAGGTGATTATCAATTTAGGAAAACAGAAATGCTCTGAAAGAAAGTTTACTTATTCAACAGTTCCTTACATTGATTGTTGACCAGGTACGTTTTCAGAATCTGGAGATGCGTGGGTGAACAACAACTACAACAACAACCAAAGAAAATTGTCAACATGGAGCTTGCCAACTAGGAAATATAATCATAATACACATTTTTGACTCTGCAGTGACCGTATTTTGGTTATATTGCTGTACAATTTGGCTATTAAGTCATAGTAAAGATAAACTATATTCTAGAAATGACGAAGGAGATTTGTGAAAGAGTACATGTGTATGCATATTAGTTAAAGGGATAATTCCTCCTCTATCATAATAGGCACACTTACTGTATAAACAATAGATTAAGAAAGTGGAGTATAAGCACATTATTTCAAAATATAGTAGTAACTACCAGGCAAAACAGTTCAATTAAGCAGTTATTTCTGGGGAATGAGACTGCATGGAAGATTAGAACAGGTAGATCTGTTTAATTATTTCATTTAAACATGTTGGTGGCATTATATTTGTGACTACTTTTAAACATCAATTTTTTTAAAAAAAGCAATAAAATATGGATAATACATTTTGGTGTCTGTAGAAGTGCCTTCAATTAGTTAATTACGAATGATGATATGCTTTCGTTAAAAAAAGAAATCATTAAAAGATCAAAAACCAAAAACAAATTCTGTATATGCTCAAAGATGGATATGCTTTCGTTAAAAAAAGAAATCATTAAAAGATCAAAAACCAAAAACAAATTCTGTATATGCTCAAAGATGAGAATATCATTATGTTACTATGATCCACACTACCTTCTATATAAGCTACTTCAGGACAAATTTCTATTCAATATATTGCTAGAATAAAATGGAGTCTTATTTTAAATGGATGATTTATTCTCTCTGATGAGAAATTGAAAGATAACACCATATAGTTCTTTATTACTTGGCTGCCAGGAAGCACATGGTTAACTAAATATGGGGTTGGAAGACATGTTTTCATTTTCCTTTTCAATGTCTAATTTTTTAAAAAATGTAATTCTTGTTTTATTAGCTTTATTATTTATGACTTTTATTTTATTCTGCCTCAAACCCTTTTAGTAAAGAAGTGGCACATGAATAAATAAGTAATAAGATGTCCTTGAAATATAGATGTGACAAGAAAAAGTTCACGAGCCCTAAAAGGATCACATAGTTCAGAATGTGAGATGCAGGGGCCAATGTATGGCAGTGAAAAAAGTAACTGTTACCATGGACCTAGAGCAAAATCGCTACAGCTATAAACAACCTGGAGACGGTTCAGAGTTGAAGAGTCACCAGGTAGGAATATTTCTGAATCAGGAGGAATAGAGTATTTTTACATAGAGACGAAATAAAATGAAACAACAGGGGAAAAAAAACAGCACTGTAAGCCTGAGTTATCAAACTTCTGTTAGATAATTAACAAAAAATATTGGGAGATTTTCTATAAACCCTGAAAAAGAAAAACAGCAAGAAGAGGCTCAGAAAGAAGAGGGAGAAAGAAGAGAAAGAAGAGGAAGACAAAGGGAAGGGGAAGAAAGTGAAGACCAAGGGAAGGAAGAAGAAAGATAGAATAAGTGGTAGAGAAAGAAGAGGTCTAAAAAAAAAAAAAAGAGACAAATACAAAGAAGAGGAGGAGGAGGCCAAGTACGAAGAGTAAAGGAATGAGATTGGAAATAGCTATTTAATATTTTAATACCCTAGAAATGATGCATCCTTTTCATAAGAAGAGATTGATGTCATAGTTGTAATACACTCTATATGTGGTCTAATCAAAGCCATCTCAATTTGTAGATGAAGAAGGCAAGGACTAATGACAAGAAATGAATTGTTGGCCGGGCATGGTGGCTCACGCCTGTAATACCAACACTTTGGGAGGCCAAGGCTGGTGGATCACCTGGGCTTGGGAGTTCGAGACCAGCCTAACCAACATGGAGAAACCCCGCCTCTACAAAAAAAAAAATACAAAAATTAGCTGGGCATGATGGCGGGCGCGCCCCCTAATTCCAGCTACTCCTGAGGCTGAGGCAGGAGAATTGCTTGAACCCAGGAGGCAGAGGTTGCGGTGAGCTAAGATCGCACCATTGCACTCCGCACTCCGGCCTGGACAACAAGAGCAAAAACTCTGTCTCAAAAACAAAAAAAAAAAAAAAGAAAAGAAAAAGAAAAAAAGAAACGAATTGTTTTTCTTCTTACAAAATTCCTCACAGCCATCTTGCTCAGCAACTTCACCTTGATGTCTCCCTACCTCCTTGTCAAATAAAGTTTCACTTGGAGTATCTATTAATTCCCACGGACCTTCATGTGTCTTTTGATTACATTACTATTTCAGAATTTTATTAAATCTCTCTATCATCTTTCCAAAATTGTTGTACATCTCAAATTCTGCTAGGCTAAAATTGTTTTAATGAATTAAAAATATATTAAGAAATTAGCACATACATTCAATGCCATTTTGAGAAATTACAAGCCTGCTGAGGGAGAGTAATGAACATCTACATTGGATTCTCTTGTTTTGTATCGTGCCATATCACTTTGCCTTGACTGTTGAAATACTTATAAATTCCTATGGGGGCTAGATGTGGTGACTCACGCCTGTAATTCCAGCACTTTGGGAGGCCAAGGCAAGAGGATCACTTGAGCCCAGGAATTCCAGACCAGCTTGGGCAACATAGTGAGATTTCAGCTCCACAGAAAAATTAAAAAATTAGCCAGGTGTGGTGGCATATGCCTGTAGTCTCACTTATTTGGGAGGCTGAGGCAGGAGTATAGCTTGAGCCCAGGTGGTGGAGGTTGGAGCAAGCCGAGATCATGCCACGGCACTCCAGCTTGGGTGACAGAGGGAGAACCCATCTGGAAAAAAATCCTCCTGGAAAGGAATTAACATTGATCCAGAACCTGCACTGTATGAATTACTGTTCCAGATCTTTTCCATAATCTAGGTCACAGAAATATTTCCCCCACATAAGAGATAAGAAAACTGAATGACAAAGAGGTAAAGCGATGCAATCAGGGTTGAGTTGAGAAAGGAGAAAAATGTGGATTTGTGTTTATGTCTCCCCAACACCAAAGCAGATTTTCTTTCTGTCATAAATGCTGACTGAAGTACCAATAATAATGAATCAGTAATATTTGTATTATCAAGACCTACTTACTTATCAAGACTTACTCATGATGGCATGAACATTGGACCAAAATTTCTTATTTTCTGTTTCACAGAAGTTGTTTTTAGCTTGCTACTAGGTCAATAAATTCCCCGTAATCTAGACGTGATGTGCCATATGGTGGGTTAATATTGCTATGAGAACTTTAATTTCTTTGGATTTCTGACATTTTATTTTCAACTTATCAATTTTATTTTGCCATTAGGACTGGTACTTTTTTAGCATTTATTTTAAAAAGAATTCTTCAGTTTCAGGTGATCCAGAATAACATATCCATCAGGTAATTCAGTGGAAAATATAACTCGAGACACAAACACATTTCTGTTCTGGTAAAGAAAGATTTCTCAATAAATCAGACGAACTGACATTCTCTTTATTAATGAGAAATTACTGGCTGGAAGTTGGATCCTTTCCTGTTCATGATATATTTGGAAATATTTCTTCAATAAAAGCATAAGTATGAGCTAGCTGCTATTTTGTTTTGCATCTCTGGTCAACCACACTGAAGATGCTTTAGTACAAAATAAACAGTCACCTGCTGCCTCTGCGTTGCAAGTAAAGGATCCATGTAACAGGTAGACAGACAGAGTAACTGAATGCCCCTGCACACTGTAGAGGCTTGAACACTAAACCTGTACAGATGAGCCAATTACCCTATTCAACTGAGAAATAAAATGTAATGGGAAAAGTGTTGGGCTTGTGTTCAAGATATGGCTTTACCAATTATAAGCTATATTATTTTTGAATAAATGAGTCACAGCTTCCTCAGCTTGAATATATTTAATATTTACTGAGAATAGAACTGTGAGGCTTATAGCTTTTTATGAACTTGAATTTTTAAGAAATACTAGTGTTTATTATAAAAATAATTGTTATAATTTATGTCACCAAGTCATGGCCATTGGAAATACTTTCTAAAATTGCATTGGAAAGGGTGCTACAAGACTTATTTTATTCAAATTCCAGTGAGAAATAGAGAAATTGGAATATAGAGTTGTTATTTCTAAAGTGCTTTAAAAATAAAAAGTATTGACGATGGTATTCATTGTCTTAAAAGACTGTAAAGAACAACATGAATTACTTAGCTTACCTCTTTCACATACTAAAAAGCCCCTATTGTTATGAGAATTTTTCTGCTAAATACACATCAATCATGTTTGAGGATTGAAAGAATTCTTCCTCATGTCTCTATTGAATAGCTCCTTTTTGGTTTATTGCGAGTTATTATATGACTTAAAAACAAGAAAATTGCATTTCTAAAAATAGCAAATTTTTATAACTCAAATTTTGACTCTAACTGGACATTCTTACAGGTAGACATTGTGAAGGTAGTTTAGGTTAGACTAGTATCTGATCGTCTAGAAATGCATAACCCAGCAAGGAAATAATGCTTCCTTACTTGACTCAAATTGATCGACCAGCTTTTAGCATCATTGGGAAATTTCCAACTTATCTCCTATTGCTAAATTTATAACAGATATAGATAATACATTTTAAACAAAGTTATAAATAATAGTATGAGCGAAAATATTATTGTCGTCTCTAATAAATTACCAATAAGGTTTTTCTTTGTATTATTACTATGGCATTTTGCCTGATATAATTGTATCCTCACAACAACGCAGTGATACAGATTTTAATCTACTATCAGGTGAGGAAACAGAAAGGGAGAGATGGTTAACTAAGCACATCATTCAAAATGTCAAACTGCTAACCAGAGGATCCTGGATATGAGGCCAAAACATATGCGAACTGCTCTGGGTAGCACTGACATAGTAAAAAATATTTAACAATTTCGACTTGTTCCTCCTTCACTCCCTTTGCCCATCCTCACACATGACAAATTTTGTTTCAAATTCATCCAGTCAAAATGTTCTGGATCTGGATTTTACCTATGGCCAGAGGGGATGCCCTTAGGTATCTCTGTCTTAAAGATTAGACATTTTCAGGTTAAATGTTTGGTTTTATTTTTCTCCCTATACACTAAACAAGAGGTCCTAAACAAGGATAGTATCTGAATCTCTTTTATGTACATAAAAACACAATAATAGGCTGGGGAGAAGATAAGAGCCACTGCTTTCCAGGTATGAGTTTCTACTTTTGAACAGTCTAATGGGAGTACTGAAAATGGCTCCTAGGCAAGTGAGTGGTTATGGGAAGAAATTTACCTAAACAAAATGGCAAATATTGAAACTCCTAATCTGAGAACATCAAGATCCTGTCTGAACACACAGACCTTACCCAACCTAAGAAAAATGACCTAGAGGTCAGCCCACCTAGCAGCAGTATCCTCTTTGTACTGCCACCTGATAGCCCAACCTCTACCCCCTGATAAAATTTCTGTAGGACAAATGCGAGGAGGACAGTGAACACAGCTTCTTCTCCTACTTTCTCTGGACACAATCACTCCCACACTTCATTCATAAAATTGGTCATTTTCACAGATATATATGCATTTGCATTTAAGGCTTTTATTAATTTAACCAGAGATCTTTAATAGGTAACTCTCAATGATGTAATCTATAAGCTGGGAAAAAGCTATGATGCTGTTGCTATAGAATGTACCATCACTATGACTATGCCTATGATACAGTAGTCATCAGGAATTATTAGTGAGAATCAAACTCGACTTGAAATCTAGGTCCACTGAGAGATGTTCTAATCCTTTAAAAAAAAAATCATAATCTCACTCTGTGGCCCAGGCCAGAGTGCAGTGGCATGATCATAGCTCATTGCAGCCCCTAATTCCTGGGCCCAAGCAATCCGCCTTCCTCGGCCTCCCACAGTGCTGAGATTGCAGGTGTGAGCCACCGCAACTGGCCCTGATCCAATAAAACTTCATTTAAAAGCTTCTATTCACAAGCTAAAAAAAGTCTCACTGAGTCCAGGTGGCATTACAATTGCAATCAAATACATTTTTGTTTTGAAATACTAGATTGGTGCAAAAGTAATTGCTGTTTTTACCATTACTTTTAATAAAATGCAGTTTATCAATTTTTGTCCCATTTCATTCCCAAACCCATACAGTGACTAGAACATATTCCTACATATTGCTTTCCTATTGTTGCCTGAACACATTGCCACAAGCTTGTCGGCTTAAAACAACACAAAGTCATTTTCTTACAGTTCTGAAAGACATAAACTCAAAATCAGCTTTACTGGGACAAAATCAGGGTGTTAGCAGGGCTAGGCTTCCTCCAGAATTTCTAGGGAGAACCCGTTTCCTGGTCTTTTCCAGCTTCTAAAGCTGCCGTCCTTGCATTCCAATGCCTGTAGCTCTTGCTTCATCTTCAAAGCCAGTGCCAGGACATCTGAGATTCCTCTCTGTTCCCACATTCTTCTCTCTCTTATCTCCAAAGCTGACCCCCGGCCTCCCTCTTATAAGGACTCAAGTGATTACATCACTGGGCCATATGACTAATTCAGGATAATGTCCCCATACGTAAAAATTTTTTTCCAACATAAAGCAATGTATTTCACAGGTTCCAGGAATTAGGACATGGACATCACATAATTAAAAAGTATGAACTAATACAGGAAAGATATATTGAAAGAAGTCAGTGAAAGCATTTGAACCCTGGTGGTTAACACTGGTGTTTAACCCTGCTTTTTAATGCTTTTTTATTTTTAAAAAAATTGAGTTAATTTTAGACTTACAGAACATTTACAATTTCTATATTCCCATTATCTAGTTTCCTTTTATTCTAACATCTCAATCTTGAGACATTTATCTAAACTAAGAAATGAACTTTGAGACTATGCTATTAATTAAAATATAGAACTTATTTGAAGTTCATTAGTTTTTCAATTTTTTTTTTTTGTTCTAGGATCCCATTCAGGTTTCCACGCTATATTTACTTGCCTTGGCTCTCAGTCTCCCTTAATCTGGGACAGATGATTAATCTTTCTGTGTTTTCACTTTACGGAGTCACTTGCCTCCATCTTGGTTTCTTTTAAAAAATGTACATACAGTAAAGTTTACATTGCGTTTCGTATAGTTATATGGGGTTTGGACTAATGAGTAAGTTGCCTATCCACTAATACCATTCCATACGGAACACTTCCACCACCCCAGACATTCCTTTTGTGAAGAATTTCTCCTTCCCTCAATCCCTGGAAACCACTGACTGGTTATCTTTCCTCTATTTTTCAGAGGATGTAATATAAATGGAATTATACAATATGTAGCCTTTGGGTCTGGCTTCTTACACTTCCTAAAAGGCATTTAAGAACCATCCAAGTTGTTCCATGAATCAATAGTGTGTTTCTTTTAATAGTAGTATTTTAATGTATGGATGGACCACAGATTGTTTATGCACTAGGGGTTGAAAGACATCTGGTTGTTTCCAGTTTGGGGCAATATAAATAAAGCTGCCATAGCATTCACATACATATTTTTATGTGAAGGAAATATTTTATTTCTTTTGGGTAGAAATTCAGAAGTGGGATTTCTGGGTCATATGGCAGGAGTATGTTTAACTTTATATAACAAAGCAGATAACGTTTCCAGACATGGCTGTACTATTTTACATTATCATTGGGAATGAATTGCTGCTCACTAAGCAAAAGTTGTTGATTCAACTAAAAGTTTATCAAGTTTTTATTTTATGGGTTATACTTTGGAGTGATAGTTAATAATTCTTCGGTCAATCCAAGTTCACCAGTTTTTCTCCTGTATATTCTTCTAGAAATTTTATAGTTTTAGGTTTACATTTAAATCATGAAACCATATTGAATTAATTTTTATATTAGGTGTGAGAAAAAGGTTGAAGATTTTTTTATTTAAAAGTTTTATTGATATTTAATTCACATGCCATACAATTCACCCACTAAAGTTATAATTAAATGGCTTTTAAGAGGGTTGTTCAACCATCATTTCAATTTTTGAACACTTTCATCATCCCAAAAAGAAAACTCACACCCTCTGACTGTTGATCTTAACCACCCACCCCTCTGCAGCCCTAGGAAACCACGGATGTACTTTCTGTCCCTATGCATTTGCCTATTTTGAACATTATACAAATAGGATCACACAATATGTGGCCCATTGTGACTGACTTCTTTTCCTTGGCATAATGTTTTCAAGGGCCATCCATGTTGTAGCACATGTCAAGTAAAGTTGATCTCTGAACCACACAGGTTTCAGCTGTGCAGGTTCACTTATATGCTTTTTTTTTGTTTTAAACCAAATGCAGTTCGAAAATACAGCATTCATGGGATGCAAAACCTGTATGAATGGAGGGGTGACTTTTCCTATACACCACAGAGCTGAATTTGCAACTTGAGTCTGCCCAGATTTGAGTTTACCTGGTTAGTCCTAGAACCAATCTCCTGCATATACTCCTGCAATACCCAGGGACAAGTGTACTCTATTTCTGTTTTTTGCCTAGTAATATTTTTCTCTATGAACATACCGTATTCTATTTAGTCATCTATCAGTTGATGAATGATTGAATTGTTTCCATTTTTTAGTTATAAATAATTATGTTATGAACATTTGTGTACAACATTCGGGTGGACACAAGTTGTCATTTCTCTTGAGTATACATCTAGAAGTTGAATTGGTGAGTCACATAGTAACTTAATGTCTCATAGTTTGAGCAACTGCTATATTGTTTTCCAGGATAGTTTAGCCATCTTACATCCCACCAGCCTTTTATGGGGGACCTAATTTCTCCATATCCTCACCAAAGTTTGTCTTTTTGACTGTAGCTATTAAAGTGGATGTGAAGTGGTATTTGACTGGTTTAGCTTTGCATTGAAATAAATAGTCTGAATCAATTTTTAATGTTTGACTGCCACTAAGCCCCTCTCTTGTTCCCTCTGCCTTGTGTCTGCACAAGGTGATATATAAGCCAGAGCACTCCGTCTTTGGGCATGGACAGAAGTCTCATAACGCGCAAGTCCTTCCTCAAGTATGGGAAAGCTCACTCAGCATCACTTCCTAACTTCCATAAAAACTCTAAACCAACTTCCTTTCTTTGCTCTCTTGAGTACTTTTTAAACCAGATTACGAGGGCTGTCATGCTCTTCTCATTAGCTTTATTATGTAAATGATGAACTTTTCTTGCCACCTTGGTCCTTGTGCCATCATCAGTCTTGATGGCTGAATCAAACATTTTGTGAGGTCTATTTGGTCACTATGAGATGGCCACAAGATTTCTAATGGCTAGCGATGTGGAGCATCTTTTCATGTGCTCATTGCACATTTGTGATTTTCTTCTGAAAAAATATTTCTTCTAATCTTTTGTAAATTTTTAAATTGGGTTATTGTCTTTTTACTATTGAGTTTTAATAGTTGTGCATATTTTCTAGATATAAGTCCCTTATCAGGTATATGATGTGTAAGTATTTTCTGTCACGGTGTGGCTTATGTTGTCACTTTATTGATGAGGTCCTTTATGGATGAGGTCCATCAAAGCACAATAGTTTTTAATTTTGGTGATGTTCAATTTGTCTATTTTTTCTCTTTTGTTGCTTTTGCTTTTTGTGTTGCATTTACAGGGTCATAAAGATTGTGCCTAGGTTTTTTTTCTTTTAATTTTATAGATTGAGCTTTTACATTTAGGCTTTTCATTTACTTTGGGTTAATTCTGACATATGGTATAAGGTAGAGGTACACACTATTATTTTCATGTGGCTGTTTAGTCACTTTATTACTATTTATTGAAGCTACTATTCTATCCAGTAGAAAATTAATTAGATATAATGTGAAGATTTATTTCTGAACTTTCAACTTGATTCCATTGGTTTACATGTATTGTTAGGACCGTACCACACTGTATTGATTAATGTAGTTTTGCAGTAATTTTTCAAATTAGGAAGTATGAATCTTTCAAATTTGTTCTTCAAGATTATTTTGAATATTCATAGTCCTTTGAATTTCCATATGAATTTTAGGACTATCTTCTCAATTTTTGCAAAGAAGTGGGCTCAAGTGATCCTGCCATCTAAGCCTCCCAAATAGCTAAGACTACAGGCATGCGTCACACGCCCAGCTGATTTTTTTAAAATGTATTTTTAGTAGAGATGAAGTCTCGATATGTTACTCAGACTGGCCTCAAACCCCTGAGCTCAAGTAATCCTCTTGCCTTGGCCTCTGCAAGTGTTAGGATTACAGGCGTGAGACACCACACACAACCCAACATTTTAGTTTAGATTCAAGGGAGACATATGCAGGTTTTTGACATGAATATATTATATGACACTGAGGTTTGAGCTTCTAATGATCCTGTCATCCAAATAGTGAACAGAGTACCTGATAGGTAGTTTCTCAAAATGTGTCCCTTCTCTCCCTCCCTCCCTCCCACCTTTTTGAATCCCCAGTACTTATTGTTCCCAACTTTGTGTCTGTGCAAACTCACTGTTTAGCTCCCACTAATAAATGAGAACATGAAGTATTTGGTTTTACATTTCTACAGTAATTTGTTTAGGATAATGTCGTCCAACCTCATCCATGATGTTGCAAAGAGCATAATTTTATTCTTTATTAGGACTGCATGGTATTCCATGGTGTATATGTACCACATTTTCTTTATCCAACTCATCATTGATGGGCACTTAGATTGATTCCATATATTTGCTATTGTGAATAGTGCTGCAATAAACATGTAAGTGCAGGTGTCTTTTTGTTGAAACAATTTATATTTCTTTGGGTATATATTCATTAATGAGATTGCTGAGTCGTACGATAATTCTGTTTTTAGTTCTTTGAGAAATCTTCAAACTACTTTCCACTGGGGCCGAACTAATTTATATTCCCACCAGCAGTGTATAAGTGTTTCCTCTTCTTCACAGTCTTCCAAACATCTATTATTTTCTGATTTTTTTTTAGTAATAGCCATTTTGACTGGTGTGAGATGGTATCTCACTGTGGTTTTTATTTGCATCTCTCTGATCATTAATGATGTTGAATGTTTTTTCATATGTTTATTGGCTGCTTGTATGTCTTCTTTTGAGAAATGTGTATTCATACCTTTTGCCCACATTTTAGTGGGGTTATTTGTTGTTTCCTTGTTGATCTGTTTAAGTTCTTTACAGATTTTGAATATTAGACCTTTGTTAGATGCATGATTTGCAAATATTTTCTCTCATTATGTAGCTTGTGTGTTTACTCTGTTGGTAGTTTCTCTCGCCATGCAGAAGCTCTTTAGTTTAATTAGGTCCCACTTGTCAATTTTTGTTTTTTGTTGGATTTGCATTTGTGGACTTAGTCATAAATTATTTGCCTAGGCCAATGTATAGAAGGGTATTTCCTAGGTTTTATTCTAGGCATTTTACAGATTGAGATCTTAAATTAAGTATTTAATCCACCTTGAGTAAATTTTTTATATGATGAGAGGTGCCCACCCAGTTTTATTCTTTTGCATATGTATAGCCATTTTCTCAGCACCATTTATCGGTTAGGGTTTTCTTCCTCCAATGTTCATTTTTGTCAACTTTGTTGAAGATCAGTTGGTTGTAGCTTTGCAGCTTTCTCTATTCTGTTTCATTGATCCATGTGACATTTTCTTTTATCTTTCCTTTTTCTTTTTCTTTTTTCTTTCTTTCTTTCTTTCTCTTTCTTTTTTTTTTAATCAGTACAATGCTTTATTGGTTACTGTAGCCTTGTAGTATAGTTTAAAGTAGGGTAGTGTGATGTATCCAGCTTTGTTCTTTTTGCTTAGGTTTTTTGGTTATCCAGACTCTTGTTTTGGTTTCATACAAATTTTAGAATATTTTGTTTAATTAAGTGAAGAATTACATTGGAAATTGAATAGGAATAGTGTTGAATCTGTAGATTACTTTGGCAGTGTGGATATTTTAACAATATTGATTTTTCTAATCCTTAAGCATGGAATCTGTTTCCATTTGTTTATATTGTCTATGACTTCTTTTATCAGTGTTTTGTAATTCTATTGGTTGAGATCCTTCATCTCTTTATCATCTCTTTGGCTAGATGTATTGCTACATTTTATGTGTGGGTGTGTGGCTATCATAAATGGGATTGCACGATTGCACTCTTTACTTGATTCTCGGCTTGAACATTATTGGTGTGTAGAAGTGCTCCTGATTGTTGTACATTGATTTTATATCCCAAGAACTTGCTAAAGTCATTTATCAGGCCTAGGAGAAATTTGGTAGAATCTTTACGGTTTTCTATATATGGAATCATAAAGTCAGCAAAGAGAGATAATTAGACTTCCCATTTTCTTTTCTTATTTAGATGCCCTTTCTTTCTTCTGCCTGATTGCTTTGGCTAGCACTTTAATAGTATGTTGAATAGGAGCAGTGAGAGTAGACATCTTTGTCTTGTTTGAGCTCTCAAAGAGAATGGTTCCAGCTTTTAAGGTACAGTATGATGTTTGGCTATGAATTTTACATAGATGGCTCTGATTATTTTTGTATATATTTCTTTGATGCCTAGTTTATTGAGGGCTTTTATCTTGAAGGGATATTGAATTTTATCAAAAGCTTTTTGTGTGCTATTGAGATATTCATATGGTTTTTTTTTTAGTTCTGTTTATATGATGAATTACATTTATTGATTTATATGGGTTAAACCATCCTTTTGTCTGAGGAGTAAAGCCCAGTTGATCATGGTTAATTAACTATTTGATGTTTTAGTGGATTCGGGTTGCTAGTATATTGTTGAAGATTTTTGTGTCTATGTTCTCCAGGCTTGTAGTTTTCTTCTTTTAATTGTATCTCTGCCAGATTTTTGGTATCAAGAGCATTCTGGTCATAGAATGAGTTAGGGAGGAGACCCTTCTCCAATGTTTTGGAACAATTTCAGTAGGATTGGAACCAGTTCTTCTCTCATGTCTAGTAGAATGTAGATGAAAATCTATCTGATCCAATGCTTTTTAGACTGGTAGGCTTTTTATTAACTACTTAATATCATTACTTTTCCTTGGTATCTTCAAGATTTCTGTTTCTTTCTGGTTCAATCTTGGAAGGTGTCATTTTTCCAAGAATTTGTCTATTTTCTCTAGATTTTCTAGTTTGTGTTCAGAGATGATCATAGTAATCTCTGAGGGCTTTTTCTATTTCTGTGGGATCAGTTATGATGTCTCTTTTGTCATTTCTGATTGTGATTATTTATATCTTCTCTTTTTTTCTTTGTTAATCTAGCTTGTGGTCTGTCGATCTTGTTTATCCTTTCAGTGAACCAACTTTTCATCGTGTTAATCTTTGTATGTTTTCTTGAGTCTCGATTTCATTTAATTATGTTCTGATCATAGTTATTTCATTTCTTCTGCTAGTTTTGGGTACAGTTTATTCTTCTTTATCTAATTCCTTTGGTGTGAGGTTAGTTTGTTAATCTGAGATCTTTCTGTCTGTTAATGTAGGTGTTTAGCGCTAAAACATTCCTCTTATCAGTTTTTGCCACATTCCAGTGATTTTGGTATGTTTTGTCTCTATTTATATTTGTGACAAAGAATTTTTCAATTTCTTCCTTAATTTTGTTTTTTACCCAAATATCATTTAAGAGGAGCAAATTGTTTGGTTTTCATGTATTTGTGTTTTGAGACTTCCCCTTGGTATTGATTTCTAATTTTATCCTCTGTTGCCTGAAAAGATACTTGGTATAATTTAAATTTTTTTGTTTGTTGAAACTTGCTTTATGACTGAGTATGTGGTCAGTCTTACAGTAAGTTCTGTGGGCAGTTGAGAAGAATGTATATTCTGTGGTTGTTGGCCAGAGTATTCTGTCGATGTAGGTCCAATTAGTCAAGTGTAGAATTTAAATGAGAAGAATGCATATTCTGTGGTTGTTGGGTGGAGTATTCTGTAGATGGAGGTCGAATTGGTCAAGTGTAGAATTAAAGTCCAGAATTTCTTTGTTTAGTTTTCTGCTTTGATCATCTGTCTAATGCTATCAGTGTGGTGCTGAAGTACCCCACTATCTCTATGTGTATGTAAAAGTTTTTTCTTAGGTCTAGAAGTAATTCTTTGTTAAATCTGGGTGCTATAATGTTGGGCGTGTACATATTTAGGATAGTTCGGTCTTCTTGTTGAATTGAATGTCCTTCTTGTCCTTTTTTTTTTTGAGACGGAGTCTTGCTCTGTCGTCCATGCTGGAGTGCAGTGGCATGATCTCTGCTCACTGCAAGCTCTGCCTCCCAGGTTCACGCCATTCTCCTTCCTCAGCCTCCCGAGTGGCTGGGACTACAGGCGCATGCCACCATGCCTGGCTAATTTTTTGTATCTTTTTTAGTAGAGACGGGGTTTCATCACGTTGGCCAGGATGGTCTCGATCTCCTGACCTTGTGATCAGCCCGCCTTGGACTCCCAAAGTTCTGAGATTAGAGGTGTGAGCCACCGTGCCTGGCCTCTTTGTCCTTTTTTACTGGTATTGGTTTAAAGTCTGTTTAGTGACCCTTGCTTTTTTTTGTTTTCCATTGGCATGATACAATTTTCTCTATCTCTTTATTTTGAGCTTATGGGTGTCAGAACACATGAGACGAGTCTCTTGAAGATAGCAAAAGAATAGGTCTTGATTTTTATCTAATTTTACACTTTATATCTTTGAAATGAAGTGTTTAGTCTATTTAAGTTCAAAACTAATATTGATATGTGAGGTTTTGTTCCTATCATGGTGTTGTTAGATAGTTGCTTTGTAGTCTGGATTGTGTGATTGCATTATAGAATTTGTGGGCTATGCTTGTGTGTACTTTTGTGGCATCCAGCATTTAATTTTCATTTCCATGTTTAGAACTCCCTTAAGTATCTCCTGTAGGGCTGGTCTAGTGATAACAATCTCTCTTAGCAATTGCTTGCCTGGGAAATACTTTATTTCTCTGTCATTTATGAAGTTTTAATTCAGAAGGATATAAAATTCTTCGCTGGTATATTTTTCTTTAAGAATGCTAAAAATGGGCCCTTGATCTTTTCTGGCTTTTAAGGTTTCTTCTGAGAATTCTGCTGTTAGGTTGATGGGCTTCTCTTTACAGGTAATATAACCTTTTTTTCTAGCTGTATTTAAACTTTGTTTTGTTTTGTTTTGCCTTGTTTTTGTTGTTTTTGTAATGATCTTGGATAGTCATTTAATGACTATGTGCCTCGGGGATGGGCATCTTGTGTAGTATCTCATAGGAGATCTCTAAATTTCTTGTATCTGCATGTTTCTTAATCTTTAGCAAGATTAAGAAATTTTTCCTGAGTTATATCCTCAAATATGATTTCCAAGTTGCTGATTTTCTATTATTCTCTCACAGGAATGCCAATAAGTCATAGATTTGATTGTTTTACATAATATCATATTTCTAGAAGGCTTTGTTCACTTCTTAAAATTCTTTTTGCTTTGTTTTTTGTCTAATACAGTCAACTTGTAGGACTAATCTTTGAGCTCTGAAATCTTGTCTTCTGTTTGGTCCCATTTGTTATTCAGGTTTCCAACTGTATTTTGAAATTCCTGCAATAAATTTTTCATTCCTAGAACATCTTTTTGGTTCTTTCTTAATATAGCTATGTCATTTTTCAAAACTTGGATTGATTTTCTGGCTTCTTTTTGTTGGATTTCAACTTTCTTTTGCATCTCATTGAGTTTCTTTGCAATTCATAGTCTGAATTCTATATCTGTCATTTCAGACATTTTGTTCTGCCTAGAATCCATTGCTTGGGGACTAGTGGGATCCATTGGAGGTGACTAGACATTCTGGCTTTTCATATTGCCAGAGTTCTTGCACTCTATTTTTTGAATTTGCTACATTTTTGATTGGACTTCTTGATTATTTTTCTTTTTTCCCTTGAGAGTATGCTGTGGTGTGTATTGTGTATGATCAATTGTTTCCATTTCTATGTGCTTTCAGAGGAGAATTTGGGCAGTGGCTTTCTTAGATGTAGCTTGTGGCAACATAATTTTGTTTGGCGGTGTAATTCAGGCTGAATTCCAGTAGATGGCACTGAGGAGTAATAGCTAGTCAGTAGGGAGGGGGCAGAGGCAATGGAGAAGTGTGAAAAGTGCCCTCCCCCAGCACACAGCGAAGCCACCGGAGAAGCCTGAAAAGTAGTGTCTTTCAGCCCATGTTTCCTGAAGAGCCTATGGGAAGAGTCATTGTCTGAAACAGTGCACTGAGGAGGGAGTTAGGAAGCAAAAGGTGACCCCATGTCTTTTCCTGGGCTTGAATGGTGCTGCCTTCTGTGACTGGTGACACACTCCACATTTCCCTTGGTCCAAGGGGGTCTATGATGACCGGCACTCCCCTTCTCTTAGAGGTGGACTGCACAGAGCATTAGATTTCCAAGGGAGTGGGGTCCTCCTCCCACTCCTCAAAGTTTGTGGGGTATTATGCTCCAGCTGACCAAGGGATCAGGCTCAGACATCCAAAACGATACACAGAGACTAGTTCCAGGTGACAAAGCTGTCCCTTGCTGAAAGTCTCACCACCCAGGAGAAACCTCAGCTTTAGTTACTCTCCTCCCATTCCAGCCCTAAGATGAAGGAGAGCCTAATTGCAGCACCTACTGCGGGGGTACTCTCCACACTCACTGGTTAATTCTGGCCGTGAGGGCCTTCCTCATTCCAGAGCAAGTGCTCCAATCTCTGGCTTAAGACTAAAATGCCTGCTATGGCTGCTGATTCAATGTCTCTAAACTTTTAAAGTGGTGGCAGCTTTAGGTTTGTGACCAAAGAGGGTAGGCCCCCCTCAGGTGAGCAGCATGAGCAAGAAACTCTGGGAAGTGCAGTCCACATGCAACTCTATCTCACAACATCCCACAGCAGGGCATCTAGTATTGTCCTAGGTATGCACAGGAGAACCTGGCTTCCCTGTCCCGCGTTGGCTGGTCAGTGGCTTCAGCCTTGCCAGCCCAAATTCAGGCCAAGCACGGATTGCAGCTCGGCATTAGTCTCTCAAAATTATATGTTGACCCTGGAATCAGGGAGGGTGGGGCACTACCCAGACAAGCACCATTGGCAAGAAGCTGGAGGCAGTGCAGTCTCATCACTTTCAGTCATACCAGCCCACTGCAGGGTAGGGGGTATTGTCCTATACATGTGTAGGATGGCCTCATCTCCCTGTGCCTTTTTGCCTGAGCAGCAGCTATTGCCATGTCAATTCAAGCTCAGGCCAAGGTTGGGAGGCAGACCAGTGTTAAAGTCTCAAAATGCCACCTTGGTGGGGATCAGAGAGGATGGGGCATCGCCCTGGCAAGCAATATGAGCAAGAATCTGTGGGAAATACAGTCCACTCAAGTCTCTGCCTCACAGCAGCCTGTTCCAAGATGTTATGCTAGACTAGACGTTCATAGGATGTCCTAGTAACCCTCCCTTGGAGGCTGGGCAGCAGCTTCAGCGTGTCAGCCTAAACTCAGGTTGAGTGAGGGGTGCAGCTTAGCATTAAATTCTCAAAATGCTATTTGGTCTAGGACCAGAGAAGGTGGGGGATACCATCCAAGAAAACAGCCTGGGTGAGAAGCTATGGGGAGTGTGGTCTAATCATGTCTCAGTCCCAGTGGCTTATAGCAGAGCAGCAAATACTCTCCCAGGGGGTGAGTGGGCGCACCCCATCTTCCTCTCTGTCCTTGGAGCAGTGCCGTGGCTGCAGCCATGTCTCTACTCCTGGTATCGGGGCTCTCAAAATGGTTCTCAGCTGAAGCTGCTCCAGGCTTGGCTGCCTGTGGGATTCTGTACGCGTTCTCTTTCTGGAGCAACATCTTTGCAGACTTTAGGCCACTCCATATGCCAGGCATAAATTCCTAGTAGGCTGAGTGTTTCCCCTGTAGCCAAGATTGTTAAAGCCTGTTTCAGAGCTCTGGGGATTTCTTTCTTACTACTTCTCCATGTCCAGCCTCTCCCACTCTCAGTTGGTTTGCGGCTGGGCAAATTGCCTCAAGCCCATCTTCTTACTTACTTCTGGCACTTCTTGTCTCTTCTCTGATGAATCCAGGCATTCTCTCCTAGATGATGTGCTTGGATTGTGAGTATATGCTTACTATTATGGCTGTCCTCTGTGGAGGAGGTGCACATTACGTGAGTCTGGTCAGGCATTTTCCACCCCTCCTCCCAGCTGAAGAATTTTTTAACTTTTCATTTAGGTTTATTGACAATTAATTTCCTTACTTTTTGTCTTTCTGATAAAAAATATTTTGTATTTTTTTTCTGAGTTTTGAAATCGGAGTTGACAATGTTTTGGGTTTATAGTTTATTTCATTTAATAATATGACTTTTTAATGATCTTTTATGGCTTCTGACAAGAATTCTTCTGTAATGCTTATCTTTGTTACTTGTTAAATGTTTCTTTTTTCTCTGAGAGACATCAAGATTTTCTCCTTTTTGTTTTATTTTGTTTTTAGCAGTTTGAATATCATACCCTTAGACGGTGTGTGTGTGTTTAAATTTTATTTTGTTGTTTGTTTGTTTTATTTTTATCCTGCTTCCCTTTTTCTTATCTTTTTGCCTCAGTGATTTGGTATCAGCTGTGTTTTGGAAAATTTCTTGTTTGCTCTCTTTCTCTACCAGCATTCTAATTTCACATGTTAGAATACTTGATATTGTTTCACAGCTCTTGCATGCTCAGTCTTGATTTTGTTGTTGCTGTTGTACTCTTTTATTTTTTGTGTGTTCAAGTTAGGTTGATTTCTATTGATTTTTCCTCAAATTTGCAGATTCTTTCTTCAGCTGTGTTGAATATACTGATGAGCTATTTGAAAATATTCTTCATCTTTATTACTGTTTTTTTTTTAAATTTCTAGCAGTTCCAGTGATTTACTTTTACAATTTCCATTTCTCTGCTGAAACTAACCATCTGATCTGTTTTCCATTAGAGTCTTTAGCATATCAATCTTTTTTTAACATTCTTTATTAGTCTAAAATTTATGTCATGTTGGAGTATAGTTCTAATCGTAACTTCGTTGGAGGTTTTGCCTGTGTTTTACATGCCTTATAGTTACTTTTTTGTTATATGCTAAACATTTTTATAGTACACTAGACACTAGGGTAATACTTTTTATACCTGAAGTTGGACACACCTTTCTTTCTGCTAGGTCTTCACCAGAAACTTCAAATTGATGTAAATGAATTGCTGTATGGAGTATGGAGGTTGTCTTTCCATAACAATGTCTGTTTGTTTCTGAGTTTTAGGTATTTCCTTTACATTGTGTCTCAGAAAGGGCATCTCTTGTTCTTTTACCAACTGCATTCTGCTATTACTTTCTAATTCATGCTCATTAGCTCATTCAGGGTGGGGTGAGGTTGCAGCCTCTATTCTTCTGATTGAACCTTTGTGTTAAGTATACATTATTTCCCTGAATCTCCTGGGTGTCTGGGTGTGGCCTTTTTTTTTTCTTTTAATCTCATGCCCTTTCTCCAGCTAAAATTGTAGTATCAGTGTGTAATCATGACAGTTTTATTGATTTAGTTTTTTACCTCTTCCAGTCCCCTAACTATGGTAGTTTCATTAATGTTTTAGGGACAGCAGTGCTTCCCTTTCTTCTGCTCCTAGAATAAGGCGTTTCTTCCATCGTGGAGAAGAGGATAATAATCCAAGCAGAGTGTCTGACCAGTCCCTCAGAAATATTCCCCTCCTTAGATCTGCATTGCAATAGACAATCCTGTGAGCTTTTTTTCTGATATTTTCTGGGATAACCTGGTGGAGTTCATTAAGAAAGTGCCTTCAAGAGAGTGCAGGTTCACCCAGTTTCTATGGCACTGTGGGGTTTTATGCTATCCTAAAATATTACACCTGGTCTTCAGCAATTTGTCAACTATTTTGCTTATTGCTTTCTACTGACATCTGGTTGCATAATTCAAAGGAGTGCTTTGTCTCACTTCTCTTCCTGTAGGTACCAGTTCTCAGAGTTTGGTTTAGTTTGTTGCATTGTGACTTCAACTCTCAATGACTTCAAACTAAGTTACTAATTTGATGTAGTTTTTTCTTCTTCTCTGTAAGGGTGAGAGTAATACTCTTCAAGTTTTCTACTTCCCAGGGTAGAAACCATCAACATAAAATATTGTGAACAGTGAGATTATGTCTTAAAGTGAGCTTTCCTTTTGTTAATCAAAATGCTAGGGAAATATGTTATGATAATAATATTATAATATTTGATAATATTTAATAATATATTACATACTATTAATAATATTTATTTAATAATAATATTAAAATTGCAGATATTTATTAGGCTTTTATCAAGTGTTAGGCATTTTGACCAAGAATATATGGTTAATTGTTATCACACCCAGACTTGTAAGACAAATGGAAAGTTCATGTGAAAAACAAGACAATGGACAATGGCTCCTTGGCTAAAAAGGCTCCGCACCCCCTTTAGATAAGCATCACTCTGAGTATCACATAAAACCTTAACATTTATTATTTTAAATACCTTGGTGTGGTACTTGTTTCTTTCAAAACTAAAGTGAAAACTGCATTAGCTAAGAAAAGAAATGCAGTATTCACGGACCTGACAACTTAAGTGCATTTGCACCTTACTTCTTAAGATGTTGTTTAAAAGAGCTCTTCAATCCTTCTTTGGAAAGAAATACCTCCTTTCATTTTTTTCCTTGATGATTTATTAGAGTAACTCAAATTTAGCTCAGTCCCTAATAGATTAATAATTCTATATTAGTTTTTGGGTAAATAATAATTGTACGTATTTATTGGGTACATGTGACATTTTTAAACATGCATATAATGTGCAGTAATCAAATGAAGGTATTTAGGACCTCCATCACCTCAAGCATTTACTTCTTTGTGTTGAGAACATTCCAGACCTCCTCCCCTAGCTATTTTTAAAAACAGAATAAATTACTGTTAATGATACTCATTCAATTTGCAAGTGAACACTAGAAATTGTTTATTCTATTGAACTACATTTTGTACCTATTAACCAACCTGTCTTTACACCCCCACCCCACTACCCTTCCCAACCTCTGGTAACTACCATTCTCATCTCTATCTTCATGAGATAAACTTTTTTAGCCCACACACGAGTCAGAACATATACAATATTTGTCTTTCTGTGCCTAGATTTATCCATGTTGTTTCAAATGACAGAATTTTATTCCTTTTAAAGCTGAATAATATGCCACTGTCTATATATACACCACATTTATTCATCCATTCATGGACATGTAGATTGATTTCTATATTAATTTTAATATTGAGATATTTCAAAGGTTGATACTTGAAGGGCTTGTTTTAGTGAATTAGAAAATGCTGAATGTTTCTGTACTTACTTCCTAGTATCTCTCACAGTAATATCCATCTATTGACTTTTGCTTCTGCTTTTCAGTAAGCTATTTTTAGGCTGGGCTTGAATGTCTGTTTCCCAGGGACATCTTTCCTAATTTTCAGATGTTCACTCTTTTTTTAATGCCAGGTAAGGATCACATGGTACTACAGATTTTTCATGACAATCATGATAATTTATTATAAGGCCTTGTCTTATCAGTCTCTTCTATCTAGGTTATAAACTCCATAATGAGAAAACCTGCTGTTCTCTTATTTTGTGTTTATCTTATGCATCCAGCATCACACATGGCACAATAAATATTTATTGCATAAAGACAGCAGGTACTCAAATGCTTACAAATACACTTCACTTTCAAATTTAACCTAACTAGGAACAGAATTCCATTATATTTATTTTCATATTCTCAATGGCCATTTTTTATTTCAAAACATGGTAGAAAATAAGTGTTTCCTGATAAAATTAATAAATCATTCAAGTTTAACATGTTGCTCACTTAGTATTTTTTAGAGTATGGTTTGAATGTTTTATATTGGATGACTTTCATCCTGTTATCTCTGACCATTTTCTCTGTCTATTTTTCTTCATTTAAATTTGCCTTTTAAAAAAACACAAATGATCAAGGCTATGTCTACAGTACACTAAAACACCTGGCTCATTCATATAAGTGAAAGAAAAGAACACAGTTACATAAATGGACAAAAATATAAATAAAAATCAGTCAAATTGTTTCTCACTGCAAAGACGACATAAGCAGCTGACTGATTTCTTTTTCACTATTCAATTCCTTGATTTAACACTATTATCACACAACTTGCAAGTATGTGCATTAAGTCTTTAAGTTACAGCCAAAGAAGAATAGCTCAGTGAGATTCATTTACTCTCCCTGACTTTGGGAAGGAAGCCTATTCATTAAAAAGATGTGATGCAGAACACGAAGAAAGAATGGGCAATTCTTCAACCTGGAAGTTATGTATATTTTCTCTTCCTGAAAAAAAAAATGGAAAAAGTGGATGGTCTGTGTTTAGGAAAGAAGCTCCAAAAATGCTGACCTCAGAAGAGATTTGAGAGATGGAGTGTAGCACAACAGGCAAGTAAAATTTGTATCCAGACAAAAACCTTGAATTCAGCCAGATGCAGTGGCTCGTGCTTATAATCCCAGCATTTCAGGAGGGTGAGGTGGAAGAATTTCTTGAAGCCAGGAGTTCAAGCTTGGGCAACATCGTGAGAATCTGTCTCTCCAAAAATATAGAAAAATTAGCTGGGCAGGCTGGCGTGTGCCTGTAGTCCCAGCTACTAGGGAGGCTGACGTGAGAGGATTGCTTGAGCCCAAGAGGTTGATGCTACAAGGAGTTGTGATCAGCCTGGGTGACAGAGTGAGACCCTGTCTCAAAACAAAACAAAACAAAAACCTTGAACTCAGAATATTTTATTGATAAAATGTTAGATCTTGAGCCTAACATGTACCTGTAGAGATCATTCAACAGTTAAAGAAACAGAACCTGAGGCAATTATAAACTCACAAAGAATGTATTTGCACTTTTTAGGGATAGACTTAGAACTGAACCATGACTCTATTTTTTTTATTTCTCTCTAGCACATAATTTCACCTGCTCATCCTTCGTAGATCAGAAAGTTATTGATGGTGCATATAGTGTTATGCTTATTTTTGATTTCACAATAACTTAATTCTGTGTCACATATAAAGGCAGACAATAAATATATGTAGAATTGGCACTATTTTGAACATTGGAGAATGTTCTACACTTTTAAAAACAAGTGAATTATTTTTTAATTGTATTTTATTTCATTTGCTTATTTCAGATGCCATTATTTCCAGAAAAGTTTGGGTTGGTAACTGTCTTTCCTTGACATCATTTCTGCATAGTTAAATAAGTGCCAAAGATATGGGCAGAACAGTCTAGAGAGGAATTTTTAAAAATCTGGAATGAATAAATATTGTTTTTTACTTTTCTTCAGTATTTTGTTAACCCCCAATTCTGCAAAAGTCAAAGAAGATGGAAAACTAAGAAGCTCTAGAAACTGATTTGTCACCACAATAACAATTGAGCTAACAGGAATTGTCTAAAGCAACTATTTTGAGACTCTGGTGTATAATAAAGCACTTGCAGTATCCAGGGAAGAGCTTGAAAAAGACACTGGTATATTTTGGTAAACTTTAGTGACTATCCACATTATGTGTAGCAACTATCATACCCCATCTGGTAGCCCTACAACAGGAAGCCATGAGAATGATGGCATGTGCTCCTGATATGGCTTGCTGGTTTCAGGGTAGGCCTGAAGGAGCTCGTCTTCCAAAAATTACAGTTGTGTTTTTTAATTGCTGCTCATTGCGCTTCATCACTAAGAGAAAGGCACAGAGGCCAATCATTCTTTTAATAATCATGGACCAAAGCAGGGTCTTAGCTGAGAGGCAATTAAAGAGACAGGCCCTTTTATCTATTTTTTTTTTCTATTTTTGGAGCCAGAAATTTACGGAAATATTCACCATGTCACTGCCTGACTGCAGAGACAATGGAATAGAAAATTCAGTGACCACATACAGCAATGAATATACACTTTAAAAAACTAGTTTGGAAAAGACAAATAGATACCTTAAGCTCTAAACAAGAAAAATCAGCAATTTCTGAGGATTGAGAGGATTAGATTTCTAGAGTTAAGACAACATAATACTCAGAATATCCAGATTCAACAGCAAAAGCAACAACAACAAACATACAGAGAGACAGGAAATATGGAGCAACTGCAAGAAAAAATAATTTGGCAGAAAATATTCCTACTAAGCTGAGATGCAGAAATCAACATAAAATAGAGTTAAATCAGCTGTCTTAAAAATTGTCAATGACATAAAGGAAAATATTGGAAACAACTATAAAAATCAGGAAAACATTGTCTAAAAAATATAAATATCAATATATAGCTACAATATCTATATATATATGTCTAAAAAATTACAAATATCAATATACAAATATCAAAATACAAATATAAATATCAATATATAGATTCATTATACAAAAGAACCAAGCAGAAATTTAGAAACTGAAAGTTACAAGAATTGAAATGAAAACTTCACTGGGTGGGTGCAATAGCAGATTTGAGGAAACAGAAGAAAGAATCAGCAAACTTTCAGATAGTACAATAGAAATTATCTAGTCTGAGGAGTGGAAAGAATAATGTCTGAAGAAAAATGGACAGACCCTGAGGTTCTTGTGAGATACCATCAAGGGTGTCAATATTTGCATTATAAGAATCCCAGGATAGGATAAAGAGAAAGGGGGCAGAAAAACAAGAAAATAATACCTAAAATGTTCACAAATCTAATGGAAGATATGATTATACACATCCAAGAAATTAAATTAACTCCAAACAAAATACAATTTAAGATACACAGTGAGACACATTATAGGCAATCATTAGTATCATAAAACAAAGAGACTTTTGAAAGCTGAATGAGAACCAAGACTTGTCACACATATAAGAGATTCTCAATAAAAATAAGAACTAATTTCTCACATGTTGGCCAGGGGTCAGCGGGATTACATATTTTAAATTCTGAAAGAAAAACACCTCTGAACTACGAACCTGTATCCAGAAAAAAATATCTATCAAGAATGAAGGAGAATTTCATACATTTCTAGATAAGCAAAGCATTGAATAATCAAGCTCCTGAAGTCAAGGATAAATAAAGATCCTAAAAGTAGAAGAGAAAAGAAACAAATATCATACAATGGACCTTCAATACATCTAGCAGCAGTTTACAGTCCAGGAGAGAGTGGCATGATGTATTTAAACTGAAAGAAAATATCTCTTATCCTAGAATAGTATATCTGGCAAAAATATCCTTCAAACGTGAAGGAAAAATAAAGACTTTCCAAGACAAACAAAAGATGAGGGAGTTCATCAACACCAGATCTGTTCTACAAGAAATGCTAAAAGAAGAACTTCAACTGGAAAGAAAAGGATTGTGATGAGCAGTAAGTAATCACCTAAAGGTACAAAACACACTTGTAATGGTAATACATGGAAAAACAGATCGTTGTAACACTTTAACACCACAATTACAGTGTGTAAACTACTCTTACCCTCAGTACAAACACTAAGTAATTAACCAATCAAACATAATAAGTTTAACAACTTTTCAAGACAGTACAATAAGATATAAATAGAGGAACAAAAAGTTAAACAGTAGGGGACAAAATTAAGGCATAGAGTTTTTATTAGTTTTCTTTTTGCTTGCATATTTGTTTATGCAAATAGTGTTTAGTTTTTATCAAGTTAAAGTAAAGGGTTTTAAGTTAGTATTTGCAAGCCTCATGGAAACATCAAGTCAAAAAGCATACAATAGATACACAAAAAATAAAAAGAAACTAAATCATATCACCAGAGAAAACTTCAAATAAACAATCTAACAATGCATTTTAAAGAAGCAGAAAAGTAAGAGCAAACCAAAGCGAAAATTAGTAGATGAAAAGAAATAATAAAAACTGGCTAGCCATATGTAGAAAGCTGAAACTGGATCCCTTCCTTACACCTTATACAAAAATTAATTCAAGATGGATTAAAGACTTAAACATTAGACCTAAAACCATAAAAACCCTAGAAGAAAACCTAGGCAAAACCATTCAGGACATAGACATGGGCAAGGACTTCATATCTAAAACACCAAAAGCAACAGCAACAAAAGCCAAAATTGACAAATGGGATCTAATTAAACTAAATAGCTTCTTTACAGCAAAATATACTATCATCAGAGTGAATAGGCAACCTACAGAAAGGGAGAACATTTTTGCATTCTATCCTTCTGACCAAGGGCTAATATCCAGAATCTACAAAGAACTCAAACAAATTTACAAGAAAAAAAAAACAACCCCATCAACAAGTGGGCAAAGGATATGAACAGACACTTCTCAAAAGAAGACATGTATGCAGCCAACAGACAAATGAAAAAATGCTCATCATCACTGGTCATCAGAGAAATGCAAATCAAAACCACAATAAGATACCATCTCACACCAGTTAGAAAGGTCGTCATTAAAAGGTCAGGAAACAACAGGTGCTGGAGAGGATGTGGAGAAATAGGAACACTTTTACACTGTTGGTGGGACTATAAACTAGTTCAACCATTGTGGAAGACAGTGTGGCAATTCCTCAAGGATCTAGAACTAGAAACACCATTTGACCCAGCCATCCCATTACTGGGTATATACCCAAAGAATGATAAATCATGCTACTATAAAGACACATGCACACGTATGTTTATTGCAGCACTGTCCACAATAGCAAAGACTTGGAACCAGCCCAAATGTCCATCAATGATAGACTGGATTAAGAAAATGTGGAACATATACACCATGGAATACTATGCAGCCATAAAAAAGGATGAGCTCCTGTCCTTTGTAGGGACATGGATGAAGCTGGAAACCATCATTCTCAGCAAACCATCACAAGGACAAAAAAACCAAACACTGCATGTTCTCACTCATAGGTGGGAATTGAACAATGAGAACACTTGGACACAGGAAAGGGAACATCACACACTGGGGCCAGTCATGAGGTGGGGGTAGGGGGGAGGGATAGCATTAGGAGATATACCTAATGTAAATGACGAGTTAATGGGTGCAGCACACCAACATGGCGCATGTATACATATGCACGTTGTGCACATGTACCCTAGAACTTAAAAGTATAATAAAAAAATTGGAGAAGAAATAAATGAATTTCAAATAAAAAAATACAAAAAAATGAAACAGAAGTTTGTTTTTTGAAAAGTTAAACAAAACTGACAAACCTTTAGCCAGACCCTCTATGAAAAAAAAAAAAGAGAGAAGATCCAAATAAATAAAACAAGACATGAAAAAGTAGGCATTACAATTGATACAGTAGAAATCCAAATGATTATTACTGGCTACTATGTGCAACTATATGCCAATAAGTTAGAAAATCTAGAAGAAATAGACAAATTACTAGACTCATACAACCTACCAAGATTAAACCATGAAGAAATCCAAAACCTGAACAGACCAACAACAAATAATGAAAATGAAGCCATAATAAGACATCTCCCAGTGAAGAAAAGCCCAGGACTCGATGGCTTCACTGATGAATTCTACCAAACATTTAAGGAAGGACAAATACCAATCATATTCAAACAGCTCCAAAATTTACAGAAGGAGGGAATACTTCCAAGCTCTTTTTATGAGGCCAATATTACCCTGATACCAAACCCAGACAAAGACACATCAAAAATAGAAACTACAGGCCAATATCTGTGATTAATATTTGATATGACCTGATTGTATCCCCACCAAAATCTGATCTTGAATTGTAGCTCCCATAATTATGTGTTGTGGGAGCAGCTGGTGGGAGATTATTCAATCATGGGGGTGGTTTCCCCCATACTGTTCTCTTGGTAGTGAATAAGTCTCATGAGAAGTGATGGTTTTGTTAAGATGTTTCCCCTTTCGCTTAGCTCTTATTCTGTCTTGTCTGTTACCATGTAAGTTGTACCTTTTACTTTCCGCCATGATTGTGAGGCTTTCCCAGTCACATAGAACTGTGAGTCCATTTAACATTTTTTTCTTTATGAATTACCCAATGTCAGGTATATCTTTATCAGCAATGTGATAACAGACTAATATAATATTGATGCAAAAATCCTGAAAAAAACACTAGGAAACGGAATTCTACAATACATTAGAAAGATCATTCTTTGTAAACAAGTGGAATTTATCACTAGGATGCAAGGATTGCCGAAACTACCTAAATCAATGTGATGCATCATATCAACAGAATGAAGAATAAAAACCATATAATTATTTCAATTGATGTTGAAACTGAATTTGATAAAATTCAACATCATGTCATGATTTTAAAAAATCCTAAAAAACTGGTTATAGAAAAAAGACACCTCAAAATATTAAAAGCGATATACAACAGCCCCACAGCTATTATTATGCTAAATGGGAAAAAACTGAAAGCCATTTACCTAAGATTTGGAACATGACAAGGATGCCCCCTTTCCCACTGTTATTCAACATATACTGGAATTCCTAGCTAGAGCAATCAGACAAGAGGAAAAAAAAAATAAAGGGCATACAAACTGGAATGGGAGAAGTCAAATCATCCTTGTTTGCAGATGATATCTTATATTTGGATAAATCTAAAGACTCCATCAAAAAATTATTAGAACTGATAAACAAATTCCGTGAAGTTTCAAGGTACAAAATCAACATACAAAGATAAGTAGCATTTTCATATGCCAACACTGAGCAATTTGAAAAATCAATAAAAATCAATTCAATTTATTATGGCCACAAATAAAATTAAATACCTAAAATTAACCAAATGGAAATATCTCCATAATAAACACTATAAAACACTGATGAAAGAAATTGAAGAGAACACCATAAAATGGATAGATAGATATTCCATGTTTACAGATCAAAAGAATTAATATTATAAAAATGTCCATACTACCTAAAGTAATCTACAGATTCAATGCAATCCCTGTCAAAATACCAAGGACATCATTCACACAAGTAGGTAAAACAATCCATGTGAAATCACAGAAGACCCAGAATGGCCAAAGCTACCCTAAGCAAATGATCAAAACTGAAGGAATCACATTACTTAAATTCAAATCATACCTCAGAACTGCAGTAAACCAAATAGCATGATACTGGGATTAAAGCAGACACATAGACCAGTGGAACAGCATCAAGGACTGAGAAAAAAGCCCACACGCCTACAGTGAACTCGTTTTCACCACAGTTTTCAAGAACATACACTGGAGGAAAAGACAGTCTCTTTAATAAATGGTGCTGAGATAACTGGATATCCATATGTAAAATAATAAGTTTAGACCCCTATATCTCACCATATATAAAAATCAAACCAAAATGTATTGAAGACTTAAATCTAAAACCTTAAATTATGAAATTACTACAAGAAAACATTGGAGAACATCTTCAGGATATCGCCTTGGCAAAAATTTCTTGAGCAGTGTCCCCCACACACAGTCAACCAAGGAAAAAGTGCATAAATGGGATCACATCAAGTTAAAAAACTTCTGCACAGCAATGGAAACAATGAACAAAGCTAAGAGACAGCCCACAGGATAAGAGAAAATATTTTCAAACTGCCCAGCTGAAAAAGGATTAATATCCAGAGTACATAAGGAGCTCAAACAACTCTACAGGAAAAATTCTGATAATACAATCAAAAATGGACAAAACATGTAAACAGATATTTTTCCAAATAAAGCATATAAGTGACAAGGATACCAATGAAAAGGTGCTTAAATCAGTACTACCACTATGGAGAACCTTTTAGAGGTTACTCAACAAATTAAAAATTGAGCTACCATGTGATCCAGCCAATCTCATTGCTAGGTATATAGCCAAAAGAAAGGATATCAGTATAATAAAGAGATAACTGTACACCCATGTTTGTTGCAGTACTTTTCACAATAGCTAAGATTTGGAAGGAACCTAAGTGTCCATCAACAGATGAATGGATAAATGGTATATATACGCAATAGAGTTCTATTCAGCCATGAAAAAGAATGAGATTCTATCATTTGAAACAACAGGGATGGAACTGAAGATCGTTATATTAAGTGAAATACACCAGGCACAGAAAGACAAACATCACATATTCTCACTTATTTGTGGGATCTAAAAATCAAAACAATTAATCTCATTGACGAAGAGAGTAGATGAATGGTTACCAGAGGCTGGGAAGGATGGTGGGTGGTGGGGGGTGGAGCTCGTGAATGCGGGGAAAAAAAAAAGGATGAATAAGACATACTATTTGATCACACAACAGAGTGAATATAGCCAAAAATCTTAGTTGTACATTTAAAAATAACTAAAAAAAAATAGTTGGATTGTTTGTAACATAAAGCATGAATGGTTGTAGGAATAAACACCCCATTCTTTGTTATGTGATTATTTCACATTGGGTGCCTGGGTCAAAACATCTTATGTATACCAAAAATATGTATACCTACTATGAATCCATGAAAATTAAAAATTAAAAAAAGTAAAAAGTAAATATGTTTGAATATGTTTTGTAAAGAATGCTCAGAGCTCAAAGACTGGTACTCCAAACTACCTCAGTCAGACATAAATAAAGAAAAAATAATAAAACAGAATGAATGAAACCTCCAGGAAATATGACATTATGTAAAGAGATCAAATATATGACTTATTGGCACCCCTGAAAGAGAGGGGAAGAAAACAACAACGTGGAAAGCATATTTTTAGGATATTGTCCATGAAAATTCCCTCAAACTCATATCTACCACAATCAAGTAGGCTTTATCTCTGGGATGCAAGGTAGGTTCAACATATACAAATCAATAAATGAGATTCACCATGTAAACAGAACTAAAAATGAAAACCACATGATCATCTCAATAGATGCAAAAAAGGCTTTTTATAAAATTCAGCATCTCTTTATGTTAAAAACCCTCAACAAACTAAGCATCAAAGGAACATACCTCAAAATAATAAGAGCCATCTATGGAAAACCCACAGCCAACATCTTACAGAATGAGCAAAAGCTGGGAGCATTCTTCTTGAAAACTGGCTCAAGACAAGGATACCCTCTTTCACCACTCCTATTTACCATAGACTGGAAATCCAAGCCAGAGTAATAAGGCAAGAGAAAAAAATTAAAACATTGAAATAAAAAGAGAAGAAGTCATACTATTTCTGTTTGCAGACAATATGATTTAACACTTAGAAAACCCATAGTCTCTGCCCAAAATCTCCTTCTTCTAATAGACAACTTAGGCTAAATTTCAGGGTACAAAATCAACGTACAAAAACCAGTAACATTCCTATATACCAACTATATCCAACCTGAGAGACAAACATAAAATATAATCCCATTCACAATAGCCACAGAAAGAATAACATACCTAACAATACAGCTAACCAAAGAGGTAAAAGATCTCTACAATGAGAATTACAAAGCACTGCTCAAAGAAATCAGAGACGACACACACAAAAATGGGGAAACATTCCATGCTCATGAATAGGAAAAATCATCATTGTTAAAATGGCCATACTACCAAAGTCATTTATAGATTCAATGCTATTCCTATCAAAGTACCAATTACATTCTTCACAGAATTAGAAAAAAATCTCTTAAAATTCAAATGGAACCAAAAAAAGAGCCCAAGTAGCCAAGGCAATCCTAAGAAAAAAGAGCAAATCTGGAGGCATCATGTTACCTGATTTCAAACTATACTGCAAGGCTGCAGTAATCAAAAAAGCATGGTACTCGTACACAAATAGACACATACACCAGTGGAACAGAACAGAAAGCTCAGAAATAAAGCCACACACTTAGAACCATCTGACCATCAATAAAGGTGACCAAAACAGGAAATGGGGAAAGGCCTTCCTATTCAATACATGATCCTGGGATAACTGGCTAGCCATATGCAGAAGATTGAAACTGGACACCTTCCTTATGCCTTTTACAAAAATCAATTGAGGATGTATTAAATGTAAAACCTAACACTATAAAAAAGTCTCTCAGACAACCTGTGAAATACCATTCTGGACATAGGCCCTGGAAAAGACTTCATGACAAAGATGCCAAAAGAATTGCGATGAACGTTAAAATTTACAAATGAGACCTAATTAAACCAAAGAGCTTCTGTACAGCAATAGAAACTATAATCAGAGTAAGCAGACAACCTACAGAATGGGAGTAAATATTTGCAAACTATACATCTGACAAAAATCTAATATAAAGAATCTATAACAAACTAAACAAATTAACCAGTACAAATTAAACAACCCAATTAAAAAGTGGGCAAAGGACATGAATAGGCCCTTCAAAAGAAGACATACATGCAGCTAAGAAGCTTATCAAAAAATGCTCAGTATTACTAATCATTAGAGGAATGCATATCAAAACCACAATGAGATACCATCTTACACCAGTCAAAATGGCTATTAAAAATCAAAAAATAACAGATGCCATTGAGGTTGTAGAGAAAAGGGAACACTGGTGGGAATGTAAATTAGTTCAGCCCCACTGAAAAGTAATTTGAAGGTTTCTAAAATAACTTACAATAACCATTTGATTGAGCAATGTTATTATTGGGTATATACCCAAAGAAATACAAATTATTCTAGCATAAAGAGACATGCATGCATAAGTTTATCACAGCACTATTCACAATAGCAGACATGAAGTCAACCTAAATGCCCGTCAATGGTAGACTGGATAAAGGAAATGTTATAAAGAAAATGTAGGCTGGGCGTGGTGGCTCATGCCTGTAATCCCAGCATTTTGGGAGGCTGAGGCAGGCAGATCACCTGAGGTTGGGAATTCGAGACCAGCCTGGCCAACGTCTTGAAACCCCATCTCTACTAAAACAAAAATACAAAAATTAGCCAGGCATGGTGGCACGTGCCTGTAATCGCAGCCACTCGGGAAGGTGAGGCAGGAGAATCATTTGAACTCAGGAGGCACAGGTTGCAGTGAACAGAGATTATGACACTGCACTCCAGCCTGGGTGACAGAGTGAGACTCCCTCTCAAAAAAAAAAAAAAAAAAAAAAAAGAAAGGGAAAATGTATTTGTGGTACACATATACATGGAATACTACACACTCATAAAAAGAATATCACGTCCTTTGCAGCCTCATTGATGCAGCTGGAGGCCACTATTCTAAGCGAACTACACAGCAACAGAAAACCAAACATCACATATTCTCACTTATAAGTGAGATCTAAACATTGAGAACAAATGGGCTGGGTGCAGTGACTCACGTCTGTAATCCCAGCACTTTAGAAAGCCAAGGAGGGCAGATCAAGTGATCAGAAGTTTGAGACCAGCCTGGCCAACACGCAAACGCATGCCTCTATTAAAAACATACAAAAATTAGCCGGGCATAGTGGCACACACCTGCAGTCCCAGCTACTCAGAAGGCTGAGGCGGGAGAGTCACTTGAACCTGGGAGGTGGAGGTTGCAGTGAGCCGAGATTGCGCCACTGCACTCCAGCCTGGGTGACAGGGAAAAAACTCTGTTTCAGAAAAATAAAATTAGTTAAATAAATGAATAAACATTGAGGACACAGGGACAACAAGAAGTGAACAACAGGCACCAGGGTCTACTTGAGAGGAGAGGATCAAAAAACTGCGTATCAAGTACCGTGCTTATTATCTGGGTGATGAAACAATCTATATGCCAAACTCCTGTGATATGCAATTTATCTATATAAGAAACCTGCACATGTACCCCTGAAAGTAAAACAAAAGTTAAAAATGTAAAATAAAATAACAACGAAAAAGAATGAAATGCTTAGGAATGAACATAACCAAGGAGGAGAAAGACTTACAAACTGAAAACTACAAAAGATTGCTGAAAGAATTTGAAGACCTAAACAGATGGAAAGACACCTGTGTTCATGGATTGGAAGATGTAATATTGTAGATTCAATCCCAGTGAAAAACCCGAAGGTGTTTCTTACAGAAATAAAAAAAAAAAATCTTACAATTCATATGAAATCCCCAGAAACTGTGAGTAGCTAAAACAATTTTGAAATAAAAATAGCAAACTTGTAGGATTCACACTGCCCGATCCCCAAAATCAACATAAAGCTATAGTAATATAAACAATGTGATACTGGCATAAAGTACACATATGGACCATTGAAACAGAGTAGATGGCTTAGTAATAATCTGCACATACGTCGCTGAGTTTCAACAAGGTGGGAAGACCATATAATTGGGAAAGTACATTCTTTTCAACAAAAGTTTCTGAGGAGACTGAATATTCACATGCCAATGAATGAAGTTAAACCCTGATATGGCTTAAATTTTTGTCTCCACCTAAATCTCATGTTGAATTGTAATCCCCAACATTGGAAGAGAGGCCTGGTGGGAGGTGATTGAATAATCAGGGCAGATAGCCCTCTTGGTGCTGTTCTTGTGATAATGAGTGAGTTCTTGTGAGATGTGGTTATTTAAAAGTGTGGGACACCTCACCTCCACTCTTTCTTTCTCCTGCTCTGGCCGTGTGAAGTGGTGGCTTCCCCTTCAACTTCTGCTATGATTTTAAGTTTCCTGAGGCATCACCAGAAGCTGAGCAGATGCCGCCATGTTTTCTGTACACCCTGCAGAACTGTGACCCAATTAAACCTCTTTTCTTTACAAATTACCCAGTCCCAGGTATTTCTTTAGAGCAGTGTGAGAACTGACTAGAACAGACCCTTACGTTTCACCATATACAAAACTTAACTCAAAATTGCTAAAAAGATCTAAACTTAAGTGCTAAAAGTCTTAGAAAAAAAAAAGTGAAAAATCTTCATGACCTCATATTAGACAATAAATTCTTAAGTATGACACCAAAACTTAAACAAAGAAAAAATAAACAATTTGAGATTCATAAAAAAAACAAACACCGCATGTTCTCACTCATAGGTGGGAATTGAACAATGAGAACACATGGACACAGGAAAGGGAACATCACACACCGGGGCCTGTTGTGGGGTGGGGGGAGGGGGAAGGGATAGCATTAGGAGATATACCTAATGCTAAATGACGAGTTAATGGGTGCAGCACACCAACATGACACATGTATACATATGTAACAAACCTGCACGTTGTGCACATGTACCCTAAAACTTAAAGTATAATAATAATAATAATAATAAATACTTGTACAAAACTACAAAAAAAAGAATTTTTTAAATATGTGCATCAAAGGACAATATCAAGAGAATGAAAAGACAGTTCACACAATGAGAGAAAATATTTCCTTTTCTTTTTTTTTTTTCTTTCTTATTTTGGTTTTAAGGAGCAAAGAGTTTAATAGGCAAGAAAGAAGAAAGAAAGAAGAAAAGAAGAAAACACCTTCCCCGTACAGAGACAGAGGGAGGAGGGCTCGGAACAAAGAGACCCTGTGAGAAAATATTTTCAAATGATGTTTCTTATAATAAATGAATAGATAGGATGCTTAAAAAACTCTTAAAACTCAACAATAAAAAATACCAGTCCAATTCAAAAATGGAAAAAGGACTTGAGTAGACATTTCTCCAAAGAAGATATACGAATGGCCAATAAGCACATGTAAAGATGTTAAACATTATTAGTCATTAAGGAAATACAAATCAAAGCTACAAGCAAGTACCACTCTATACTAATTAGAATGGCCATTAAATCATAAATTAATTATTTAATTTTAATTAGTAAATTCATAACAAGTGTTGGAAAGTCTGTGGAGGAATTGGGACACTTGTACATTGCTGCTCAGAAATGCAAAATGGTATAGTTGCCATGGGAAACAGTTTGGCAGTTTCTAAAATAGTTGAACATAGATTTATCATACTATTTAGCAGTTCTACTCCTAGGTATACACTCCAAAGAATTGAAAAAAGGAACTCAAACAGATAATTATACACTAATGCTTATAGCAGCCTTAATTATAATAACAAAAAGTTGTAAATAACAAAGTGTCCTTCGGCAGATAAATGGATAAACAAATGTGGTATATATATACATACCATCAAATGTTATTAAACCCTGAAAAATGGGTGCAATTTTGATACAGGCTATGATATGAATGGATATTGAAAATGACAGGATAAGTGAAATAACCCAGACACAAAAGAACAAATATTGTTGTGATGCTATATGTATTTAGAATCTATAGCAAGCAAATTCATAGCAACAGATAGTAGAATAAAGTAGAAGAGAGTTTACCAGGGACTGGGAGAGGGAAAAAGAGTTATTGCTTAATGGGTAGATAATAATTTGAGTTGACAAAAATATTCTGGAAATATATATTGGTAATCATTAAAGAGCATTATACATTTTCTTAATGCCACCAAATTGTATACCTCAGAATTGTTGAAATGGTAGATTTTACGTGTATTTTCCCACAATTAAAAAATGTTAAGAGTACTGAGAAGCTAGTAGAGATGGCTTATGGAATTTCTTGTAGAATGTATTCATAAAAGTGGGGAATCATGGCTTTGGGTTGAGAGCCTTAATTGTAAACTGTTTGGACTGTTCAGTCAAACACCACAACTTCTATTAATTCCTATTCAGTCCTTCAAAGAACAATTCAAATTATTTTCCTGTATGTGTCCATAGCCATCTATGTATATGTGAATTATTCATTCACATATATGATGAACAGCACTTTCAAATGCCTATTCTATAGACACTCAGTAACTTCCAGGCACCTATGCATTTCACTGCCTTTTACCAGAAATACCTTCTCAGCTCCTCAGTAGGGATATATTCTTTTCAGTTCTGTATCATCAATGACTAGCAAAATGCCTACAGCTTTGTGGCTGTAATTTAACTTTTGTAATGAATAGAAATGAAAAAGAAAACAAAATAAACTCTAAATGAGAGTCAAACTTATTTGATAAAGATGTTCGTTAAACAACAGCTTAGAAAAGTAGGAAAATTTTTCTTTCTGGTTTGAGTTTTTAGGAAAGAGAAAAATCTCCATTGCAAAATTGACAGATGCTCATATTAACTAAAGTCATTAAGCATCAATATTTAAATTATTTCACAAATATTGATGTAAACTAAGTTAATTAACTTTTGGTATAGAATATTGGGGCCAGTATAATCTCAATCAATCAACATATATGTGTTCACACAAGGAAGTCAATGAGTACTAAGATGAAATTCATCATACAGGTAGATGAAAAGTCTGATATAGCAATACTAAGACCCAGAAATTAAGGTTAAGGCCCTCCTCTACAGAAGAGCTAAAATCAAGTTAAAGATTAAAGCTATTACAAAGCTGTGAGAATTCAATTAGAAAGTATTTTTTGTGCAATACACATTAAAATGTGAGAAACGGCACAAAAATTTTTAAATTCTACGGTGGCTTGACTAATGGGCATTAAAAAACATACCTAGAGAAACAATGGAATGCAAATGGCCAGGTGTTTCTATGCACTAAGTCACAGACACCTGGTAATCTCAGCCTACTCATTTACTTCTCTGAATTCTACTTCATTTAAGATAAATTTAAAGAAGTAGATTCTACAGTGTCTAGCACACCATAGGGCAGCAGAATCTAGCGACTCAGAGCATGAACTTCAGAACCAGAATGATGGATCAAACCCTGTCTCTGTTTTTTCTTTTTTTTTCTAGCTATACAATCCATGGCAAGTTACTTTGTTCTCTGGCCCTTAGATTTCCCGTGAACATGAGGTAAATATTCTGTCTTCCTAAAAACCTTGTTGTAAAGATTAGATGAGATAATGGAAGAACCATTTTTACATTAATATTTGACACATGGTGTTACATAAGCATTTATGTGTATTTTAAAAATTATTACAAAACTCTGTGAAATACAACCATATACTAAAAGTAATACAAAAGTCATGGATGAGAATATTTGTGACATTAAGAATGTGTTTTAATGTATATACCTATCCTTTGTCTATATGTGAATGGTAGTTTTGATACTAAGTGTTTCCAGAACCAACATAAGGAGCAGATCACTTACTTTTTTTTCACTGGTATCATACAATAAAACATAAATCAACTGTTTAGTGGATGAATAACTGTTCTCGGTGGTGAAGCCAGCTATTTCTTCCAAGTTTACTTCCAAAGAGGAATGCTCTAGATCAATAAAAATGCCCTCAGTGACAGGCCCACAACAGACACAGCTGCCCACTTTCAAGAGCTGTTTTGGGAAGAGGCTGTGGACCTCTTACTCAAATCCCATTCAGTCAAAGCCTATCTGTGCAGAATTTGGTCTTCAAAGTCCGCCCTCTAACTATTCATTTGTGTCTTTGGCAATTAGAAGGAAACAAAGATTAATGCACTATAATAACTCTGAAATGTCAAGTTTAAAGTTGGATTTTTAGGCAAAGAGGCTCAATTGCATTAGAATTAAAATTTTATTGAAATACTGTAGGTTTTTTCTTTTTTCCCTATGATACAGGTTGCCCAGAGGGCTTTAAATTCCTGGAGCTTTCGTTATGTATTTCCAATATACTGATAAGCACCTTTAGACATCAAAGTTCTCACTAAAATAGGCTAAATAGAAATCTTATCAGTGAGTACTAGCCAGAGCAACTAGGCATGAGAAAGGAATAAAGGAATTGACATCGGAAAGGAGGAAGACAAATTGTCCCTGTTTGCAGATGACATAATCTTATATAGCGAATCCTACATACTCCACCAAAAAAACCTATTATACTAATAAACAAATTCAGTAAAATTTCAGCATACAAAAAAGCAAACAAAATTCAGTAGCACTTTTATATGCCAATGGTGAACTATCTAAAAAAAAAAATCAAGAAAGCAATCCAATTAAAATAGCTACCCCAAACCCTACAAATACATTTAACCAAGGAGGTGAAAGATCTCTACAATTAAAACGATAAAAAATTGATGAACTAAATTGAAGTGGACATTAATAAATGAAAAGATGTCCCATGTTCACAGACCAGAAGAATTAATATTGTTAAAATGTCTGTACTACCCAAAGCAATACACAGTCCCTATCAAAATACCAATGACATTTTCCTAGAAATAGAAAAAAAATCTAAAATTGGTATGAAACCACAAAAGACCCTGAATAGCCAAAACAAGCTTTATAAAAGAACTAACCTGGAGTCATCATACTACCTGACTTTAAAATACTCTAGATAGCAAGCATAACCAAAACCTCATGGTACTTGCATAAAAACAGACACATGGACCAATGGAACAGAATAGAGAACAGGAATATATCTACACATTTATAGTCAACCAGTTTTTGACAAAGGTGCCAAGAATACACATTAGGGAAAGGACAGTCCTTTCAATAAATAGTGCTGGTAAAATTGGATATCCATATTCGAAGAATTAAATTAGGCCTTAATGAAATTAGTTCTCATCCCTTACAAAAATCAATGCAAAAACAGATTAAAGATTAAAATATAAGACCCAAAACTATGAAACTACTGGAAGAAAACATATGTGAAACACTTTATAACATTGGCCTGGGCAAGTGCTTTTTGGATAAGACCTCAAAAGCACAGGCAACAAAAGCAAATATGGACTAATGGGATTACATCAAACTAAAATGCTTCTGCACAGAAAAGAAAACTGTCAACAGAGTGAAGAGACAACCTACAAATGAGAGGAAATATTTACAAACTGTGCATCTGATAAGGGATTAATATCCAGAACTCAAACAACTCTATAGAAACACACACACAAAAATCAACAAATAATCCAATTAAAAATGAGCAAAAGATCTAAATAGACATTTCTCAAAGAAGACATTTAAAATGGCCAACAGGTATATGAAAAGGTGCCCAATATTGTTAATCATCAAGGAAATGAAAATTAAAACCACAATGAGATATCCCCTCACCGAAGTTAGAATGGTTATTATCCATAAGGCAAAAGTAATAAATGGGGCAAGAATGTGGAGAAAGAAGAACTCTTATACATGGTTGGTGAGAATGTAAATTAGTACAGCCATTCTGTACAACAATATAGAGGTTTCTCAAAAAATTAAACTTAGAGCTACCATATGATCAAATAATCTCAGTTGGGATATATATCCAAAGGAAATGAGGTCAACATATCAAAGAGATATTTGAACTCTCATGTTTATTGCAACAATATTCACAATAACCAAGATATGCAATAAACCTAACGTCCATTACTGGACATTAGATGATGAATGGATAATAAAATGTGGTATATATACAAAATAAAATAATATTCAGGCATAAAAATGGATGAAAGCTTGTCATTTGCAACAACATGGATGAACCTAGAGACATGATGATAATTGACATTACCCATACACAGAAGGACAAATACTGCATGATCTCACTTACATGTGAAATTTTACAAAGTTGATCTCACAGAACTAGAGAGTAGAATAGTGGGTATCAGAGACTGGGAAGGAAAAGAGGGAGCGGGGCTTGGGGAGAGCTCTGTCAATGGGTACAAGTTTACAGTTAGATTGGAGGAATAATTTTTGGTTTTCTATTGCACAGTAGAATGACTATATTTAACAATAATCCATTGTGTATTTCAAAATAGCTAGAAAAAAGGATTTTGAATGTTTTCACTACAAAGAAATGACAAGTGTTTGGGTGATGGATATGCTAATTACCCTGAATTGATCATTACACAATGTATACATATACTGAAACTTCACACCATAGCCCATAAATATGTATAATTATTATGTGACAGTTAAGAACAAAAATACTTAAAAAAGAAATGTATTCATTGTTTCACCAAGCATGATAAAACAGTTGAATAAATTGACTTGAAATATCAACATTTTCTCTGAAATAAACTAGATAGAAACCTATTGTTTCAACTATACTCCCTTTGAGTACTAAAACACATATAGAAAAATGCGTGAGACTTTGTAAGTCTAAACTGAATGTCTCTATATGCATGTTTAAAAATAACCAAAATAGCCAATGTCTAGAAGGGCTTTTTAAACATTATCTTCTAGAGTTCTTATGGTTTCAGGTCTTAGGTTTAAGTCCTTGATCCGTCTTGAGATGATTTTTGTATGAGGTTAGAGATGAGTTTCCAGTTTCGTTTTTCTACATGTGCCTTGCCAAAGAGTTCATGACCAAGAACCCCAAAGCAAATGCAACAGAAACAAAGATAAATAGATGGGACTTAAACCAAAAAGCTTCTGCACAGCAAAAGAAACAATCAGCAGAGTAAACAGACAACCCAAAGCATGGGAGAAAATCTTCACAATCTGTACATCTGACAAAGGACTAATATCCAGAATCTACAAGGAACTCAAACAAAGCAAGAAAAAAAAATCCCATCAAAAAGTGGGCTAAGGACAACAATAGGCAATTCTCAAAAGAAGCTATACAAATGGCCAACAAACACATTAAAAAAATGCTCAACATCACTCATTATCAGAGAAATGCAAATCAAAACCACAATGCAATAACTTACTCCTGCAAGAATAGCCATAATAACAAAATAATAGATGTTGGCATGGATGTGGTGAAAAAGGAACACTTTTACACTGCTGGTGGATGAATGTAAGCTAGTACAACCACTATGGAAAACAGTGTGGAGATTCCTTAAAGAGCTAAAAGTAGTACTACCATTTGATCCAGCAATCCCAATACGGGGTGTGTACCCAGAAGAAAATAAATCATTATATGAAAAAGATACTTACACACGTATGTTTATAGCAGCATAATACACAATTGTAAAAATATGAAACCAGCCCAAATGCTCATCAATCAACAGTGGATAAAGAAATTGTGGTATATATACAACAGAGAATACTACTCAGCCATGAAAAAGAACAAAATAATGGCATTTGCAGCAACCTGGGTGGAATTGGGGACCATTATTCTCAGTAAAGTAACTCAGGAATGGAAAACCAAACAATGTGTGTTCTCACTCATAAGTGGGAGCTAAGCTATGAGGAAGCAAGGGCATAGGACTCTGGGGACTTGGGGGAAAAGATGGGAGCAGGGATGAGGGATAAAAGACTATACATTGGGTACCGTGTTCACTGCTCTGGTTATGGGTGCACTAAAATCTCAGAAATCACCACTAAAGAACTTATTCATGTAACCAAACACTACCTTTTCCCCAGAAACCTATTGAAATACATAAAATAAAATTTTGAAAGAAAAAAATAACCAAAATATTGTTTTGAAAAAATACACTTTTTAATTAACATATTTAACTAATATTTAATAAGTGCATACTATTTGCTCAGAACTTTGGAAAATTAAAAATAATGGACGGAGTTTTTGCCCTTGAAGAATGTGGAGAGTAATAATTCAACGGTCTTTTTGTATAACGTTTCCTCGATCCCTTTAAGTACTGAGCAGTGTGAAATGTGTTGATCATGTTTAAATTGCTGACAAAACAATTTAAAGAAAAAGATAAATCAGGACAGTAAAATGATCTAAATCAAGTATCAGATTCACTGGTTCATGTAAATTACTGAAGGGAAACCTGTGGCCAGAGGGGAAAACTGGCTTTAATTTAGCAGCCTGTTTCTAAAGAGTAGGGAAAAACCTTCCCCTTCAGGTGACTTGCCCTGGCTGAGCTGTTGGGAGTAGTGTCCACAGAAGGAAATATGGAGAGTTTAGACATCTCTTAGTGTTAGTTAAATATATGGTGGGCACGTGGACAAATGATAATAATAGGAAGCAATTTTCTAAATATGGTTCAGCGATCAGCTGGGATAAAGCCAGAAAAACGACTTCTGTTTTCTTTCCTACGAAAACAATGTTTCTGTTTTTTTGGTGACCCATTACTGCCTGTGTGTTTCTCTCTTTTTTTTTTTCACTTTATCTCACTTCTTAACTAACCTCTTTTTTTTTCTATTTCTATTTCATGTCTTTTCATTTCCACTTTCTCCAGTGAATTTCCAGTCTACTTCATTAACTTACTTACTTTCTCTTTTAATTGGCCTTTATATGTTTTAAATTTTTTCAATTTAAAAGTTTGAAGACTTTTTTTTTTTTTTGAGACAGGATCTAGCTCTGTTTTCCAGACTGGAGTGCAGTGATGCTATCATAGCCTTGACCTCCCAAGCTCAAACGATCCTCCCACTCAAGCCTCCCGAGTAGGTGAGACTACAGGTGCACCCCACCATGCACAGGTAAATTTTGTATTTTTCTGTTGATACAGGGTCTCTCTATGTTGCCCAGGCTGGTCTCAAACTCTTGGGCTCAAGCGATCCATGGGCATTGGTCTTCCAAAGTGCTAGGATTACAGGCATTAGTCACTGTGTCTGGCCCTAAACCACTTTTAATTGTGTTTGTTTCTCTCAACAACTTAACACATCCTCCTGCTAAGCTGAAACTGCAGATTTTGACTAGAGTCTTGAGATTGCCACTATCTGATGGCCCCACGTGAGCAAGTCCTTTTATTTTGGGGGGTTTCAGCTTCTTCATCAGCAATGTCAGTGTCAGTCTAAATGAGCTCTAAGATGCTGGCAGTTCTAGAATTCCATAGTCCTTTTAAAATGATTTTATTAGTAGTTATTTTTAAGCATTTAGTGAAGTACTGAAAATTGCCCCAGGGTTATTGGGATGAAATTTATATTAGGTTAATCAAAGCAAGGGAAAGATGTAATTATCAATATGGCTATATTACATAGAGAGTCCCTCATTATCTTTTGTACAGGTTAAGAGGTGGAGTGTTGTACAGCTTGAAATGCATATTTTTTTTCCAGCAAACTCCTGGAGAAAATGTTGCTTATACCGGTTACATTTTGGCTTTCACAAAAATTTTTTAACCAGTATTTAAGTAAGAATGTAAGAGATATAACATATCTGATGTCTGATAGAATTGGGGTAGAATAGACGGAACTAGGCCTTCACAGGGTGAAAGAAGCATATTGTTTTGCCAGTCAGGCTCAAGAGTTACTTCCATGATTCATTTTTACATAAGGTATTCGATTTTTATTTAGTTGGTAATTTAGTGAAAAACATTTTGTTTAACGAAACCTAAATTTTACATATGTTAAGTGAGCTACATAGAGCAATTGTTCACTCACTGGTTCATTCCATTAATCTACTAACTTACTCCTGCACTCACTAACTAATTCTGAGGATATCCCTTGAAATCTGAACTTATAGAGAAGGCATTGCATGGGATTTTCTGATGAATTTGAATGGTCTGTTAATTGGTTCACAGTTCAAAAGTGAGATGCACACATTCACTAATGAGTACAATACTGTCAAGGGTTCTATTTTACACATTCACGTAAAGTAACCCGATGCTTCAAAAAAGGGAAAGGTAGGCATTTCCTAAGAAAATGATACAAAAAGAGACTTCAGGAAGGAGGTTATTAGTTGGCATCAGTCTTGAAATATAAGTTGTTTTTATATTTCAGGTGGGCAAGGACATCGAAGTGCTCTATACAGAAGCAGAATGAATAAAAGCATCCTGGAAGACAATTTCTTGGCTTGCTAAAAGTTTTAAATTATTATATTCCATAGATTCCTATGCAAAGCAATATTTCAAAAAGTGTGTGTGTGTGTATGTGGCGGGGGCGGGTGGTGGCTAACTTGACCCCAGGGGCACTTGGAATCTCTGGAGACATTTTTGATTGTCGTAACTGGGGGTGGTCCAGGGTGGCCACTGGTATTTAATCTATAGAAGACAGAGATGCTGCTAAGCATCCTGCAGTGCATGGGCAGCCCCATGTCCTCACACCAGGAATTGTATGCTCCAAAATATCAATAGTGTCAAGGTTCAGAAATCCGGATATGAGATGTAAAATATAAGGGGAAAAAAGCCAATGCAGAATGAGAGATGTGGGAGATAGCACACCATGACAGAATTTTATACTATGCTAAGAAGTTTGGACATTACTACCAAAGAGGAATGCCAAAAGGATTTAATATTGTTTTCTTTTCTAAGAAACACTATTCTGATCTATAACAGCAGCTTTGCAAATAAGGGACCAAAGTCCAAGCAGTTCGTTGATTGTTTATTGACCAATGAACATTAAGTGAATTATTAAGCGAATTCAGATTTGAATAGACTGTGGCTTCAGTAATGTCATTTATCTCATTTGGGCCTCAGTTCTCTTATTCGTAAAATGAAAAGTCTGAAATAGACAATCCAATGGGCCATCATGTATTAAAATTCTAACATAATATGTCTGTGAGAAAATATAATGTGGCGAAGAATTGTTTTATATTTATATGCCGATGTTAATCTTAGTCACATACATGAAGAAGCACATACATATACTCATCTATACTTTACCTCTCAACCTTCCTGACACAGATTTATAAATGCACAGACTATAAAGCTAGCTTGCTTTAGGTGTACTGATGTGAGCTGATGAAGCCTGATGTGTGTTCCTTGTAAAATCTTTAAAACATTCGTTAATACAATTCTCCATTGTCCTACCTGAAATCAGATAATAAACTAAATAATCTTGAACATACTTTTCTGTATTGCTAAGAAATTTTTTTTAACAAATATAGGATCTGGAATAATTTTTGTTACATTTCTAAGCCCTCATTACCTGCGATTAGAGAGAATTGTACCATCAATATATATTGTTTTTGGAGCCAGGATCTTGCTCTGTTGCACAGGTTGGAGTTCAGTGGTGTGATCCTAGCTCACTGTAGTCTCAAGCTCCTGGGCTTAAGTGATCCTCTCACCTCAGCTTCCTGAGTAGCTGGGACTACAGGTATTTGCCACAACATCTGGCTAATTTTTTGTTTTTGTAGAAATGGAGTCATGCTATGTTGCTCAGGCTGGTCTCAAACACCTGGCTTCAAGCGATTCTCCTTGACTTGACCTCCCAAAACTTTGGGATTATAGGTGTGAGATACTGTCACTGGCTGGTCCCATGAATTTATAATGATTTCATCACATCAACAATAAATGTCAGATGCCACATGTCACTAAAATAAGTTTTCTTATTGTTTATTGGATAGAACTTGACTTCTAAGTTATTGTAAAATACTTAACTTTAGATAATTGTGCCTGTATTATATTATCAAAAGGAACATGTAATAAACAAAATGAATTTGTGTGATGAAGACAAGTATGGAATCGAGACTTAGGAAGAGGAGCAGGGACTTCAACATCCTACAGAGCTTTCAAGACTGAATTCCAAACATTTATTGTCTAACCAGAGCATCACCAGACTAAGTCTCCCAGGATTTCTTTACCTGTGAGATCGTCATCAGATTGCTAGGCTAGGTAACCTGAATATAAGAGAAACTATAACGTTCTAACAATATTACCAGGCACAAGGGGCAAAATATGTTTGTATAAACATTTATATCACAAAGGACCCAATCTTACCATAATTTCTCAAAAAGTCAACAATGATATGACATTGACAATTCAAAATGAGTAATGTTAGAAGAAGCAATTTTGTGTTAAACATATTTCAGAGGGAATAATTAGAAGGAAGTGATCTAAGTCTCCAAAACTTAAGGCTACAGGCATTTTCTCCACATTTTCCAAATGCAGGTGCCTATGATTATATCATGAAATTCATACATCTCTGCTGCCCTCTCCTCTAACCAACCTACAGAATATTGATTTTTATGTGTGTCTTTGAAAGTATAAATGAAACATTAAGTTTTGAGGAAACAGCAGAGGAGTTTCAGTTAAACTCAGGATTAGCAAAAATGACAGCAGTGGCCTTGAGGCAATTTCTGCAATTCTTACAAACTTCATATACTATAATTCTTGATTAAACCATAACCACATGCACTCAGTGTCAGTTTAGGGCAATGAGGTAGCAAAGGGAAAATGTACCAAAAATAATAGAGCCTAGTGACAAGGAAAGCAAGTGAAGCAGTCAACCCCCAGTACAGAGACTGACACCTCAGAGGCAGGAAAGAAAGAAGAGATACATGGCCCAGCAGCAGGAGAAGAGTCTTGCTACTGAGCACATTGACTTTTCTAGTCTCAGATGGCTTTATTTCCAAATTTTCCTGGGGAATATAATTGCTAAGCAGAGGTGGAGGTTGAAGATTATTCTCCAGTCAACATATTTCTCAAAACGGCATTGAGGCATCAAAGAAAAACAGACATGTATTGATGCTGCTCAGTGGTAGCAGCTTTTCATTACATCTATGGATTAATTTCTTCATCAGCATAGGAGACTAAATTAATACAGGACAGAAATATAAAGTCCTAGGTAGACTTTAGAAGAAAATACAAAACATACCACAAATACCTCAATATTTGACATGAATTGAGAAAGAATATGAATTCCATTATTCTTTCTCATAAACAATGTACTCTTTATTGACATCCCCTATATTCTATATAGACATCATACTCAGTAGGGAATAAATAGCAATCTTTATAAAGAAAGCCCAGGATGAATTCTAGTCTGATCTATACAAGGCAGAGAAGATTCATCTCTCCTTGTTCCTCCCAGCTAAACACAATAATGAACACTATAAATAAAGCAAGAGGCAACCAAGGGAGAACTCTAAAAGGCAGAAGAGGAAAACAAACTTGTCTGCCACCCCAGGACTAGAAAAGTAACATAGTGAAAGGCCACCTTATGACTCACCCAATTGAAGACGGTGATCCAAGTCCGGTGTTTTCCAATTCCCAACCTAGTAACAGATGGTGGATCAGCTGAGCTCATTTCTCTCCTAAGTCAAAGAGTCCAAGTGAAAACAATAGGTGAGACTGGCAGCACCAGCAGGGAGGATCAGTCAATCACATTTCTACAGACTAGCAATGAAGTATGTAAAACAAAATTAAAGCACAGTACCATTTACAATTGCTCTAAAGTGAATGAAATATGGAGATATACCAACTAAAAAGACATATTCATAAACTGTATACTGAATATCATGAAATACTGAATAAATAAATCAAAAAAGATCAATGCATGTGATACACCACAGAAACAGACTTAAAAACAAAAATAAGAATCATCTCAATAGACGCAGAAAAAGCATTTAGCAAAATCCAGCATCCCTTTATGATTAAAACGTTCAGCAAACTTGGCATACTAGGAACATACCTCAAAGCAATCCAAGCCATTTATGACAAACCCACAGCCAGCATAAAACTGAATGTGAAAAAGTTGAAAGCATTCCCTCTGAGAACTGGAACAAGACAAGGATGCCCACTCTTACCACTTCTATTCAACATAGTCCTGGAAGTCCTAGTGAGGACAATCAGACAGGAGAAAGAAACAAAGGGCATCCAAATTGGTAAAGAGGAAGTCAAACTGTCGCTGTTTGCTGACAACATGATCATATACCTAGAAGAAACTAAAGACTCTTCCAAAAAGCTCCTGGAACTGATAAATGAATTCAGCAAACTTTCAGGGTACAAATTAATGAACACAAATCAGTAGCTCTTCTATACACCAACATCGATCAAGCTGAGACTCAAATCAAGAACTCAACTCTTTTTACAATAGCTGGAATAGAAAATAAAATACTTAGGGATATACCTAACCAAGGAGGTGAAAGAACTCTACAACAAAAACTGCAAAACACTGCTGAAAGAAATCATAGATGACACAAACAAATGGATACACATCCCATGCTCAAGAATGGGTAGAATCAATATTGTGAAAATGACGATACTGCCAAAAGCAACCTACAAACTCAATGCAATTCTCATCAAAATACCACCATCATTCTTCACAAGACTAGAAAAAAACAATCCTAAAGTTCATATGGTACCAAAAAAAAAGAGCCTGATTGAAGCAAAAACAAACAAACAAAAACTAACCAAAAAACAAATATGAGAGCATCACATTACCTGACTTAAAAGTATAATATAAGACCACAGTCACCAAAACAGCATGGTACTGGTATAAAAATAGGCACATAGACCAATGGAACAGAATACAAAACCCAGAAATAAACCTAAATACTTACAGTCGATTGAGCTTTGACAAAGCAAACAAAAACATAAAGTGGGGAAAGGACTCCCTATTCAACAAAAGGTGCTGGGATAATTGGCAAGCCAAACGTAATGTAGGGGAAAGAAACTGGATTCTCATCTCTCACCTTATACAAAAATCAACTCAAGATGGATCAAGGACTTAAATTTAAGTCCTGAAACTATAACAATTCTAGAAGATAACACTGAAAGAACGCTTCTAGACATTGGCTTAGGCAAAAACTTCATGACCAAGAATCCAAAAGCAAATGCAACAAAAACAAAGATAAATAGATAAGACTTAATTAAACTACTGCACTTCTGCACAGCAAAAGGAACAGTCAGCAAATAGACAAGGCACAGAGAGGGAGAAAACCTTAACAATCTACACATCTGACAAAGGATTAATATCCAGAATCTACAAGGAACTCACACAAATTAGCAAGTAAACAAATAAACAAACAATCTCATCAAAAAGTGGGCTAATACCATGAATAGACAATTCTCAAAAAAAAATACAAATGGCCAACAAACATCAACAAATGCTTAACATCACTAATGATCAGGGAAATGCAAATCAAAACCACAATGCCTTACTGCTGCAAGAAAGGCCATAATAAAAAAATAAAAATAATAATAGATTTTGGCATGGATATGGTGAAAAGGGAACACTTCTACACTGCTTATGGGAATGTAAACTAGTACAACTAGTACAACTATGGAAAACAGTGTGGAGATTCCTTAAAGAACTAAACTAAAAGTAGAACTACCACTTGATCCAGCAATCCCACTACTGGGTCTCTTCCAAGAGGAAAAGATGTCTTTATATGAAAAAGATACTTGCACAGGCATGTTTATAGCAGCACAATTCACAATTGCAAAAGTATGCAACCGGCCCAAATGCCCATCAATCAATGAAGGTATAAAGAAACAGTGAGATATATATATATATATCCATCATATATATATATGTGTGTGTGTATATATATATATGTTATCACTGGAATACTACATTATACATGATGTTATCACTGGAATACTACTCAGCCAAAAAAGGAACAAATTAATGGCATTCGCAGCAACCTGTACGGAACTGGAGACTACCATTCTAAGTGAAGTAATTCAGGAATGGAAAACCAAATATCATATGTTCTCACTTATAAGTGGGAGCTAAGCTATGAGGATGCAAAAGCTTAAGAATGATACGGTGGACTTTGGGGAATTGTGGGAAAGGGTGGGAGGGGGGTGAGGGATAAAAGACTACAAATTAGGTTCAGTGCATACTGCTCAGGAGATGGGTGCTCAAAATCTAACAAGTCACCACTAAATAACTTCCTCATGTAATCAAGTATCACCTGATTCCCAAAACCTATTGAAATAAAAAATTACAAATAAATACATAAATAAATAAACAAAAATAAATAAATGGAGAGATACATTGTGTTGACACACAGGAAAACTTAGCATAGTAAATATGGTAATTCTCCCCCAGTTGATCTACAGGTTTAGTGCAATTGCTATCAAAATACCAGCAAGCTTCTTTGGAGACATGAACAAGCTTATTCTACAGTTTGTATGAAAGACACAGGCCCTGTAATGGTTAGGCAATCTTGAAAAGGAAAATAAAATGAGAGAAATCACTCTAGCTGAAATTAAGCCTTACTATATAGCCACAGTCATCAAGGGAGAGTAGTACTAGCAAAAGCAAAGACACATTGATCAATATAATGGAATAGAAAACTCAGAAATAGACTCACAGCAATTTGCACACGTGATTTTATATGAACTTTTTATAACAGCTTTATTGATAAATAACTTACATACCATAAAATTTAGCCTTTTAGGTATATAATTAGGTGTTTTCAGTATATTCAGAGTATGCAGTCATCACCACTAATTATTTAGAACAACTTCTTTTTGACAAAGGTGCATAAATAATTCAGTGGACAAACTATCACCTTTTCAAGAAATCAGCCTTGATCTAAACTTCACATCTTAAACAAAAATAACTCAAGTTAGATCATGGACTTATATGTAAAACGGGAAACTATAACACTTTTACAGATATTGAGAGAAAGTATTCAGAATCTACTACTAGAAAAATATTTCTTAGAATTAACGGCAAAAGCAGAGACAATAAAATTGATAAATCTCATCAAATTTTAAAACCTTTGGTCTGTGAAAGAATTTGACAAGAGAATGAAAAGACAAGTACAGACAAGAAAAAAATGCAATACCCATATTTGACAAAGTATTAAACTTTAGAAGATATAAAAAACTCACAACTCAGTATTTTACTAGAAAACCAAGTTCTATTAGAAAATGATGAAAAGATATGAGCAAATATTTTTTTGAAAAGATTATACCATTGGCATGTAGCTACATGAAAAGTTGTACAACATGATTGGTCATTGGTCATTAGGGAAATTTAAAATGCAACCACCTTGAGATGTCAATATACTCACATCACGTTGGTTAAAATAAAAAATAGAGACAACACCAAATACTGGCAAGAATATATATAGAAACTGCATCACTCATACGTTGTTGGTGGCAATGTAAAATGATACAGTCTCCCAGGAAAACAGTTTGGCAGTTTCTTGTAAAACTAATTATGTAATCAACACATGATATAACAATTACACTCAGGCATTTTCAGAGAATTGAAAACTTAAGTTTTCTGTTTAGATAAAAATCTGAACATAAATGCTCATAGCAGCTTTATTTATAATAACCCAAAACTTGAAACAACACAGATGTTCTTCAAAGAGTGAATGTTGAAACAAACTGCAATACATGCATACCATCAAATAATATTCAGAAACCAAAATGAATAAACTATTAATAAATTCAACAACTTGAATAAGTCTACAGGGAATTATGCTGAGTGGAAGAAGAATCCAATACCAAAATGTATATTTGTATGATTCCATTTATATAACATTCTCAAAATTACAAAATTGTATGAATGGAAAACAGAGTAGTGGTTGCCAGGAGTTTAGGAGAGTGTGGGTCAGGAAGGAAAGTTGGCATGGCTATAATAGGGCTACGTGAAGGATTCTTTTGGTTATGGGACAATTCTGTTGAGACTGCATCAACATTGATATCCTAATTATGACATTAATACTACATTATACATGATGTTATCACTGGTAACTTGCTTATAAGGAACCTGGGATCTCTCTGTGTTATTTCTTATAAGAACAGGTGAATCTACAGTTATCTCAAAACAAAATAATGTAATAATGATACTACTAACAAAAACACAGAATGGAAAAACATGCAGGTCCTCGTCTTTTCACTCTTTGAGTGCACAGTGAAATGAAGCTAAATAAACATGTGTAAATGATGCTGAATAAAAATAAATCTAAGGTGAAATATGTACTAGAGTAACACAGACAATTCTGTGAAGCTATCAAGACACTGTAGTATCATGAAAACTGCATTGGAGCTTGAATGCAATGTAAGAGTCAACACTTATAGACCAAGCAAGGTTGAGTCCTCTAACCTCTTTGGAATTTATCTTCTTCATGCGAAAGAATTGTACATCTTTATACTTCTGCTCATTAATTATCTGGGTAACACAAGCCAATATATATCTGAGTCCTAAACACCTGAATTTTCCATGGCAATGCTCAGCTAAGATAGAGTCAGGCATTCTCATGTACCAGTCAGGAAGCGCCACCATCTTATATTTGCAACATCTGAAAAAATAGCTTGTATCACATGGCAAGAGAAGAAACCGAGCATGGTGTATTGCATAACAGTTCCTAAAGACTTTTCTTCACAACTGGCACGCCCCACTCTGATCTCATTTCATTGGATAAAAAGCAAATCACAGGGCCATGACTAGCCCAAGGGGATAAATAACTTCAATCCCCCACGTGTCCTACCCTCAATGGATAGTGAAGTCTCACTGGAAATGGTGTTGATGAGAAAGACTATTGAGACTCACTCCTCAAAACACAACAATATAGAAACAGAGTGACTCAATTCTAATCTATTTAGTATCTTATTTATCTTTAGTCTACAATAAATAATTGCATATATCTACTTGCTAATTTATAGCCACAGGATTATATCGAGAGTGATTGTCTTTCTTCACTAAGCACAATTCATCACTTCTTGACAAGTAAATTTTAGTTTCTCATTGTATATAAAAGTTCCTGTATTAGTTCAAGATTCTCCAGAGAAACAGAACCAACAGGATATATGGTTTGCCTTTAAGCAACATGAAGGTTAGGAGTGCTGCTCAGTAAAATTCGTATACATGTTTTGACTCCTGCAAAACTTAATCATAACAGCCTACTGTTAAGAGGAAGTGAGAGGTGATGGCGTGTTAGCAGCCCTCAATCGCTCTCGGCGCCTACTCCTGGCCATGCTTGAGGAGCCCTTCAGGCCGCCACTGCACTGTAGGAACCCCTCTCTGGGCTGGTCGAGGCCGGAGCTGGCTCCCTCTGCTTGCGGGGAGGTGTGGAGGGAGAGGCGTGGGCAGGAACTGGGGCTGTGAGCGCCTTGGCCAGCGTGAGTTCCAGGTGGCCGCCAGCTTGGAGGGCCCTGGAGCCGCCAGCCGGCGCCACCAGTCAGGGGCAGTGAGGAGCTTAGCACCCGGGCCAGCAGCTGCAGAGGGTGTGCCAGGTCCCACAGCACTGCCGGCCCGCCCTCGTGGTGCTCGAATTCTGGCAGGACCTCAGCTGCCTCCCCTCAGAGCAGGGCTCGGGACCTGCATGCAGCCCTCCATGCCCAAGCCCCCATCTGCCTCCCTGTGGTGGGCTCCCGTGCCGCCTGAGCCTCCCCAACCGGCGCCGCCCCCTGCTCTGGGGGTGCCAGGTCCCACCCACCACCCAAAGGCTGAGAAGTGCAGGCACGTGGCACGGGACTGGCTGGCAGCTTCACCCACGGCCCTGGCACGCAGGCTCCACTAGGCTAAACCAGCTGGGCTCCTGAGTTGGGTGGGGACTTGGAGAACTTTTATGTCTAGCTTGAGGATTGTATACACACCAATCAGCACCCTGTGCCTAGCTCAAGGTTTGTAAACCCTCCAATCAGCACTCTGTGTCTAGCTCAAGGTTTGTAAACACACCAGTCAGCATCCTGTGTCTAGCTCAAGGTTCTTAAATGCACCAATCAGTGCTCTGTGTCTAGCTAATCTAGTGGGGACTTGGAGAACTTTTGTGTGTAGCTCAGGGATTGTAAACCCACCAATCAGCACCCTGTCAAAACAGACCCATCGGCTCTCTGTAAAACGGACCAATCAGCTCTCTGTAAAATGGACCAATCAGCAGGATGTGGGTGGGGCCAGATAAGGGAATAAAAGCAGGCTGCCCACGCTAGCAGTGGCAACCCACTCAGGTCCTCTTCCACACTGTGGAAGCTTAGTTCTTTCGCTCTTTGCAATAAAGCTTGTGTTGTTTACTCTTTGGGATGGAACTGCCTTTATGAGCTGTGACACTCACTGTGAAGGTCTGCAGTTTCACTCCTGAGGCCAGTGAGACCACGAACCCACCAGGAGGCCAGCGAGACCACGAACCCACCGGGTGGAATAAACAACTCAAGATGGGAGGAATGAAGAACTCCAGACGTGCTGCCTTAAGAGCTGTAACACTCACCACGAAGGTTTGCAGCGTCACTCCTGAAGCCAGCGAGACCACGAATCCACCAGAAGGAAGAAAGTCTGAACACGTCCGAACATCAGAAGGAACAAACTCCGGACCCACCATCTTTAAGAACTGTAACACTTACTGCGAGGGTCCGCGGCTTCGTTCTTGAGGTCAGTGAGACCAAGAACCCACCAATTCCAGATACAGAAGTATTATTGATAACATAATAAATTGATTAACATATATTCTGTATGTTATTATATACTCTATTTTTACAATAAAATAAACTAGGGGAATTTTTTAAATATAACTATAAGGAAAAGAAAATATGCTTAATATTTATTAAGTGGAAGTGGTACGTCATAAATGTCTTCATCTTGTTTTCACTTTAAGTAGGGTGAGGAAGAGGAGGGGTTGCTTTTGCTGTATTAGGAGAGGATGAGGGAAAGAAAAATCAGTGTATAAGTTGATGCTTGAAGTTGAAATTTTATATATATATATAATTATATATATATGCGCATGTGTGTGTATATATATTCTATTGGGGAAGTTGGATCATATGATTTTGAGGGCTTAGAGGTCCCGCTACGGATTATCTGCAATCTGAAGATCCTGGGATGGTGGTTATGTGGCTCAGTTCAAGTCCTAAGACCTCAGAACTAGGGAAGCAGTTGCTGTCTGTATTAGTCTGTTTTCATGCTGCTGATAAAGACTTACCCAAGACTCAGCAATTTACAAAAGAAAGATGTTTAATTGGATTCACAGTTCCATGTGGCTGGGGAAACCTCACAATCATGGTGGAAGTCAAGGAGGAGCAAGTCACATCTTATGTGGATGGCAGCAGGCAAAGAGAGATTGTGCAGAAAAACTTCGCCTTATAAAGCCATCAGATCGCATGAGACTTATTCATTATCATAAGAACAGCACGGGAAGGACCTGCCCCCATGATTCAATTATTTCCCACCAGGTCCCTCCCACAACACATGGGAATTACTGGAGTAGTTTTCAAGATGAGATTTGGGTGGGGACACAGCCAAACCATATCATTCGCCCCGGCCCCTCCAAATCTGATGTCCTCACATTTCAAAACCAATCATACCTTCCCAACAGTCCCCCAAAGTCTTAACTCAGTTCAGTATTAACCCAAAAGTCCATAGTCCAAAGTCTTATCTGAGACAAAGCAAGTCCCTTCCACCTATAAGCCTGTAAAATCAACAGCAAGCTAGTTACTTCCTAGATACGATGTGGGTTACAGGTATTGGGTAAAGACAGCCATTTCAAATGAGAGAAATTAGCCAAAACAAAGGGGCTACAGGCCCCATGCAAACCCAAAATCCAGCAGGGCAGTCAAATCTTAAAGGTCCAAAATGATCTCCTTTGACTCCAGGTCTCACCTTCAGGTCACACTGATGCAAGAGGTGGGCTCTCACAGTCTTGGGTAGTTCTGCCCCTGTAGCTTTGCAGGATATAGCCCTGCTTCTGGCTGCTTTCATGGGCTGGCGTTGAGTGTCTGTGGCTTTTCCAGGTGTATGTTGCAAGCTGTTAGTGGATCTACTGTTCTAGGGTCTGGAGGATGGTGGCTGTCTTCTCACAGTTCCACTAGGTGGTGCCCCAGTAGAGACTCTGTGTGGGGGCTCTGACCCCACATTTCCCTTCAACACTGCCCTTGCAGAGGTTCTCCATGACAGTCCCACCCCTGCAACAAACATCTACCTGGGCATCCAGGTATTTCCGTACATCCTCTGAAATCTGGGTAGAGGTTCCCAAACCCCAGTTCTTGACTTCTGTGCACTTGCAGGCTCAACACCATGTGGCAGCTGCCAAAGCTTGGGGCCTGCACCCTCTGAAGCCACTGCCCAAGCTCTGTGTTGACCCCTTTCAGCCACACCTGGAGTGGCTGGGACGCAGGGTTCCAAGTCTAGGCTGCACACAGCATGGGGACCCTGGGCCCAGCCCAAAAAATTACCTTTTCCTCTTATGCCTCTGGGCCTATGATGGGCGGGGCTGCCCTGAAGACTCTGATATACCTTGGAGACATTTTTCCCCATTGTCTTGGAGATTAGTATTCGGCTCCTCATTACTTATGCAATTTCTGCAGCTGGCTTGAATTTCTCCTCAGAAAATGAGATTTTCTTTTCTATTGCATTGTCAGGCTGCAAATTTTCCAAACTTTTATGCTCTTCTTCCCTTATAAAACTGAATGCCTTTAACAGCACCCAAGTCACCTCTTGAATGCTTTGCTGCTTAGAAATTTCTTCCACCAGATACCCTAAATCATCTCTCTCAAGTTCAAAGTTTCAAAAATCTCTAGGGCAGGGGCAAAATGCAGCCAGTCTCTTTGCAAAAACATAGCAAGAGTCACCTTTACTTCAGTTCCCAACAAGTTCCTCATCTCCATTTGAGACCACCTCAGCCCAGACTTTATTGTCTGTATCACTTTCAGCATTTTGGGCAAAGCCATTCAAAAAGTCTCTAGGAAGTTCCAAACTTTCCCACATTTTCCTATCTTCTTCTGAGCACTCCAAACTGTTCCAACCTCTGCCTGTTACCCAGTTCCAAAGTTGCTTCCACATTTTTAGGTATCTTTACAGCAGTGCCCCACTCTACTGGTACAAATTTACTGTATTAATTCATTTTTACACTGCTGATAAAGACATACACAAGACTTGGCAATTCACAAAAGAAAGAGGTTTAATTGGACTTACTGTCCCACGTGACTGGGGAAGCCTCACAATCATGGCAGAAGGCAAGAAGGAGCAAGTCACATCTTACATGGATGGTGGCAGGCAGAAAGAGCTTGTGCAGGAAAAGTATGCCTTATGAAGCCTTCAGGTCTTGTGAGACTTACTCACTGTCACAAGAACAGCACAGGAAAGACCTGCCCCTGATTCAATTATCTTCCACTGGTTCCTTCCCACAACATGTGGGAATTACAGGAGTACAATTCAAGATGAGATTTAGGTGGAGACACAGAGCCAAACCATATTACTGTCATTCTCAGTTTGAGATCGAAGGCCTGAGAAACCCAGGGTGGGGCATCTTTTTGTAAGTCCTGGAGTCCAAAGGCTGGACTTGCAATGTTCAAGAGGAGAAGAAGAGTATGTTCCAGCTCCAAACTAGAAAGAAAGAAAAAAATATTTTCCTCTATTTTTTGTTCTATCCAGTCCCTCAGCCAACTGGATGGTGCTCATGTACCTTGAGGGCAGGTTTTCCTTACTAATTCCACTGACTAAAATGCCAATCTCCTCTGGAAAGACCCTCACAAAATAATGCCTTGCGAGTTTTCTAGATATTTTTTATTCCGCTCATGTTGACAAACAAAATTAACCATTACAGACCCCACTGCTCATCCAGCATTCATAATCCACCGATGTTTTTGGACTAAATCTCCATATCTGCTATGCAAACTACTCATCTGACAGAGCAGGGTTTGACACCCTCAGAACTATTAATATTTTTGGCTGGGTAAATATTTGTTTTGGGTGCATTTCTGTGCATTGGAACACATTTAATGGCATTCCTGGGATCCACCGTATAGGTGCCAGTTAGTAATTCCCACCAGTTGTGACAACCAAAAATATCTCCAACATTACCAAAAGTCCCTTGGGAGGCTAATTTTCTGCACACTCTCACATCTACTGAGAACCACGGCGTTATGGGTTGTGAACATCCCAGCTCCTTTCTGTCTTCTCCATTGCCATTTGAAAGCCTTCTTTTCCTAAAAGGTTATCTGGAAGTTCGTCTTCTCTGAGTAGATATTAAGATCTGTCTCGTTTCTTTTCTTTTCTCATAAGAAAATTTCAATTTGTAATACATTTGATAGTTTATAAGATGTTTTCACTTGTTCTATTTATTATGATACAAAAATTCTATGAGATCTGAAAGATAGGAATATAAACCTTTGACAAATAAATAAACCAAATCTCAGAGAGGTTAAGGGACTACACCCAGATCACTCAAACTGCAAGCAGCAAAGTATGCTTAGTAACTTGCTACCAAAACATACACAGTATTGATGCCTTGCTAACTCAATGGAATTTCCTTGTTCTTCTAGTGTATTCCTTACCTTAGCCTTATTTTCACTGAGGAATTTTTATGAATATTTACCCTGCTTCCATTATAGGGGGAATCATTCCTAAATTTCCTCAGCATCTTTTGCTTTTTATACAAAATTTTTATCTAATATTAAAAAAAGTTTATATTTATTGACTTTTTATTTTGGGCCAGGCAGACATTGTAAGACAATTCAGTTCTCATGCAAAAACCTTATGACTTAACAAATGACTCCTAATAGCCTTATTTTAACAAATGAGGAAACAGTCTTTGAGGCTAAGTGAATTGCCTCAAGCCATGTGGTAAGTAGTTGATAGCATCTGAACTATGGTGGAGGTTGACTGAAGTGTGGTCCAGGCTGATTGACTGACCATTACAATGAACAACACATTTTTTAAAACTGTATTGCATTAATTCAATTTCTATAGCACTAATTTGGGCATGATTGCATATGGCCAGAGCATGGCCAAGTGACTCCCATGCAGGTGAGTGCAGCCCTTCAGAATGCGGCAGACTTTCCAGCTTGTGGCTAGTTGCCATGTTCCCACAGGCACTCTGAGGCTTGTCAGTCTGTGGCTCTTCTATGTCACTTTTTAATTTTTCTCTGGTGATGTAATGAAACTCAATCCCTAGAAAAATCAGACAAAATAAACAAAAAATGCATTATCAGAAATATACATTAGAATATAATTTGAAACCAATAGTATTGCTTGGGTATATGCTGCTGCACTTCCACTTATTATGGAAGGAGAGCTGTTCTGCTGGAAGTAAGGTGTTTGTAATTTAGGAATCTTTCCTAGGTCCCCTGAAACCCTCTGAGCACAGGGTCACTTGATCTGCCCTGGATTATGTGAAGAGGTTTATTCTCCATCTAAGCTCCTGGCAATCTGCATTACATAAAGATTCCAAATTCTACAAACAAGATGGAATTACTAATTTAGCAAAATTAATATGTGCCTCTGACCTCAAAATCATATGAGGTCATACTGTCTGACATGGCACAATAACCAAAAAAGAATATTTGGAATTAGAACTTACCTGAAAGAGTAATTTCATTAACAGTTGTGGTTATTATAGATGTTTATTTTACAAGGTAGAACTGGCCCAATATATTGGAAACAGTTATAAATATAATTTAGAAGCTAAAAATTTCTCAGAAGACTTTAGTTTTATTCCACAGTTGCCAGATCAAGATGATTTGATATTTCCATGTTATTTACCCTCTCTGTGACTCAGTTTCCATTTTCTGTTAAATAGAACTTCTTGTCCATTTTGCATATGCCACAGAAATACATTTAGAATCAGTAAGGCAGAGGAGAATCTGCACTTTCATTTCTTTTTTTTTTTTTTATTATACTTTAAGTTTTAGGGTACATGTGCACATTGTGCAGGTTAGTTACATATGTATACATGTGCCATGCTGGTGCGCTGCACCCACTAACTCGTCATCTAGCATTAGGTATATCTCCCAATGCTATCCCTCCCCCCTCCCCCCACCCCACCACAGTCCCCAGAGTGTGATATTCCCCTTCCTGTGTCCATGTGATCTCATTGTTCAATTCCCACCTATGAGTGAGAATATGCCGTGTTTGGTTTTTTGTTCTTGCGATAGTTTACTGAGAATGATGATTTCCAATTTCATCCATGTCCCTACAAAGGACATGAACTCATCATTTTTATGGCTGCATAGTATTCCATGGTGTATATGTGCCACATTTTCTTAATCCAGTCTATCGTTGTTGGACATTTGGGTTGGTTCCAAGTCTTTCATTTCTAAAATGCCCTTTCTGCTCTGATGGAACTAGCTGAACAATCTCAAAGTTTCTTTACAGTGTGGATTAATCCACAACCCAGTGCTGTGTTTCTGGGCCAGAAGCTCTGGGCTGGTGTTAGTGTTTCTTCTTCCCTTCACTGTATCAGAGGATCTCTGAATTTATTCACAGAGGAAAGTTCTGCAGGACGGGGCGATAAGGAGCCTGCCTTTCTAAGGCTCTGCTCCCCTAGTTTCTTTCCCTCTCCCATATTCCTCAAGGGCTGCCTCAGACCTTGCATCCAGGGCCCTAGAGCAAGGCGCTTTCCAGTCCGGTGCGGTGGCTGCTTCCAGCACACAGGTGGCGGCAGAGGACCAAGCTGAAGCCAGTGGCCTTTTCTGTTCCATTTTCACAAGCCTGGCTCTCAGAGCTCCAGGGCAGCCACTGTGGTGAGGGGTGTCCGCAGACGCTGATCTGGACGCTGAGCCACGCTAACTGAAGATGAGAGTCACGTGTTCATGCCAGGCCAACCTGGAGTAGGTCTCGAGCAAATAGCTCCTCTAGGGCACAGTCGGAGGCCACGAGCCAGGCTGAGCCAAGTCTGCTTCTGTTGCTTCAGTGAGTGTTTCTTTTTTCTCTATATTATTATTTGCCTCCACCTCTATGTACAAATAATTTGTAACTTTACTGCATTTCCGTAACCCTCTAAGACATCATAGCCTTTTTCAGGGATCTGCCTGTTAAAAGAATGTAGAAAGGAGGGAGGGAGGGAAGTGACTATCCATTTATTCATTCCCTTATTTAAAAACACGTATTAAATGAATAATACAGGTTAGCAGGTCAATTTTTAGAAAACATTAACAGTAAAGCCAAATAAACCTTGGTAACCTATTGTCTACAAAAGTCAAATGTCTTGTCAAGGAACGGGATGAGCATCAAATTCAGAACACTGGGTACCTCTGTCTCCATCTTGTCTCACAGATGCTGTACCATCCAGCCCGTGACACTAAGCATCTCTCCAACTGTCTCATCCCAATGCTCTGCTCTGTGCCTGTAAGCAGTAGCCTCTGCTATTTTACTGTGCTTCTCTGCCCACAGTACCTGGAAAACAGTTCACCCTAAATGTCAGCAATAATGTCATCTCCTCTGTGGAAAACAATAACAACAACATTTTTTCTAGTACAAGATATTTTCTTTTTCATAACGTTCATAAATCTCTTCTCATTCAAATAATTATATGGTCATGGCAGATTGAATTCTTGATGTTAATTCTTTCCTCTCTTGTAGTAATGTACATTTATAGCCTTCCCACAATGGGTGCTGTGTGTTTCCCAGCCCTTAGCCCACGTGACTTGCTTTTTCCAATAGGATGTTAACAAGATTTGACATAATTGGCATCTTGAAATGTGCTGTGTGGTGGGGCCTGTCCTCTTGTGCTCTGTCCTAACCATGAGCTGACATACCCTGTCAGCTGTGTAGCTGCTGTGCCTTCATCCCAGTTCTCAGAACTAGACACGTCAAGCCTACTCTAGCCTGACCTGCAGTCCAGAGACAAGCATGGCTGAATCCAGCCCAAACTAGCTAAACTCCAACTAATTCACACACTGAGGAGAGAAAAAAGTAAATGTATGTGTAGTAATTTTTTGATAGTTTGAGATTGTATTTATTGAATCGGAATTACTGTGGCAACACCTAACTGATAAAATGCCCTTTATTGATTGGGAGTTCAAGGTCAGTACCTTATTTGCCCATGTATTAATAAAGGTTTACTGATTGAATTAAAAAATAAATATGCTCTTATTGTGACAGATTTAAAAGGTCGGGAATAAGTGTTAAGGCTTCAAGAATCTTGGTGTTCAGGTAGGACAGGCAAGACAAATATATAAATAGCTAAGCTAAGAAGAATAATGTGATGTCATGTGTCATGAGACAGCTCTCAGAGAAGTTTTGTAACTGGGACCAAGACAGTACTACCTTTCGAGGAAAGAAAAAGGAAGTTTTCATGATTGTATGAGAACAGTCATACAAGTGCAAAGTGGAGATTTGAAGGTACACAGAATTTTAGTAGTCAGAAATAAAGGGGAATTAGTAAAGAAATGCAAACAGGCATTCTGGAAAAATAGACAGGGTCCTATAGACAGGTACCTGAAGAAGCTCAAGGATAGGAACCATGAGAATTTCACTTGTGCTAGTGTGTAGAAAAAAGAAAAGTTACTATCATGAAACAGGGATGGAAAAGTTTATTGGCAATCACAGAATCTTTAAATTTATACCAAGAAATTTTTATTTTCTTCATTAGGAAATGGGGAGCTTTCGGACAGTTTTCTGGGTGGCCTTGGACCAACCAAGTTTTCCACCCTTTCTCACTTGTAATTCTCAAGGATAACTGCAGAATGTGCTGATATTGTAATGTTCTGAGATAGAGAGTGACTGACTGGAACAGCCCAGGCCCTGCTCTTGTCACTGTAGAAACAGAACATACTGCAACACTTTAGCCCAGTGGTCATCTTTTCCTCAGGGTATAAAACCCAGGGCGGGCTGCTTTTCAGCGTCCCTCAGCTGTGGTGCAGGTGGGGGCAGAGGCAGACAAGACTCCATCCATCCTGGGCAGTTTCCAGAGCCATGGAGAACAGGTTCTCCATGAATCCTAGGCTTCTGCTGTCTTTTGCTGCCTACCTGGGAGTGATAAAGCTGCTTCGTTTAACTTGTTGTGTGAGGGTTCAGTCTCAATGGTCTCATGCAAGTAGTAGAGATTGCAGCCCAAGAGGCAGCAGGCTGAAGTGGTGATCTTGCTTTGCATGAGCCATGGCAGGCCTTGCAGGACTTATATTGCAGGTTTCTGAAAGGCAAGTTAACTCATTCATTATGTATTAAGATAAAAGAGTTTTATGCATGACACATTACTTTAGGCTAAAATGCTGTGTAGCAAGTAGAACAAAAATACAAGTTCAAAAAGATAAAAATATATACAATTTCTAAGTATTAAAGAAGAGCTTATTCACATTTATTTTAAATGAATAGTTATGAATAGCAAATTGTTATAGTGTTTAGAGTCTATTGGATGCATTTTAAGAAGCAATACAACAGTTTTATTACAAAAATGTCAACTTTTACAGGGTTGGATGTTATATCCATACAACTAATTAAACTGAAGTAGAAACATTTTAGATGCAAACTTTAAATGTGTAAGAAAGTACAGCACTTATCAAAATTTTAAGAGGGAGTAGAACAAAAAGATTTGAATATCACTCTTGTCTCGATTCACAAAGCGATAAAATTACAAGAAAAATTTTCCTTGTCTTATAAATTTTGGAAATGCTATCTGAACAATCCACCGCATTTTCCAATGTACATTAGCCTTTTTAAGGTTGTGGAAGTCACTATATTTATTTGATCACTAAATTTCTCCTCACTTTCTTTTCAGATTATATTTATTTATATATAGTACAGGTGGTTTTCTGGAAACACAACCCAGGAAAACACTTTAGTAGTGTATGAGCCAAAAATTACTTAATTTGGCTACTTTCTATATATGGATGAAAACTGCCTTGGTAATTTGAGGAGAAAATAAATCTCTCTGGCTACTGTCATTCTTAACAATTAATTACAATCCTAGAAATATTGGTTAATAGAATTCTGGAATTTTGAAAGTCTAGTAAAGTTGGGTTCTATTAAATGGAAACAGAGAAGCCACATGATTTCGAGTCCAACATTAAGGTTAATTTGATAACTAAGCAGGATGCAAAGGATAATGATTGAGGTAAGGAGGCAGGACAAAGTTCCTGCAAATAAATCGGTTGAGAGATAATGGTTTGAGATAAAAAATGGTTTGGGAGGAGAAACTAACAATTAAGAATGTTGTTTGGGTCACTAGTATTTGTAAATGTATTATATAATTTTTTTTCCAGCTGGCTTGTAATATTCTTAAGAGCTGAGATAATTTTGTTTCCCTATAGCACAAGCCTTCAGTTGTTGGGTAACAAAAATATTTTCTAGTTGATAGTGCTGACATTTAATTTCAGAACTATTTCTATAATGAAGGATATATAAATTATATATGCATGGTTAAATATTAAATATTGTCTCAAACTATTTCTTGAAGTTTTATTTTTAAAAAAATAGAACCACAGAAATATATAGATGTGAAAAATTATCAGTAAGATAACAAGATACACAAATTAAGAGGAAATAAAGAAAGTTGAGGGAACATAAGAACATTTAATAAAATCTAACTAATGCTTTTGTAAATATTCAAGAAGATACTGTATATATTCAGTTAAAATTTTAAAAAGTAACTATTAAAAATCAACAGAGAATGAGAAAGAGGTTTAGGAATGAACACCATGACTACTTAACATTAAAAATTTGTGTAGGTTCATGTGACAACAAACCCCTATCTTCTATCTTCTATGAGACTTTGTTCTACCAGTGACGATACCTCTTTCAATTCTTTACTCATCCGCCCTTCTAGTTCCCACGATCCCAGCTTTACCTGTGGCATTTAGTGTTATACACACATCTCACTTGATTTTTTGATCCTCCTACCTTTTGTAAAGTAGCATTCTGTTAGACTTTTTTTCTATGTCCTTAATTTCTCATTTTCTTTCTCCTCTAATATTCCAACCTTACTTTTTCTACCCAACCATGAACATTAACATTGTCCACCTTCATGTTCCAGTGTCTCCCATTTTAATTATATTTTTCCTCTTTTCTGCAGTCAGGGTGTACTAACTCTTCAGACTCTATCAACATTCGGTCCACAGGGAGCTTGATGGCTTTTCCCTTCCACAAGACATTGTGCCGACCCATCATGTTGATGATGACATGCTGATTGAACCTGGTGAGCAGTAGCAGGTAGTCTAGACATATTGGTAAGATATTTATTTACTTACCTGTCAGAAGGTGGAGAATAAATGCCATAAAAACCTAGGGGCCTTCCATCACAGTGAAATTTCTGAGGATACAGTGGTTTGGGATATGTCAAGATATTTGTTCTATGTTGAAGGATAAGTTGTTGCTTCTGGCCTCTCCTACAACCAAAAAACTATACAACATCTGGTGAACTATTTTGGATTTTGGAGGCAACATATTCCTCATTGGAGTGTGCTGCCATGGCCCATCTACAAATGCACCAAAAAACCTGCTAGTTTTGAATGGGGCCCTATGGAAATGTGATATAAGACAGAGATAGATAGTTTCTACTGCGGCCGTATGATCCAGAAGACTAAATAGTGCTGAAAGCATCAGGGGCAGTTAAAGATGCTGTTTGGAGCCTTTGTCAGGCCCCCACCAATAAATCAAAGTGCAGACCCTTCAGATTTTGGAGAAAAGCCTTCCATCCTTGGATAGTTATCCTGTCTGAGTGGATAACTGCTTTTCTTCTGATAGCGCTTTTGGCTTGCTACTGAGCTACTGGACACTTAGCCACGAGCCATCAAGTTACCAGATAACCTGAGCTGCCCAACATGAACTGGGTTGTCTAAGCCACTAAGCTTTAAAGTTGGGTGTGCACAGCAGCACTGCATGAGTACTCCAGCAGGCCCTGAGGCAACAATTCAGTTATGTGAGGAAGTGGCACAAACTCCTATGACCTCAGCTTATGCTACACTTTTCTCTCTCTCCCATGCTGTTAGTATGGTCTCACAACTATGGTTCCCTACAGTTAACAGAGTAAGAGAATACACGGACCTGATTTACAGATGGCCCTGCATGATGTGCAAGCGCACTCGAAAATGGTGCCTTTTTCGGGGACATTCCGAAGGGCAGTAGTGAAGGGTAATCCTCCCAGTTGGTAGAACTTTGAGCAGTGCACCTGGCTTTTTTTTTTTCCTCTCAAAAGGGAAATAGCTGGAGTTATGACTCTGATGCTGAGGAGAAGCAAAAAATAAATAAATAAAATAAAAAAATTAAAAAAGCCAAGCAATTCCAAGCTTTGGGAGCCTTGAATTGGTCCACCTAAAAGAGGCACAGAATCTGACTTTTGGAAAAGTACAGCGACACTGAGAAGGAATGTGCAGAAATGACAAAAGCAACCCTGAGAGATCCAGGCAGAGTAACAAGAATGCCTACTCCCAGTACAATTCTTATTGTATGTATTTTTTAATGGAACATAATCTATAGGACTTAATCTATTGAAAAGTACAAATGGAGCTAACTGATTTCACATAATCTCTCTGTCATACACCAAGTTCCCATACATGTGTGGATCCATTTATCTACTTGCCTTTTACTGTACCAAATGCCATACTGTTCACTGGCATAGGATTAAAAATCTGATAGCATACTTGTCAGTAATATATTCTTCACCTTTAAAATTATCTTCTCAATTCTTTAGCCTTTAATTTTTCATATGTATGCAAAAATCAACTTTTCAATTTCCATGGGCAAATGTTATCAGGGTTTTAATGGGAATAGCATTGAACTTGTAGATTAATTGACATCTTTATAACATTGAGCCTTCCTATTCATACACATTGCATATTGCTTTACTTATACAAGTCTTTTATTTTTCTCAAATTGTGTCATCTTCTCTAAGAACATCTTGTTTATACCTGGTTAGATTGGTTTCTAAAAACTTCATAGTTACAGTTTGGTTGCCATTTTAAATGGAATGTATTTTTTGCTATTACACTTTTGTTTTCTTTGTGCTCGTGTATAGAGATGTTATTTTTATATGTCATTTATATATGGCAATCCTGCCTAACACTATTAGTTCTAATAGTTTATATGTTCTAACAGATTGTTAATGTAAATAACTATATTATCTGCACATAAAGTAATGTAATTTCTTCTTTCCCATTTATATGTCTTATTTTTCTTTGTTGTCTTATTTTCTTGACTAACATTTCAAGTTCAACATCACCCTGCAGAGATAATAGGTGTCTTCTCTGTCTGACTTTAATAGGATCATTTCTAAATTTTTCTTAAATTGGTATCTTATTTGCTGTAAATTTTTAATAAATACACTTTTCAAAAGTTTAAAGTTAAATAGATTTAGGCTTTTCCTTCTATTCCCACTTTGCTAACAATAAATGTTACTGTGAATGAATGTTGACTTGTAGATTGTTGAAAATTGAATTACTTTTATGCATATATTGAAATAATTTTATAACTATTCCTCAAACGTATGTTAAGGTGGTTTTACATTAATATATTTTTAAATATTAAACTATTTTTTATTCTTTGATTAATCTTACCTGGTATTTTTATGCAATTTATATGATTATTTACTAATTTGCTATTATGGTTTAAATAAAAACTATAATTGTTCTTTTTTGACAAAACTTATCTTGAAGGATAAAAACATACAGAAGATTATACAGATTATTAGTTTATACATCTCACTGAATTTTCACCAAGAGAATAAACCCATGCAGTCATCACCTGGTTCAAAAAGCAGAATATAACCAGAACCCCAATAGCTTTTTTTGTTTTTCGTTCCATTTACTGTCCTGCTCAAGGGTAATCACAATGCTGATTTTTAACATCCTGAATTAGTTTTGCCTTTTTTAAATGTAATACAAATAGAATAATAGTGCATGTTTTATTTTATGTCTATCTTCTATTTTTCTATATTTCTAAGATTTAGTTATTGTACTTTGAAGATACAATTTGTTCACTCTTATTTTTTATGAATATATATTGAATGATTTTATTACAATTTACTCACTCTGTTTATTCTCCTATGACAGTCATTTAAATTGTATCTGCTTTTTGACCATTACTTATCTATGAATATTGCTTCTGTATTCCTATTTTCCAATTAAGGTAATGTTTGTACAGTAAGGTGCACAGATCTCGTGTATAATTCAAATGAGTTTTACAAATATATACCCCCTGTAATCAATACCCAATCCAGATATAGTACATTTCAATCACTCCTGAAAGTTCCTTTGTGTACTTCTTCAATCAATTCCCCTCCTTATGGACAGCCACTACTCTCTTATCTATCCCTATAGATCAGTGTATCTTTATTTGGACTTCTATAAATAAAATCAGAGTAGCTACTTTTTTCCTGGCTTCTTTCATTCATCATAATGCTTTGGGGTCTCATTCCTCTTGTTTAATACACAGTTGCTCATTATTTTTCCATTGTTAAGTAGCATTCCATTGTATGAACAATCAATTTGCTTACCCATTCTACACTTGATCGACAAGTGTAGAATGGGTTGTTTCATTTTTTGGCTATTATGTGAAATAAGCCACTATCAAAATTCTGTCTCTCTCTCTCTCTCTCTCTCTCTCTGTGTGTGTGTGTGTGGGTGTGTGTGCGTGTGAGATTTTTTGGAAATATACTTCCGTTACTTTTTAATAAATTTGAGAGGGAAATGTCAGTATTAAGGGTGACTGTATATAATGTTTAACTTTATATGAAAGTTCAGTTTTCCAAAGTAGTTGTATCTTATTATACTCCCATAAGTAATTTCTGAGATTTCAAGATACTTTATATCTGTACCAACATTTGCTGATGTCAGTTTTTTGAATTTTATTCTTTATAATAGATGTGAAAGGGTAAAGCATTTTAATTTGAATTTGAATCCTCTTGAATACTAATGATGTTAAACATCTTTTTAAGGTCTTTCAATTCTTACACTTTTTATTCTAAAATGTCTGTTTTAGTCTTTTCACCATTTTTATTTGGGGGTTAGTTGTTACATTGTTGACTTGTAAGAGTTTTTGTTTCATATATTTTGAGTATAAGTTATCAGATGTATGCATTACCAATAATTTATTGGGTTTTAATACTTTTTTTGATAAGATTTTATTTATTATTTCTTTTCTTATATGACAAGGTTATTTTCAATTGGTTCTCAAAATATTTGTCAATCCAAAGTCATAAATATATTTCACAATATTTTACAGTAGAATGTTTACAACTTCAATTTTTACATGTAGACTTACAATCCTTCTCAGATTACATTTGAGAATGATGTGAAGAAAATGTTAAGGTTCATTATTTTCCATACATTTATTTAGTTGTTCAGTATCAGATGTTGAAAAGACTTTCTATCCCCATTTATTTATCTTGGCACATTTGTTGAAAGTAAATTGGCCTCAGTGTAAGTCTGTTTGGGAACTCCCTACTGTGTTCCACTAAGCTTTATTTCTATCCTTATATTATACCACCTTGTCTTCATTGCTATAACTTTGTAATAAGTCTTGTAATCAGCTGGTACGAGGCTTCCTAAATGTATTCTTTTTGTTTACATTGCTTTCCCTATTCTATGTTCTTTGTATTTTCCTATGAATTTTAGAATTGCCTTGTTAATTACCATCAAAACCAAAACAAATACACCAACCAAACAAACACAGCATTGCGAAGTGTTGATGGCATTGCACTGAATTTAGGGAGAATTACATCTTTAATATATCTCTTTGTTTGTTTAGGTCTTCTAAGTTACTGTAAATGTTTTGTTGTTTTTCATGTGGAAGTCTAACAAATTTTTGTTAAATAAATTTTAAGAACTTTAGGCTTTTTTGATTTCTGGTGTATTTATTTTGTTTTTTAATTTTTTGCTAATAGTGTGAAGATATAAACTCAACTCTTAAAATTCTTTTAGAGTGCATACAGGATGTCTCTTTTTTTTTGCTAATTTAAACAGCTTTGTTGTGCAAAATTGGCACATAATAAACTGCTTTACATAAAATGTATAATTTGATAAGTTTTAATATAGGTATATATCTGTGAAACAATTGCCAAAATGTGTTACCCCTAAAAGTTTCCACATTTACCTTCCATTTTCTGACTCTATTCCCTCCCTGTGTCACCACCTCTCATCCTCAGGTAACCACTAATCTGCTTGTTGTACTTTCTACAATTTCATATGAATGGAATCATACAGTATGCATGCTTGTTTATTCTTGCTTCTCTCACTCATCTTAATTATTTTGAGGTTCATCCATGTTATTGCACATGTCAATAGATTCATCCTTTAGATTTCTAAGTGGCATTTTGTTGTGCAAGTATACCACATTCATTTAATCATTCAGCTGTTGATGAGCATGTGGTTTGTTTCCATTATTTGGCAATAGGAGATAAAGCCTCTATGTTCATTCATGTAGAAGTCTTTGCATGAGCATATGCTATAATTTCTCTTGGGTAAATACTTAGAAGTGGAATAGCTGGATCTCATTCAAGATATTTGTTTAATTTTTTTTTTTTTTAAAGAAACAGCTTAGTTGTTTTCTAAAGTGGTTATAGCATTCGACATTCATACCAATAGTGTATGAGAGTTCCAGTTCTTCCAAATCCTTATGGACATGAAATTTAACTATTCTAATAAATAAATAGTGGTATCTCATTTGTGGGTTTAATTTTGCATCTCCTTAACACTAATAATGTTGAGCATTTTTATGTGCTTATCTGCCATTTATATATTTCCTTGGTAAAATAATCTATTAAAATATTTCATCTATTTGTTTTCATTTTGCTTTTTTTTTTTTTTTGGACTGAGTCTTGCTTAATGCCCAGTCTGGAGTGCAGTGGCATGATCTCGGCTCACTGCAACCTCCACTTCCCAGATTCAAGTGATTCTCCTACCTCAGCCTCCCCAGTAGTTGGGATTGCAGGCACCTGCCACCATGCCTGGTTAATTTTTGTATTTTAGTAGAGACGGGGTTTCACCATGTTGGCCAGGCTGGTCTTGAATTCCTGACCTCAGGTGGTCTGCCTGGCTCAGTCTCCCAAAATACTGGGATTACAGGTGTGAGCCACCCTTCCTGGACTTCTTTTGCTCATTTTTAATTGTGTTATTCCTTCCCTTTGTTGGAGAACCATATTCAGAAACCATGATGTAAGTATTATGTATATCCAGTACTGTTGACCTGTTGCTGCCTCCAAGGCATCTCAGTGGGCAATTAGGAATATAGCTAATGCTATATCTCCAAAGTACATATGATGGAAACTTGATCTCCAATGTGGAGGTGATGAGAGGTGGTACCTTTAAGCGTTGTTTAGGTCATGAGGGTAATGCCATTATCGTAGGAGTGAGTTTAGTATAGAAAGGTGTGTTTGGCCCTCTTTTGCCCTCTGTCACCATCACTTGCCTTTCTGCCATGGGATGATGCAGTAAGAAACACCTTGGCAGATGCTGGTCCCTTCATCTTAGATTTCCCAGCATGCACAATTGTGAGCCAATAAATTTTTGTTCATTATAAATTACCTAGTCTGGGGTACTCCATTATAGAGGCACAATATGGACTAAGAGGAATATGTATTACTGTACATAAAAATAAATGTGTACATAGTGAATACATTCACGTTTGATTATCTATGTATGTTGAAAATTCTGAGTTCATAGAGGTAGTTTAGATTTCAATCCAACTTGACAGGATTCAATCTAGGGTTTTTTTTTAAAAAAAAAACTTTTCATGTTTTTATATTCATCGTTTAATACTGAGAAGCCTGGATTCCATTATCTCTAATATATTTACTCACTTGTAGTTTTCTTTTATGTAATCAATCTCCTGCCACATTTCTGTCCCCTCTCTATGTGGATACTCTTTAATTACACTTGAGTTCTGATATCACATAGAGGAATGTGTCTTCACCCCAATGATCTCTTTATCCCACTCAGAATTCAAGATGTACACTAGTTGGACAGTGGTTATCCAGGCCAGGCTGCATAACGCCAGCACTGGACTCGCTCCTTCTTGTCTCAAGCTCTCATATCCTGTTCTGGGTCATCAAACTCTACAGCCCTCTCCACCCACGTCCCCTAAGTTAGGACACCTGTCTTATTGCACACTATCTGATGGATTTCAGAAATAGAAATGTTCAGAAAGCAAGGGAAAAAGAAAGAGAAGGGAATGAAAGTGGAAGTACAAGAGGAAGAGGGAAAAATTCACCTAAATTTTCAAAATAGAAACTTAAGAAAATAGAAAGCAAATCTATTTTATGGCTTTCATGGAAGTTCGTTTCATCAAAAGGGGCAAGTCAAGAAGACACAATAGAGAAAGAGAAAGGCAGGAGAAAAAAGAAAGAGGGAGTACAATATAGAAGTTACCATCATATTCATTAGAAGCAAGTTACTAGGTCCAGACCACACTCAAGGGGAGAGGATTATACAGGTGTATGAATATCATTATATGGAGAGCATCAGAAGTCACTATAGAAGGCTGCCTACAACCCCTTTTATTTTCAAATATAAAAATTGTATAAGAGCACAATTTCTTTATTCTCTCCCCAAACTTTGTTGTATTGTAGTCATACATTTTAATTCTACTTATATTGTATGTTTCTCAGTGTGATACAAAAAATAGAGAATTTATATGCAGATGCTGCTCAACTTACAATAGGGTTACATCCCAATAAATCCAATGGAAGTTTAAAATATCATAAATTGAAAATGCATTTAGTACACCTAGCTTACCAAACATTATATTTTAACTTAGTCTTCTTCAAATGTGCTCAGAACACTATTTTACCTACAGTTGGATAAAATCATCTAGCACAAAGTCTATTTTATGATAAAGTGTTGAAAATTTAAACACAACATTGTTTATAGGAAAGACTTCTATGGGCTTGGGATGCAAAAAGAAAATTGTGAGCTAAGAAATTGTTGAAACAGGTTAGTAAATTTATTTTTTTTGTTAAGAATAACATGCATAGAAAATCATGTAGAGTTGGGATTCCTAATTTTCATAGATGGTTCTTTTCCCAACATGACTACAGACAATGAACGTACTCTTTGCAATGCCACCTTTAAAAACCACTCAACACCCACACATTTCCCTGTTATGCTTTCCTAGGGACACATCTGACACAAACATTATAAAATCTCTCCCAGCACCCTACAACCACCCAATTTCAATCTGAACATGTTACACTGAAAAAAAATGTTATGTCATAGAGACGTTTAAAATTTAGAAAATAGATTGAAAACATAATGCAAGTGAGTCAATGGTTTTTTAAACATATAATTCTGTCTCCTCTTTTCAGTAACCAATTATGTCAAAGTAACTGGTTTAGCTTCAGGTGATATCTGATTAATCCACCTTTTATGGCCAACTGACTATGGGCATGAATGCACTTTGCCTTAATTTTGTACTTTGAGTGTCTTTTTCCCCACTGCTTTTACATTCTTATTTCAAGCATTCTTCAGAGATATCATTATGGGATTCTTTTCTGTATTTTAGATGAAATTCAAATAAACTCCAGGCTCTCCAGTTCATCATTTATCTAAACCTGTTGTTTGATAAGCTAACAGGCTTATTTCATCATATTTTAAACATTTATACCCAGCAAGGAGAATGTCTAGCAGCATTAGAAAAGGAAGCCAGTCACATGTTCAGCCAAAGCACCATATTGTGTTTTCAACTTTGAACCAGCTGCCACAGCCTCTACTCACCTAATGTCCTATGAAATATCTATGAACTTTTAAGTGTAATCTTAACATATTTAGTGTTGAAAACTTCAAATGATAGACAGTATCGACTATAGAACAAATAGATAGTATAGATAAAAGGTTTTTCTTTTTCTTTTCTTTCTTTTTTTTTTTTTTGAGACAGAATCTCCCTCTGTTGCCCAGGCTGGAGTGCAGTGGCGCGATCTTGGCTCACTGCAAGCTCCGCCTCCCAGGTTCAAGTGATTCTCCTCCCTCAGCCTCCTGAGTAGCTGAGATTACAGGCACGCACCATCACACCCAGCTAATTTTTGTATTTTTAGTAGAGACGAGGTTTTACCATGTTGGCCAGGCTCGTCTCAAACTTCCGACCTCAGGTTATCCACCCGCCTTCACCTCCCAATGTGCAGGCAGAGATTACAGGTGTGAACCACTGCACCTGGAAATAAAAGTTTTATATAAATACACACACACACACACACACACACACACACACACAGTATGTGTGTGTTTAAGAGGGTGAGAGAGGAAAAAAGAGAGAGAGAGAGGGAGAACAAGAGAGAGAGAGAAAGATGTAGTAGCCAGAAGGAAGAATACAAGGGTTAAAATTAGAACATTATCTTTTCAAGGAGATTTTGTCTTGGAAGTCATACATAAAATTTCTGTTTATATCATATTTTTAAAAATTCTTCCCATACTTACCATTTATAAGGGTTCTTGAAAGTATTTTTATTCTGAGAAGCTATGTGCCCATCCAAAAATCAGAAGAATTAGAGAAAAAATACTTAAAGAGAATTATCCATGTTTACAATAAGGGTAAAGTTGTGTTGAATGTAAGAACCAAAGATGGTTTCACATCAGAAAATCTATCCATGTTATTTAGGACATTGAAATGCAGAAAACAAAGTTAATACATGCTAACATCTATCTTTTTGTTCTTAAAAAAGAAAACAATAGAAAGGAGCTCACTTAAATTGACAAAAAAAGTCATTATATGTGAAACATCCTGCTAATATAGTAATTTTAGATAATTACTTCTATAAAATTGTATGCTATAATTGACTATCATGGACAATAAAACTAATATGATGACATTTGATTATAACTACAGAGAAGTGGAAATTTAAAAGCCCTCATGCTTAATTCATTGTTTCATTAAGAAAATTATTATGTACCACACAGCCTCTAGGAGTTGTGATTTAGGAATATAACCATGAATATAGTTACCTCTGTCTACAGGGAGTTATATATTATTTTATTTCGGAGAGGGATACAAGCAAGTAAACAACCAGAAAACAATATAATACACGCCAAAAGTGAGGCAGGAAAAAATTTCTATGGGAGAACAAGTATGGTGTATTTAACCCACGGATGTGGAGAAGTGTCAATCAAGAAATGTCTCTGGAGATGTTGACATGTCAGGTAAATTGTGGAGGGTTGCTCAGAGTTACCCAAAAAAGGGGGGGGGGGACCTAGGCATTGCACATAGTGATAACTTAATTTCAAAAGCACAAAGGTGAAAAAGAGTGCATGCTACTTTCACAAAATGCTAACCAAAATAGTTAAGTTTGACATGTAGAACCAGGGAGTGAAATGGGCTGACTAGATAGGCTGTGTATCATCTAAACACGTTTACCTGTTGAAGTGTATGATTTTGCAAAATCTCATGAGATATCAATCTTCAAGTCCCATAGGCTGTACTTCCAACCCTTAACTATTCAGCATTTTTTTCTAGAATTATTTCTTTAGCTTCTGAATTTTTTCCAATTCTTTGTAGATGGCCAGAGGCAATGAGATAGTATGGTTCATTCAAGATAAAATGCCAAGCATGCAGTTAAAGTTTATAGCAAATGTTCCATGTGGAGATTCAGCAGAGAGAAAGCTTTGCCTAAGAAGATGCTAATCTGATATATTTAAATGGGTAGGAGAAGGGGAGTGAAGAAGAGCCTCATTACAGATTCAACAGTGAGTGACTCTGAGAGAAGGGTACTGATAGAGCTTCCTGAACCTCCAGTGAAGCCAATAAGCCTGTGATATCAAACTCCCTGAGCTATAAACCCAGATGCTCTAACTCCAAACTCAAGCAGCATCACCCATCTGCTTCTGTTTTGTATTCTGGCTTCGTTACAGAGTTCCTACGGGAGTGCTAAATTGTTGGGAGTTTCCTCCATGCCTGCCTTTCAATATTAACCTCTAGGCTATCAAATTTCCTAAATTAAGTACCATAAAATACCCTTAGGTTATCAAATTGCTTAAATTATGCACCATGGAATATAAATAAACAATCAGACTTTAAATATGATTGCACTCCTTGTGAGGCATGTGTACAAAATTCAGCACTAGCATGCTTTATATTGTGAAGTTGCCAAAATATATTTTATGTGCTTTCTCACTCAGGCTTGACTTCAGACTAAAGGAGAGCTAGGCTTCTTGCCTGTTATTGTTGCCTTCAAGCCCAGAATGAGGATAGGATATGCTTTCTGTTATCAACTGGTGCAACGGGCTGGGCTGTGACCATAGCTGCAGCCTGGATTACACTAATTTGTCCTTTTATTTTGGAAAGTTCTGTGTAGACTGGATTATGCCCTCCCCACAACCAAAAAAATATATATATATTTTATATATATATAATATAAATATAAATAAATATATATATATATATATATATATATATATATATATATATATAAAATGTTGAAGCTGTAACCCAAAATCTGACTTTATTTGAAGACAGGGCCTTTGGGTAGGGCCCTAACCTGATATATTTGGTGTCCTTTTAAGAAGAAAAAGAGGTGCCAGAGAACTATTTCTCTCCTCATGAGCACAGAGGAAACGCCAACTGAGCACAGAATAAGAAGGTGGCCATTCACAAGCCAGGAAGAGAGACCTCATCAGAAACCAACCCTAACTTCACCTTGACCTGGGACTTCCAGACTCCAAAACTGTGAGAAAATCAATATCTGACATTTTAGCCAGCCCATCTGTGGTATTTTGTAATGGTAGCACAAGCAGGCTAATATAGAATCCCTCAGTGAAAGGCAGAGAAGATTTAGGGAAAATATTTTGGAATGCCCCTACAAAGATACAGAGGGTACCATGAAGACCATGAAGAAGAGAATTAAACATACTTCTTTGGTCATTGCAGTAGACAGCTCCTAAGATGGACCCCAGGAGTCCCGATGTTCGCACTATTTTCTAATACCCCACCTCCTTGGATGGGGGATGGACCTAGTCACTTACTTCTAATGAATAGAATGTGGCAGAGGTGATAGGATGTCACTAGATTACGTTTGACAGATTTAACAAGAAGAAAACTCAAAATAACTAATTCGATTTTAATTTCAGAGAAACCTTTTTACTTTTTTTTTTTTTTTTTTGTATTATCATGCTCCTTGAAACATTCGGGAGACATTTTTACCAAAACAAAACAAACAAAAAAAAAAAGATGAAACGTTTGGGAGACACTTATACCAAAAAAAAGATATTGTTTCTCTGAAATGTAAATTTAATCAGGGAACTCTACATTAGCTTCGAGCAAATAAATGTGAAAAACTTGGTGGATTATGTTACAATAAGACTGTGGCTTCTATCCTGGGTGCCCTCTCTTGCTCACTCTCTTTCTGAGAAGCCAGCTGCCATGTTTTGAGCTTCCTTAGGGAGAGGCTATTGTGGCAAAAAAACTGAGTGATGTCTTTGGCCAACAGATACCAAGAAATTGAGTCCTGATAACCGCCACATAAGTGAGCTTGGGAGTCATTACTCTACCACTGGAGCCTTGATAAGACTGTTATTCAGCCAACACCTTGATTATAGCGTCCTGACCAGGGAAGCCAGCTGAACTCTGTCCATGTTCCTAACCTATAAAAACTATGAGATCATTAATGTGTTTTGTTTTAACTTCTAAACTTTCAGTAATGTGTTATGAAGCAAATGATGACTAATATAGTCACTGAGCCTTCACTGAATCAGCCAGTTGATTCTTCTTTCCTGGAAGGCCACATGAAGACTCTGAAGCAGTTGCATGAGCTTACATGCCATAGCACCCTGAACATGATATCCCTCTTTCCAGGAGAACTTGGTTCACTCCAGTCTCCACTCCTCTTCACTTGGTTCTACAGTTAATTATACCTTAGTGCACAGCCCAGGAATCACCTCTTGCAGGAAGCCTTCTCTGTATTTGAGGCCAATTGTGCATATATCCAAACATACTTTGAATAGTCGTATTGCATTTACTACTACACTGTAATGCAGTTTCACTTATTTTTTCCTTTTGCTCTTCCACAATTTCCAAAGGTTTTGCCGAGTACTCCGTCTGACATGTAGTGGATATCAAAAAGAGTTGAAAAATGAGAAGGATCAGAGCAACACTTAAAAAAACAAGTAGCTCATGTTTGGTCTGATCCTACAGGATTTATAGAAGGGGAAATAAAACCTGATAACGTTCTTTCTGCTTAAAATATGATGATTGCATTTATTGGAGAGTACTCTGGGTGTAGGGGTTCAGCAGCCCTTTAAGGCAAGGTGCACTGGATTGAGAAGACGTGGAGAGAGAATGAAAGAACACATTCTCTCTTTTTGAGAAAGTTGAACTGAGAGCATCAGGAGATGGTAGACTGTGGTCCAGCATGTAGGCTCTGGGGCAAGACAGTCTGTTATTGAAGTCTGAGGCCCACATTGCAGTGAGGATGTGGCTTCAGTAAATTATTTAGATCATCCATATCTCAGTTTTCCCATCCATAAAATTAAGTCAAAAAATGTATTCGTTAAGTGTTTACAAGACTACACAGCAATACACAGAGTTGGCTAAATAAGTGTTCCTGCTTTAAGGAATATTCTTGCAGTAGGTATATTTCTACTACAAATAATAGTAAATAGGTAAATTTTTAGAAAATAAAGCAGTGGAATAAGCTGTGTGGTAATAATAACACTAATAGTTGCAAAATGCTTGCTCTGTGTGGGGAGCATGCTATTAACATAAGCTCAAATATATTAATTCTTATACATACCTTGTGGGAGAGGTACACTTTGTAGATGATCTATTAGGTGCACAATACAATTAAGTAACGTGTTCAAAGTCACGGTACTAGTAGATGTTGAAACTAGGACTTGATCCCAGATAATCAAGATCCACAGCCTGCACTCCTAACCTTTGTACGATCCTCAGTGGTCAGTTTCTATTACCCAAAGTTGGTTAAGCTCCCGCTGACTGAGATTTTGCCTTGGATAGAAAGATAAGTTTCCTTTAGGATTATTATACAGCTTTTTTAGTTTTCTAAAATTGTTTGACTTTATTTTTCCCCATTCATTAGTTTTGTACTTTACATATTTATTTTTAAATAAAATTTTTTAAAAAATAAGTATTTACCAGAATGGGCTATGGCTACTAAAGCTAAATTTTTATTCAGTTCAAATCTGTTTCCTTATATTCTAAGGGAGAGAGGCAGCATGTTGGGGACATAAACTATTTTTTGTTTGTTTAAGGGTTGAAAATAGTAAAAGTCCATCTTAGCTATTGAACCTTATTGTCCAAGAAAGGGTGTTGTGGTGGTGTAACCTTAACTGTAGTTGTTCCCTGTTCTGAAAGGAAGAACAGAGTCATCCTGAGAGAAGAATGGGTCTAAGGAAGTGTAGATGGCTGAGTCCAAGGAGTCAGTAGATCCTGAATCATATTTGAGGCCGGCTTGTAAGAAGTGGTTAACACCCTCAAACATCTGAACTCCTGAGGGCTCCCTAGATACCAAACAAAGAGGTTGTGTGAATAACATGGGCCCAGGTACCTGTGAATGAAGGGCTCTAAGTGTGTATGCTCTCAAGACAAATCAGAACAGTTTTGTACACTTGAGCTGTGAACAAAAGAACCAAATACCCTTGTTACATACGTATTGAACATCTATGTTCTGTGAGGCAAAGTGCTAACTAGTGAGGATACAGAGATAAATGCAGGCACTTGATGAGTTAGAAATGAAAGTATGTAAATACCCTTTCCTATGTGGGATAATGGAGATCTGTACAAGGTACCAGGGAGCTGATAAGATGTAATACCTCCTGGGATATTACAGGGCAAATGTTTCTTGAATATACTTTTGAGGGGAGTCTGACATATGAGATTAAGGAGGGCATTCCAAGCAAGAAGCACAATTTGTGCAAAGATATTAGGATAGAACAAAAGAATAACACATTGGGGAAACTGCGGATCTCAGTAACAAATAAAAGGGAAAATGAATTTGGAAGGAAAAAATCATCTTATCGAGATCTGTAAACGTTGTTAAGCTTACAAAATGCCATGTACAGAATAGAGCCTCAGTAAATTTATTAAATTGGCTTAAGCCATTTATGAATTTCTCTTTTAACATCCTAATGTCTCCCAGGTTTTATGAATTCTACCACATATATCAACTAAGATTACATAGTTTGACTATGCAAGGCTGGCAAGTTTTACATGTGTTTCCTGGTTACCTTAAGAGCATAATTTATTTTGGATTTGTGCATGTGCATGGAGGCACATAGCTAGAACTATGCAGATGGTAAAGAGGATAAGAACAAGACAACTTTATATTGTTGAATTTTTGAAATATATTTCTTCTCACCTCTACCGCACACACACAAACCAAGTACTACTTGTTTCTTGCTGTATTGGACTAAACCCCCCTTTTTTTTATTGTAAATGCTATTCATTGGCTTTTGTTACTATCTTCATTTTTGGTTTGTTTGTTTGCTGTCACTCTTTTCTTTTTATTTCCCCAAAACCTGGATCATTTTATTGGAGGGAAACTATTGTAAAGTGTTCTGCTTAAAATATTATTTTTGTGTGTTTATAGTTGAAATCTTTGTCTACATTGGTGAAAAAGTACAGACACATATTTGTTTAACAGTTGCCAAGTCCTCAGCAATAGTAATCAATAGAGTTTAGTGGTTAAGCTTTCACTAAGTATCACAAAAAATATACCTTAAAAAAAAGAGGGCCAGGCTGATAGGTTCCAGGCCTCTAGCCACTGTTGTAAAGACAATACAATGGCTACACTAGCCATGATCAGGATAGGAGGAGTTTGTGGTAGTCATGTGGGGCATTCTCTGAATCTCTTTGGTTCTTGGCCTCCTTGGTGAATGAATTCTGTCTGAGAACCCCATGTGAGAGTAAAGCTATGTAACTAGTTTGGGCCAAGGAGTTCAAGCAGATGTTGAACATCTGCTCAATAATATAGATGTTGAACATATTAGAGTTCACACATAAGTTAATTGCTGCTGCAAGACTCTCCAGAGAACTCTCCTCTCACTGTGGCAGAAATTGGAGAACTTTGAGATAACTCCTTCTTTTATTCTCTGTTGTTGTTGTTATCCCAGCACAACTGGCTTATCCTGAAAAAAATAGAACTTAATCATCATTGTTTAGAATGAGTGAGAGAACAACAGTGGAAAAATGCAGAGTACATTGCTTTGAATTCATCAAAAAACAAACAAACAAACAAAAAACCTGTCTGCTGGAAAGGATTTTAAGTCATTGGATGTGGGAAGATTTGATTTTGAGTCCGTGCTTCATGTTTTACTTGCTTAACTGGGATGATTCTTATATTATTAATTATAATATAATTAATAACCTTATATTGATTATTACAAATCAATAAGGCCTTGATATTGATATTTGATTTTGAGGCAATTTATATTGGTGGATAGTAGTTGAGAAAACAGTGGGCTAACCAAAATGCTTAAAATGAAAATCTAGGAAATGAGATGTCCATGGAACCTAGGAAAATCTCTGACATATCCTTTGTAATCTAGAAGATCATTCACATGTGCAGGGTTGTGTGTACATCCAAAAAAGAGAAAAAAATGGAAAACTTTCACCTCCACTTGATCTTGAGTATCTGTGTAAGCAAGAAGTGAAGGCTAAGGCAGAGTTGTAAATTGCCTGCATCATTGTTGGAGGCATGTTTCAACATGTTCGTAGAACTCTTCAGCAAAGGCAGGGAGATTTCTTGGTTCCAGGCATTTAAAGTAAACACTGTATAATGATTAATTGACCACTAAGCCAACCATACAGATATTTCAATGGTATAACTAAGAAAACAGACATTATAGAATTGGTCATAAAAGCAACTAATTAAGCAAACAACAATATCGACAACAAAGAATAGCAGTATCAATTTCTGGGGAGAAGAAGGATTTTGATTTTCATGTTTATTACATTATTTATTTTCTTTAAAATATTGAGTTTTCAACAAAAATTGTGACATTAAAAAACTGAAATTTTAGTGTAGATAATACACAGAAAACAAATCTATCAGTTAGAAATTTTCCATGAGAAAGTTCAGACATTTAACTTATTACAGAGTACCCTTAAATTAGTTATTTTAATATTTCCACAGAACTAAAGAAAATTATGTCTAAAGACCTAAAAGAAATTACAAGAATGATTTCTCAGCAAATAAAGAAGAATATCAATAAAAATATAAAGTTTATTTAAAAAAAATAAATAGAAATTCTGGAGTTGAAAAAGACAATATTAAATTTTAAAAAATACTAGAGAAAAATACTAATCAGATTTGAGCAGTCAGAAGAAATAATCAATAAGCGTGAATAACAGAAAAAAAAACATAAAGAAAAATGATTAGAAAAGAGCATTACAGATATGTAGAACACCATAAAATACACCCATATACACATAGTGGGATTCCAAAAAGGAGAGAAGGGATAGAAAAGAGCACAAGTAATATTTGAAGAGATATAAACACCCAAATTTCCAAACTTGATGAAAAACATTAATTTACATATCCAAGAAACTCAGCATACTCCAAGTATCATAACCTCAGAGATCCATACTTAAACACATCATAATCAAACTGACCAAAACTAAAAACAAACACCCCAGATAAAATAAATAGGTAAATAAATAAATGGAGGCAGAGAATTTCGAAAGCAGCAAAAAAGAAATGACATCACATACAAAGTATCCTCAATAACATTTACTACTAATTTCTTCCAGAAACCAAGTAACTAAGAACCTATGAAATGACGTATTCAATGTGTGAATAAAACAAACTGTCAGCTAATAATTTTACAGCTCCAAATCTATTCCAGTGAAATAAAGGAAACTTTAAGAATTTCCGAGATCAACAAAATCTGAAGAAATCTGTCATTAGTGAAACTTCTATATAGGAAACACCAAAGGGAGTCCTTCGGACTGAAATATAAAACACTAGACTTTAAGTTGAATCCCCATGAATTAATAAAGAACACCAGTAAAGGTAGTTATTAGGTGAGTGCAAAAGTAATTGCGGTTTTTTCATTATTGGAATTTGCCATTTGATACTGGAATACATTTTTTAATATATGTGGTTTATTATAAATCATTTTAATGGACATTTCTCACTTTATGTATTTTTCCTAGTGACTTACTACTTGCTGTTCATTTTATGTTTATTTTAGACTATGGAAATGATGTTAGACAAAAAGTAAATTCAAGTGATTTTCTTATTTGAGTTCAAAATGGGTTGTAAAGCAGCGGAGACAACTCTCAACATCAACAACGTATTTGGCTCAGGAACTGCTAACAAACATACAGTGCAGTGGTGGTTCAAAAAGTTTTGCAAAGGAGATGAGAGCCTTGGTGATGAGGAGCATAGTGGCCAGCGATTGGAAGTTGACAACGACATCAATTGACAGCAATAATCGAAACTGATACTCTTACAACTGCCTGAGAACTTGCCAAAGAACTCAACATCGACCATTCTATGGCCCTGTGACATTTGATGCAAATTGGAAAGGTGAAAAAGCTCGATAAGTGGGTACTTCATGAGCTAAGTGAAAAAAAATATCGTTTTGTCTTGTCTTATTCTACACAATAGCAACGAACCGTTACTCAATCAAATTGTGATATTCAATGAAAAAGGGATTTTATACAGCAACTTTTGATGACCAGCTCAGTGGTTGGATCAAGAAGAAGCTCCAAAGCGATTCTTAAAGCCAAACTTGCACCAAAAAAGGTCATTGTCACTGTTTGGTGGTCTGATGCCGGTCTGATCCACTACAACTTTCTGAACCCCAGCAAAACTATTATATCTGAGAAGTAGGCTCAGCAAATAGATGAGATATACTGAAAACTGCAATGCCTACAGCCAGCATTGATCAACAGAAAGGGCCCAATTCTTCTCCACAACAATGCTCAACTGCAGATGGCACAACCAATGCTTTGAAGGCTACAGAGTTTTGTCTCATCCACCATATTCAACGGACCTCTTGCCAACTATCACTTCTTCAAGCATCTTGACAACTTCTTGCAGGGAAAAGGCTTCCACAATCAGCAGGATGCAGAAAGTGCATTCCAAACATTTGTTCAGTCCTGAAGAATGATTTTTACACTACAGGAATAAAGAAACTTATCTGTCATTGGCAAAAATGTGTTGATTGTAATAGTTCCTATTTTGATTAATGAAGGTATGTTTGAGCCTAGTTATAAGGATTTAAAATTTATGATCCAAAACTGCAATCACTTTTGCACCAACTTAATGCATAAGTAAATAGAGTATGAATGTATAAAAGGCAGCATAAATGTATTTTTGCTTCTAACTCATTGTGTTCTCCTATTATTAAGAGACATTAAAGATAAAGGTTCAGTGGTAGAAATTCAGGTATTATTAATAGATTTAAAAGAAAGCTGCATAAAGCAGTAATTATATATCTGTGGTGATGGGCATACAATGTATACAATGACATAATAATAACAGCAATGTCTTCACAAAGGAAGGAAATGAATGCAGCACTATATAGGGATAAGGTTTTGTGTACAATTGAAATTAACGGCATTAATTCAAACTAAATTGTTACAAATTAAATTGCTAATTGTAATCTCCAGGACAACACTATGAAGGTAACTAAAAATATAGTACAAACAATGAAAAAGAAATTAAAATGGTATGTGATATAATTTGCATATTTGTCCCTGCCCAAATCTCATGTTGAATTGTAATCCCCAATGCTGGAGGTGGGGCCTGGTGGGAAGTATTGGATTATGGGGATGAATCCCACATGACTTGTTGCTGTCTTCCTGATAGTGAGTTCTCAGGAGGTTATTTATTTTATTTTATTTTTTTGACGGAGTCTCGCTCTGTCGCCAGGCTGGAATGCAGTGGTGCAATCTTGGCTCACTGCAACCTCCACCTCCTGGGTTCAAGCGATTCTCCTGCCTCAGCCTCCCAAGTAGCTGGGACTACAGGCATGTGTAACCACGCCCAGCTATTTTTTTGTATTTTTAGTAGGGATGGGGTTTCACCATGTTAGCCAGGATGGTCATGATCTCCTGACCTCGTGATCTGCCCACCTCGGCCTCCCAAGGTGCTGGGATTATAGGCGTGAGCCACTGCTCCCGACCTGGTCTGGTCATTTAAAAGTGTGTGGAACTACCTTCTTTGATCCCATTCTTGCCATGTGATGTGCCTTCTCCCTCTTCACCTTCTGCCATGATTGGAAATTTCCTGAGGCCTCCCCAGAAGCGTATGCCACTTTGTTTCTTGTACAGCTTGCAGAACCATGAGCCAATTAAACCTCTTTTTATAAAAAGTTACCCAGCCTCAGGAATTTCTTTATAGTAGTGAAACAATGGCCCAACACAGTATTGTAGAAAATATCTATTCAGCATAGCTAACTCTGACCATACTTTAAAACCCATTTCTTAAGTATTTCTTTTTCTTCTTTACTCCAATCTATTATGAAGGTGGCCTTCTTTGAATATTTGCTGCTTCCTTGAGCTCTTAGAAACACAGCTTAATAACTAAGATTCTGATATAATAGAAAGACATTAAGTTTTGGAGTTACAGAGATCTAACATTTAGTTCTTGTACCATCAGAAGTTAGTGAGGTTAACCCAGAGCTATGTACATCATGTCGTGGAGTGTTTAGCTGCTTCTCTCCTATGACAAATGGAGGTAATATTCTTGACTTTGCCATGTTTGTGGGAGGACTAATCTTACTCCAGCGCATGGCATGTGGTAAGCACTTATGGTATTATTATTGTCTTCCTATTATATTTCAGAACTCATTCCTGCATTTTTTCCACTGTTAAGCTTTCATTTTATTAAGTTCTGCTGATTATACCTCAGAGAATGCCCATTAGCTTCCAATGATCCACAGTGCCTGTCTTAGGAGGAGGTCTTGCCCATCTCTGGGTTTTTTCATCATGCAACGGTGGTAGAGGTTCAGGGGTGAAAATTAGAAGGTTGGGTAGAAGAAAGGGCAGTGGAACCCAAGATGAGACTTTACTAGGAATTGAAAAGGTAGCTAAGAAACTCAATCTGGTGTGCTTGCTATTTACTTGTTTGCATTTTATGTATAGACACTTATGTATAATACACAGCATTCCTATTTTGAGAATGCAATGAATACAAGAGTTATGCAGATAATTAAAGATAGCAAAGTAGACTCATTTTACCTTACTTAACCAGGTAAACTCCACATTCAATGAGAAAAAGCAACAATCATAGGTGACAACATTAGAAATATTAGAACTATAATCAACATATTCTCATTCCAGCTTCTCAAATTAGTCAAATCTACCACTTTTTAACTAACTCAGCCAAAGTCTTAAGTACTACATTTATAAAATATTGATTAAAAAAACCTTTCACTTGTATGATATAGAAAAAAATCAGAACTTTTAAATGATTGCAGCTAATGGGTCATTAAAATCTTGGGTTATATCCATATTTCGGCCAAAAGACATTTAAAAGTAGATAACTTTATTACCCCCAAAATGGGTTTAGATAATCAATTATATATCCTAATGTGGTTTATTAATAGGTGCTTAGTACTAAATAACATCAGACTTTGTCCACAGGGAATTACTTTGTACTCTGAGCTACCAGAAGAGAGGAAGATATGAAATGATTGAGTTTCAGGAGTAAAGGAAATGAGCTATAATAAGTTTATATATAAACTATTTTGAAGCCTTTCCTTGAGTCATCTTTGTGCCTCCTTGAGGCAGGTTTGCTTTGCACTCCTCCTGTGGGAGGCCAGGGCAAGAGATCATTGATAACATGTTCAATAACCTCATGACCCTCATGTGCATTTTATGCCATGTTGTACTTTGTTAGCTGAGATGAAAAACCAGCCAATAAAGTCTTCATTCAGCACTTCTTCTGGAATGACAGGAGAGGGGCAGAGTTCCAAGACTCCTTTTCAATAACCAAGTCTATAACAGTCCTTAACCCTTATTGGGGGGAAGTCAAGTGTGAGAGTTGCAGGGTCTTTTGGTGAGTACAGTAGATATTTGTAGTGAAAGAGTTTGTGTGTGTGCCAAGTGGATGTTCAGCTGTGTCTATAAAGGTAAGCTGTTGTGACGTTTCCTAAGGAGGATTCAAATCCCATATTTAAGGGCCATCCTTTGACAAAATTATAAAGAGAATATATACAATAATCTTTATTTGGCACCTTTTAATCTTCCTTTTCTCTCTCCCCCTTCCTCATACTTGAATTCACAGAATTGTATACTTTTTCTTACTGGTAATCTAAGCAGCTATTCTATTTACTTTTGTTTTCCCAGTTAGTTGTCAATTATTACCTGGGAAGTAATTTACTAATAATTAACTGTTAGTTGTTAACTGAGAGTTGTCTTATACATTCTACACCACAATTTTCTATTTGCTTCTGCATAAAGCAGGAATGTCTCCTCCTTGTAGTTTCTGCTGTTTAAATAAGAGACAATGCAATCTTCCACTTAGAAGCACAGGTGTAGAATCAGAAAGGCTGAGGTCTGAATATTAATTATGCCACTTACAAGCTGTGACCTGAGACAGTGACTTCTTTTGCCTATTCATAATAATTTCTAATTTTATTGAGGATTTAATACATGACATTGCCTTCTTGCAATCTCCTTAACAACCTATTGAAAAGGTGCTACCCTTATTTCTGTTTCATAGGTGAGGGAAGTGAGGCTTAGAGTTATTAAATCACTTGCACACTGTCATGAAATTAATAGTTACAGAGCTGGAATTAAAAACTTGCTCTGTCTGACTAAGCATGTAAAACTCCTCTCATGCTAGTACTATTCTTTCTTTATCAGGAAATTGTGGGTAACGATGCTTCCTTGAAAATTCTGTTGTGAGCTTTAAGTTATGTGTCCTGGAGATTCTAGTATAGTACTAGAACATAAGAGGTGACGATATACATAGATTACCATTTCTAATATTCTAAAGTCTGTAGACTCAGAATGCGTTAAAAAGACAGGATGGAATTATAGAGGTTAGAGTTGATTCTTTAAAAGACTAAGAGCAAGACAAATATGTTTAATATGATTACACATAATTAATTGTTTTAAAATTCTTTTTAAGTAAAATATTATTATCCTTAGTCTATGGATGAGAAAAGTGTATATGCCACCTGCAATCGATATTATGATTTGTGATAGGCCCTGAAAAAATATGCATATGGCCCGGTTTTTGCAGCCAAAGAACTAAAAGTCTAGTGGATTAAACATAATTTTTAGGTGCAGTATATTAGATGCTAGAGTTGTGTATATGCGTAAGGATTCATAATAATACAATGGAGAGATACTTACTACAACCTTAGGAAGTCAAAGGAAGTCTTACATGAGGACAGGGGAACCCTGAGTCCTAGAAACAGAAAAAGTGTTACCTACCAAGGGAAGCTCATTTGCAAATGCATTCAAACATGAGTGATCCACACTATGGTGATTTATACAACTACAGAGATGGTTTCATAAGGTGTTGAAGAGGGAGGGTGGGTCATGCATGGCCTGTGATTTTAACAACATGATATTTAAATAAAAGACCAGGATCTCTTTAGTAATTGTATCCTGTAGGAAGCATTGCTGAGTATCTGTTGATTTTTTATCTAAGCATCTGTTATCCATTTTGCTAGTAACAGAGTCCTATTTTTTTCAAGGCCCTCTCTTCTAGTGTGCCACGTATGTGAGCCTCTGTTAGCCTCTGTGGTCATGTGACTAAGACTAGCCAATCAAAGTGTCCCATTCTGTTAACCATGGCTCATAGGTCAAGAGGAGCCACTAGCACAACCAGAAGCCAAGCTTCCAAAGGAGGACTTTTGTGGATCTGTTTGTCTCGAAGCATCTCTCTCTTCCACTGGCATTAATGTACGAGCCCGGAATTGTCGGTACATGATTGGACTTAACAGGAAGAGAGTTTCTGCCTCAGAGTTGAGCCACTCACAAAAACCCAGCACTGAAAGACAGGGTGAATGAGAGTGAGTCCTGAGGACACCATCTTCTCTGTATTTACCTTCTGCTATCACCATCAATGCTTTTAGCACAATTGAAGTAAGCTTAGTTTCATATCCAGTGCACCAAAACACATTCTGGCTAAAAGGAAAGCTAGTGGTATACTTTTAGTTACCAATGTTTAAGAGATGTCATTAATTCATGAAAACCAGAACCTCTGACAAGAGTCTTTCAAAAATGCATTCACATCTAAATTACTCGGTAGGTATTCATAAAATATGCATTCCCTTTATCTCTCTGAGGATATAACTAACTTTCCCTTTTTTATTTTATAAATTATGTATCTGAGCAAGTAGAGGTGTTTTGACCTGGAGTTATCCTCCAATGCTTAACCACCTCATGAGGCTACGGCAGTGGAATATTCCTTTTCTTCTCATCATCTCCAATTTGACTGCCCACTAAACTGAAAGGAATTGTTCTCTGTGCTGTCCCATTGAATTCAACAAACAGTTATTGAGCTAGGTTCCAGGTTCTGTGATACATGGTAGTGCACTAATACAAAAGGTGCCCTCTGCCCTGCTGCTGCTCAAAATTCACTGGTAGCAACAAACAGGTAAACAGATTTGTGATTTATTACATGCATAAATAAACATAAGTACAAAGTGCAGTGGTGACACTGAAAAGGGAATGGGTACATATACTGGTTCAAAGCAGGGTGAGTCATGTCAGTGAGAACTTCAGAGGGAAAATTCCACACTCTTGGGGATAATTTACAATCGATGTAACATTTCCTCATTACATACTTGATATATATCAGTCTCAAGCTATCGGCTTTCTAAATATCTGACTTTCTATAAAAAAGAGATTATCTCTGCCTGGTATTAAATGTCTTTTCTCAAAATTGTTATGATACAACATATGTAAGTTCAACCTTTTTCCCTTTTCTCAGTTGTCAAGAAAAACACCGTGATTATGAAGAGAAGAGCAAACACCCTGAACATTCACAAAGATTCTTCTTGTTCTAAAATTCTAAACTATGCTGGTCCATGGTGATGCTCTCAAAGAAATTAGTGACAAAGTAAATGTCACTAAGTGTTTTATCTTCAATGTATGCTATGAAGCAATCTTTTTCAGAAAATACATATGTTCTAAAAAAAAGAAAGACTTAGTTAACTAGAATATAATGGTTATTGTTGGTCTTCAATTTTCCTTCAAAAGGAAAAACAAAGGTATTTTTTTAAGTTGTTTTAAGTGACATACAGAAGACTGTCTGAACCCACCAGATTTAAAACCATATGGTAGCACAATCTCATTTTGGAAATGTAATTAAGTCTAGAATTCTTGATTGTACTTTGTAGTTAATAGCTCGATTACATTTAGAATTCCTTTCTTCATTTTTTGAGTTTTCTTAGTTTACGCTATTGTTCAGTAGTGCTGTCTCTTAAATTCTAGTAATGGATTTAGAATATTGTGCATGGTGTGATGTAAATAACAACTTGCTGATTATTTATTGCATTGTTATAGACCAATCAGTTTGTATACTTGCAGCACGGAACAGACCATTACAGTGTGTCAGCAGGGATTGCAGCAGAGAAAAAGTTTAATGATTGAAAGGTGCCAAGTGAGGAGATGGGAGGACACCTTTAAATACATCTCCCTGGGGAGTTTTGGGCTGGAGATATTAAAAGGATCATGGAGGGCAAGGGACTGGAAAATACAGGTTGTTGATTGGTCAGGGTAAGGAGGGAAAATAATCAGGATGTGGAAACTGCACTCTTTGGTGAGTCAGCTCTTCCTGGGGTCCCTCAGACAGCTGATGACAGTACTTTCGTCAGTATGCAAGATCTGCAGGAATACCTGAAAGGGAAAACTAAACATTTTATAATATTCATGTTGTTATCTCTAGAGCAGTTAAAAGGAACTATAATCTTGTAACAGGGTCTATGTGATTCTGAGGCAAGAGGCATGACAACTATGAGGAAGCAGGTCACAGAGCAGCTGACCTAGTGATCGATGATGAGTGTGCTGCAAGCTGGGTTTATTTTCCTTTCTTTCCCTCCCTTCTTTCCTGATTAATTTTATAAAGTGTTTAGGAATGGTTTCAACATATTTTCTATTTTTGAAAGATATTGGTGTTTGTATAAACTTTTTTCATTATTATTAATCACAGTCCCCATTTGGTGATATATCTAGAAATAAGTTATCAATAACATGTGTAAATATTTAATAATTATCTGTTTTTTAAAAAATAAATCTGTCACTTTACAACACAAGCTTATACATACATAAAAGGCAAAAGAATACACAGATATCTTGGAATTCGTAAGTCTAAAAGTAAATGTTCTACATTTCTACACAGAAAACTTTATAACATAAATAGCATATGTTAAAGAACTAAATAATATGTTCATGTATTGGGAGACTCAACATCCAAAATATATCAATTCTGTATAATTCAATCTATAGATTACCTACCATATTGATAAACTTTTAGCATCCTTTAAACTGGAAGTTAATCTGCCAGGGTTAAAATATTTGTGATTTTTAACACTGGCTGATTAATTTTGTGTCTGGATTCTTTTACTTGGCATAATGCTTCTGAGGATCTTTGACATTGTAGCAATTATCAGTGTTTTATTCCATTTGTGTGGCTGAATTATATTTAGTTGTATGAATAAACCACAATTTGTTTATCTGTTAATCAGTTGATGAACATTTGGACTTCTTTTTCACATTTTACTATGATAAATAGCCCTGTTATCAACCTGCACCTACCTGTATTTGTTTGAATATCGATTTTGAATTCACTGGGTGTATACCAAAAAGTAGACTTAATTAGCCATATGATATTTGTATGTTTAACTTCTGAGGAACCACTAAACTGTCTTCCATAGTGACTGAACCATTTTACCTTTCTCCCAGCAAGGGAAGAGGGTTTCCATTTCCATTTCTGTCTGTCTCTCTAATACAGCCACTCTATCTGTGAAGTTCAGCAGTGGATAAGATTAGCCTTGAGTGGTAGAAGTGAGGATCGTGGTTAACAATGGAAAAGTGTGGGACACAGTGACTAGAAGGGGACAAAGGGGGACTTTGGTAAAGAAGAGTGATGTTGTAGGTGGTGGTGACGTGTATGTTTACCTTGTGAGAGTCTATAGGTCTCTACACTTATGACTTAACACTTTTCTGAGAATGTTATATTTCAATCAAATGGTTTCTTTAGAAATGTTGATTGCTGGGCGCGGTAGCTCACGCCTGTAATCCCAGCACTTTGGGAGCCCGAGGTGGGTGGATTACGAGGTCAGGAGATCGAGACCATCCTGGCTAACACAGTGAAACCTTGGCTCTACTAATAAATACAAAAAAATTGGCCGGGCGTGGTTGCCAGCGCCTGTAGTCCCAGCTACTCTGGAGGCTGAGGCAGGAGAATGACGTGAACCCGGGAGGCGAAGCTTGCAGTGAGCCGAGATCGCGCCACTGCACTCCAGCCTGGGCGACAGAGCGAGACTCCGTCTCAAAAAAAAAAAAAAAAGAAAAAAAGAAAGAAAGAAAGAAAAAAAAGAAATGTTGATTATCAATAACTACTTTAGAGTAGTCATTAATACAAGTGATAGTAAATAAGCACTTCTTCTGAAATGGATGTCAATAGTCATGTGAGAGTCACAGCGGTCTGATAGAATTTGAAGGTCTAGCAGATGGTGTAAATTGTCATCTGATTCTAATTTGATGTACATTTTAGCACATAGTTGTCACACCAATAAAATTATGTGAATAAATACTTACATTTCTTTTGACTATTTTGGCTCAAAATAATTATTTTGATATTGCTAGCATGGAAAAGCACCAGGAATAGGAACTGGTTCTTTCTCAAGTCAGCAGCTCCCATGAAGGGAATTGGGTGCTAACATGACAAATCTCATTGGTTATCTAGATTAGGATTCCATTAAACATCTGTGTGAAATGGCTAATTCTCTGTACCACAGGATTATTTTCTAATGACTTCTTAGTGAGTGCTAGCACAGTTAAAGTGATAACCAAATACTTAGATACTGTGATACTAGGAACTTTCATTTAGTGTGGAATCACGTTAATACACATGATGAGCTTGATGAATAGTTTTTGGTTGAGACTGAAGATTACAAAAGAGACTACTGCAAACTATAAGTGTCAGATAACTTGTCTTCACGTATCTGGGAAGAAAATAATACTGAATTGTTAACTTGTTTGTATGTTTAATCTTGGAAACATTGTTTCGTCCACTTTTTCTAAACCTGTAGGTATCGCACTAATTTTCACTGCTTTTTAAAAATCTTTATTGAATGTTTCTTTTTAAGATAATTATTTAAAAACATTTACATAACAGGATTATTGAGTTTCCTAAAAGCACTGCATAATAACATTATTTATGTTCAATTAACCATGTATTACATACACGTTGTGTACAAGGCTGTGTTTTGGATGTGGGGAAAACAAGTAGATGGTGATGTTAACTTCGCTTGACCTTAGGAAAATTAATATTAATATAATAAGGAAAAAATCCATGTTTCGCTTTCCATAGGTCTGAGCTGCTTACCTAGTCAGTCCCAATGTGAGAACCTGGATATTTCAGTTGAAGTTGCTGAATTCACTTGCCCCTTTTCCTTCCTCTGTGAGTGCCACGGACTGTTGCAGCTTCTAATCAGCCATCTTGCCCTTCTTGGAAACAGATTTTTATTTTTATTTTTTGAGACAGAATCTCACTCTGTCACCCAGGCTGGAGTCCAGTGCCACAATCTCACCTCACTACAACCTCCGCCTTCTGGGTTCAAGGGATTCTCCTGCCTCAGCCTTCTGTGTAGCTGGGATTACAGGCGCATGCCACCATTCCTGACTAATTTTTGTATTTTTAGATGAGACAGGGTTTTGCCATGTTGGCCAGGCTGGTCTCGAACTCCTGACCTCAAGTGATCCGCCCACCTTGGCCTCCCAAAGTGCTAGGAGAGAATGACTTTCAAAAGGGCATTTCTATTTACTAAAATATACATTGTTTCTTGTGTTGTTCATTTCTTCCTATTTGGACGTTTCCTTTTAGCTTCGAAAGTTGTTTAACATTCTGTGTTGTGCAAGTCTTCTTGAAAAAAAAGAAGGAAACTGATTTGACTCCGTGAGAATGGTTTTATTTTGTTTTTATAAGAGTTCTGGAGAATATTTTAATCAGATATAGAATTCTACATTGACGGTTTTTTCCTTTCATTTATTACTTTAAATATTTCATTGTTTTATTTTCTAGTCTCCTTTGTTTCTTGTGAGAAGTTCCATTATTGCTCTCTTGTAAACCATGTGACTTTTTTTTCCTGAGAATTTTTAATGCCTGATATTTTTACCTTTGATTTGCAGAATTTCGATTATGATGTCTTTTGCATTTATATCTTTGAAGTTTACAGAGCTTCTTGAATTTGTTGGTGGGTTTCATTTAATCAATTTTAGAAAGTTCTTTACCATTTACTATTTGATTTTATATCTGCCCCATTATTTCTCTTACTTCTTTTTGGGATTCCACCTATATATACATTATACTATTTGTTATTGAACCATAGCTCTCACATTTTTCATTTCGTTTTTTTCAATGCTCTTTGTCTCCACCTTTTTTTTTTCTTCAGTTAGGATATTGTCTTTCTATCTGTCTTCAAGGTCACGTATTCTTCCCTCTGTAGTGTTCAGCCTGCTATTAATCACAAACCATTATTTTTGACATTGCTTTTTAAATTTCTAACGTTTCCATTTGGTTCCTTCTAACATTTTTATGTCTCTATTAATGTCCAGTTTCATCATGCGTGTTACCCATATTTTCTACTTCTATTTTTCTTTTAATTATTTTAAATACCTTCCTAATAATTCCACCATCTGGAACACTTTTGGGCCTTCATGTATTGATTGAGGCATGAAGCTTTTTTTTTTTTGCTTTTTCTGTAACTTGTATTTTGATTATATTACATACAAAACACATATACACAATATAATTCATGTCTTAATACATATGTTATATACACAAATATTATACATTTAATATAAATTTATAATATACTTTCTATGCCTCTGGTGATCTCTTACAGCCTTATTTCTCCTCCCAATGCCTCTGCATATGGCGGATGTCTTTGTCCTCTTTGAAGGTCTGGGGACCCTTGGAGGGGCACATATTTCTTCTCCTGCTCCACATTCAGTCTTTAGTGATTGAAATACTAGAATACCTTATCTCAGTTCTCCTACTTTGCCTTCAATTGTATTTGGCTGAAAGTAGAAATGGATTTCTTTCTCTGACGGATTTCTTTCTATTTTCCTGCACTGTTTTTCATTCTTACATGGGGCTTTATAGTGGGAGATTCCACATGCCTCAGGGCAGTTATCTCACCCTTCTCCATGATCTATCCACTTTTGATTGCCTCTGCCAATGTACTCATTGAAGTTTGGTGAGTGCAAACTGGACCCAAGGGTGGAACTTCTCTGGGTTCTAATCTGTCACTCTGGCCAACATGTGGTTGTTAAAAGTTTGTTAAAAATTTAGCTCTTTAGAGCCATTGTTCTATTCATTTATTCATCCATTCATTCAACAAATACTTTCTGAGTGCCATCCATTTGCCTCAGCATGACCCTGGTAATGAGACAGTGTGCAAGATAGAAATAACCATGGACTTTTGAGGCTTAAAAAAATTTCTTCCTGATGCCTTTCCAGGGATTGTGAAACCAGATAGAAATAAGTGGATTGAAATTCCTTGTACATGGCAGTATCTACAACAACTTGTTTCAAGAAATAGGTAACAAATATAAACATTCATAGATTAGTTTGGGGTATGTAATCATACAGTAAATAATTCAAATACCACATTTTTGTGTGCAAGTAAATATTTAATTTATATTTTCATTCTCAAATATTTGTGTATTACACATAGATATTATAATATTTTTGTGCTGTGCTTTTGAAAATTAGCAGGATTTAATTTCAAGCAGAGGTTTCTTAGAGTGTACCATCCATTCTCATCACCTGTGATAAATGACTTACAGTAATTGAGGGGACTGGCTATGGTTCACAGTGTCATCGCTCCTCACTGGAAGATTTCTTCATAAATTCTCTGAAATATTACAACATGACCTTATTGGACTTTGTGTAGATGCCAGTGTATAACATTAAAAAAGTCCCCCACAAATGATTCTAAGGTTCATAAGAAATATAAAGTATAATACAAATGCTGAACCACAGCAATGACACTAGTGAAGAAAGAAGCTGTGGATCACGAAGCAGTGATTATGTGCTTCATAAATAATCACCACATGATCTGGAGTGATGTCAGGAAAATGGCAGAGTAGGCAGCTCCCAGCTCTTATCCCCTCAATAAAACCAAAAATCAAGCAGAAGCAATCAGAACCAACTTTGTCAGAACTCTGAAGAACAGCCCAAGGTTTACAACACCCAAGCAAATATCAAGAAAAAGCCTACTTGAAAATGGAAGAGCACTTTGTGGTATTCTTACTTGCCTTGTCCTAGCCCCTCTTCGGCAGAGCAGCAGCCTTTAATCATTGGCAGACTGTGTCGCCGCCACGGGACTCTGGTCTATTCTAACCTGTCTTGGAGCTATTGGAAGGGCTGACACAAAGCATTTGTTTCGGTATTGACTAATTAAAAATTCATATATATACACATCACATTTTTTGATATATATCACAGATATATATATATACACACACACACACACACACACACACACACACACATATCTATCAGAATAAAAATGTTTAAGTGAGTTGGATGTTTGTTTTAGGAAATGCATTATCTCTGTTCCATAAAGCTTCATATGATTGCATTTTGGTGAAGCATTTTTGAGTATAGCCAGCATATTGAAGACTGTGCTATATATAATTTCATTCATTCATTCATTCATGAAACATTCATCAACTACCTATATTTAGCTAAGCATGTCTGCAGATGCTTGTCATAAACTGATGTATATAACAGGTCTCTTTTTCTCGAGGCAAACAGCTACTATGGGAAGATAGACAAATATGTCAGCTCTTATAGTGAACTATCCTAATGCTATGATAGAGGCGGGGTGATAGTTAAAATAATTGATTACGTGGTGCAGGTACTGACCATACAAATGCTCAGCAGTTGTAACACTGGAGCGAAGTCATGTCAGTCTTACTCATTTTCTGGATTTAAGGGAGCTATGGTGTATCGTAGAGCATGGCCTGGGGAGCCTGTGTGGCCATGACAGGGCACTTTCAGGGTTTGGTACAACAGCTATTTATCAGCTGGTACAGGAGGTCATTTATCAGCTGGTACAGGAGTCTTTCAACAGTTTTTAAATCAGCATAACTTAGGGTGAGTAGTTGAATGTCAGTCCTAGAAAAACCCAAGCAAAGGTCCCCTGGTACACAGAGCAAAGACCCTTAACCAAGGATTTGGGTGTCAGGAGGTTTTATCATGACAGTTGAGCTATGTGTTGAGACATGGGCAAGAATTGTTCCCATAGGAAACAAAGAGAAGAGTGTCCAAATTGGGTGGGTTAATGACATGCAAGTGCAAGAAGCTTGAGAGTTTGTAGTGATTAAATATAGCTAGTGCAGAGTATAATGTTTTGAGGACAATGGGAAGAAATTCTTCAGGGAAGCTTCTTAAAGGTCTAATGCCAATTTGAATTGGTAGGGAATCAAAAGTATATTCAAGATTACTCAAGAATATTCAAGATTCAAGGATCTAATATATCATATTTGCCTCTCAAAAATCTCTCACACTATGAAGAGGATAGTTTGGAAGGAATAAAGGGGCAAAAATTGAAGCAAGGGATTTATCTTAAAAAAATTTTTAAAGGCCGGGTGTGGTGGCTCATGCCTGTAATCCCAGCACTTTGGGAGGCCGAGGTGGATGGATCACGAAGTCAGGAGTTCGAGACCATCTTAGCCAGCATGGTGAAACCACGTCTCTACTAAAAATTCAAAAATTAGCAGGGCGTGTTGGAGTGTGGCTGTAGTCCCAGCTACTCAGGAGGCTGAGGCAGGAGAATCGCTTGAACCCAGGAGGCGGAGGTTGCAGTGAGCCGAGATCACACCACTGCACTCCAGCCTGGGCGACAGAGTGAGACTCTGTCTCAAAAATAAATAAATAAATAAATAAATAAATAAATAAATAAATAAAAAACAAAGTAAGAAAGCCTAAGGGCTAAAATGAAGTTTGGAAGAGAGAGGACAGTTTAATAGTATTTGAAGAATGATAAAAGGCTGTTTATGTAAATCGATTACTTTTTTCTTCTTGTTTTTAAGCCAGTCAAATTTAAACCAATTATTTAATTAAAAAACATATCTGATTTTTTTCTTTCCTTTTTTAAAAAAATTTTATTGATACAGGGTGTTACTCTGTTGTCCAGGCTTGAGTAGAGTGGCACAATCATTGCTCATTGTAACCTTGAACTCCTGAGCTCAAGCAATTCTCCTGCCTCAGTCTCTCAAGTAACTGAGATTATAGGTGCATGCAAGGATGCCTGGCTCATTTTCATTTATCCATTTACTTTTTGTAGAGATGGGGTTTTACTATCTTGCTAGGCCTGGTCTTGAACACCTGGCCTCAAGTGATCCTCCCTCCTGGTACTCTCATAGTTCTGGGATTATAGGCATGAGCCACTGCACCCAGCCTCTGATTTCTTATTGATTAGATAAAATATGTTACTTATCCCCATGGCATTGTCATATTAACAAACATTCCTGGTAGATTTTATTGCATTCCCTAAGCAATAATACAGCTTTAAGCATTGCTTTGTGAAGAATGTTGTTTGAGCTTTGATAAGATGGTACACTGTAGTAAATTACGAAGAGCAGGTAGACAGAGCCATAGGAAAGTGAGAGCTTGTTTTACTAGGCCATGGAGTCCTGTTGGGGTTTATGAGTGTGAGCATTGCAGGTCTATTGAACCTCTTCAGGTGGACTCTAGAGCCACATATCAAGCAAATGGGGAGAAATCACAGGAGAAGGCAGGTCCAAAAAGTTTAACCTGTGTGTTAGAACATCTGGAAAGTTGGCCCTAAGTAGGGGTATTCAGCAACATAAAATAGTACAATGTGATCAAGACTCTATTTAAACAGCTTTTCATGGTAACAAGCACATTGCTGAGCAGATTTTGAAATATAACACTTAAACTTAGGAACTGAAGGCAGCTTGGCTGGTTTTATCTATCTGCCCTTTTCACTTAGCTATGTAAGCTATGATTGGTTACTTAATCTCTGTGACTCAGTTTCACATTTGCAGAATGGGTAAATTAACATCTACAGTGTCTCGTTATTGTGCAGATAAGTAAAGTACTGCTTTTAGGGATATTTAGGGATATTGCATTTACCACGGTGACATGTAGAAGGTATTCAGTGTTTGTGTCCTTTTCTCCTCAGCCCACCAGAAGAACAACCCACCCAATGCCTCTTACTGTTGTGATACTAATTGGTTTAAGTTTCCCCTAGAGGCCTAATAGAATTTAACTCAATTAGTATAAAATTTATTATAATCTTGTAGATGAGGAAATTAAATAAAGCAACACTACCTGGAATAATAGTTCAGATTTTTGGTAAGAATGCCTTTCGTTCTACCCTTTAGACTGACTCTTTTTTCATGTTAATCCACCGCCTTCTAAGAAGGTAAATGAATTCTGTGAGTTCCTCCTAATTGGGCATTCTGTATCTTCTGTCTCTGATAGCATCACCCAAATGTCTCCTCATCTTCAAAATATATATATGACCTTCACTATAAAAACTCAGAGCCTCACAGCCTCCACCAGGGCTTAAATAGATGTTTATGCTCTAATTTAAATATATATCTATAGTCACAGACTTCTATATATATCTACAACTCTATGCTTACATAGATATCTACACCTCAACAGTTATATAAATATCTATTTTCCTAACTTACGTAGTTTTTTGTGTCCCGAAGCTTATACGGATATCTATACCTCCAACTTATATAGATATTTACACCCTAACTTATGTAGCTATTTACACCTCTAACTTATATAGATATCCACAACCCTAAACTTATATAAATATTTACACTCCTAAACTTGTCTAAATAGCAAATGCCTAATTTAAATATATATCAACACTCTTAAACTTATGTAGGTATCAGCGGATCTAATTTATCTATATTTCTCAAATGACATATTTACACTCCTAAATTTAAATGAATATCTTTACTTCTAATTTATATAGATATCTAAACCCCAAACTTATATCAGTATTGTTCTAAAAGAAAGTTTTAATTTTTACAACTCTAAAATTGCAAACAAGTGGCAAGAACTGGGTTTTCCTACTATAATGTTCTTATATTAGAAGGCAGATATCATCATTGATAAGTGGCTAGGCTGTCATTAAGAAACAAAATACATTTTAAAGAGTCAGAATTTTTTCTGAAGCCCATAATTTCTGTCTGTATAGCTTTACTCCCATTTGCCCATCTGGTTTGTCCAGATGGAATTTGTTGCTCTTATACCACCATCTGTGTTAGAAATTGACTGATATTACTTAGCCTAATAATTAGATGAAGATATATAAGGAGTTTTGAAAAATCACCTGTGGAGATGATAGCTTTGTTAGTGGTAAGTTTTGATTTGTGACCTAATAAAATACAGTACAGACTCTCCATTGAATTTGAATAATCACGTATCAGAGAAGGAAGGTGGAAATAAATAGTCCCGTGTCTTCTGGAAAAGAGAAAAAAAAATCAAAGAGCTATTCTGGTCACAGATACACTGCATCCCTCCTAAACAAAACAAAACAAAACAAAACAAAACACAAAAAAAAGGTTGGAAGAAAAATTGCTTCTTTGATCTTAAGGACTCCAGGCTCCACAGATAAGCATGACTATCCATGCCACTGACAGACTGAGTATGGAGTAAAAACTGAGAGGAGTAGGTTCATTAATAAGGATACACTTAACAAGAAGGAACAGCATATTAGTTAACTGCCACTTAAAACACTCTTTGAGTACTTAAAAATGTTCTGAAGTTAGCCTTCCCAGGAGCATCTCAGAAACTGATCAATGTCATAGGACCCAGGTGCCGCCACCTTTCTGCTCAGTCACCCAGAGGATGCCCTTTTCTTGTTTCTTGTCTGGTTGTCTTACGTCCACATGGCGGCTGCTGCCACCACCTGCTTCATGTTGCCTCATCATAGCTTCGCATGAGGGAAGGTCATTCCAGGTACCTTTTAAGTAAAGGAGTACAATCTTTTCTCAGAGCTCATCAGCAGAGTCACCTTATATTTCCCTGGGAAGAATAGGTTCCATGCTTACTGGTAAGGCTATCATTAGGACCTGTCATCTCAAAGCTAGGCACAGTCACATCAAAGCAGAAACAACACATCCTTATTATAATTTTGCAAAATGAGCAAAGGGGCCTCAGAAAAATTAGCTACTCAAAATTCTACAACTGCTATTGAAAGGCATGTATCCAAGCCCTATTTTATTTTCACAAAGATTTTTTCTCATGCTGCTATATGACTCTCTCGTCTATAACATCCTTAGAGGGCTAAACATTGGGTGACTTTTTCCAGCTCATGAACTATTTCTCAACACAGTAAGCTCTGAGCAGTGGGACAACAGAACCTAGAAAGAGGAGAAAGTGATTATTTCACTTATTATTAAAAAAAAGTGATAACTGACACAATTGTGGATATTTATGTGGTACAATGGGATGTTTTGAGGCATTGTATAATGATCAACTCAGGATAATTACCATGTCTATCACTTTAAACATTTATCCTGTTTGCAGTGACAATATTCAAAATCTTCTAACTATCTTGAAATAGACACTACATTGTTATTTGCTATAGTCAACCTACTGAATAGACTATAGAACTGTGTAATAGAACACAAAAACAAGGTGAAAGTGACTCTTAAAGCATAGGGCATAAAAAATTGAAAGCCTCTGAAGGAGCCATTTGGCTTGATACTTTGCATCTCTGTCTTGTCTGAGAGGGAAGAGAGCATTTCTGTGGAAAGCCATAATGCTATGGACTGAAAGTTTATGTCTCTCTAAGACTGTGTGTTGAGCCCCCCCATCTCTGATGTGATAGTGATGGTAAATTTTGTACCAACTTGATTTGGCTATGGAATGGACAATTAGCTGGTAAACCATGATTTTGGGTGTTCTACTAGGCAATGGAGTCCTAGTTGCCTCTTAACTCCTTCCAAACTATCCTCTTCAGTCCTGGATTCATTCACCCTGTGAGGGTGTTTCAGGACGAGACTAGCATTTGAACCAGTATACTGAGAAAAGAAAACTCTCACCAATGTGGACAGGTGTCATCCCTGTGAGGGCCAAATAGAACAAAAAGCACACAGATGGACTTTCTCTCTCTTCTTGAGCTAAGGCATCCATCTCCTGCTCTCAGACATTGGAGCTTCTGGGTTTGGGGTCTTAGGACTCTGCAGTGCTCCGTGCTCCACCATTAGGCTTTTGGACTTGAACTGAATTGCCCACTGGCTTTTCTGGTTCCGGCTTGTAGACACCATATCATGGTACTTCTCAGCCTCTGTAATCACATGAGCCAATTCCCATAATACACCTACTCTTGGACATTTATATATTCTACTGGTTCTGACTCTCTGGAGAACCCTGACAAATACAGTGATGGTATTACTGTATGAAGAGATGGGGCCTTTGGGAGGTGACTAGGACATGAGGGTGGAGGCCTCATAAGTGGGATTCACTCCTTAAAAGTGGAGACATAAAGGAGATGATCTCTCTCTACTATGTGAAGATGCAGCAAGAAGGCATCCCTCTGTAAGCCAGTAATGAGGCCTTCACCAAGAATGAAATCTGCAGACAGCTTGATCTAGGACTGTCCAGCCTTCAGAACATTGAGAAATGAATGCTTGTTGTTTTAAGTGACCCAGTGTGTGGGATGGCAGTCAGTAGTTATGGCAGCCAGATCTGACTAAGATACAGTCAGAGGGAAGGCTAGATGTTCATTCCCATGTCCCCAGGAGCGCCTGTGTCACCTTCCTCTTGGCTCCATCCTGGCCTGCTGGTTTCCACTAATTGGTTGTTAAAGGTCCCTTTGGCTGTTCCTCACTTTAAGATTTGCCTCCAAAAGCCATAAGTGCCGGTTCCAACATGCAAGTCTGCATGAGGCAAAGCCATTCAGACAAATTCTGGACCTTAGGGGACAACACACTTTCCATTCATTTTTTTTTTTTTTTGGATTTTGGGATTTTTGAGAAGCATGTATTCTTTCCAGGGGACAATATATATGATAAAGAAAAGCCTATAGATTAGAGAGAGAAAGCAGAAAAACCTCTGTACGTTTATATGACAACATAAACATGTCAAATCACGGCTTCATAAATGATATTACCATAGTCTACTGAAAGGTATGAATAAAAATTGTAATTATTTCTCGGTTTTCAAAAGACCTTTATGAAATAAACCATCTTGGGATTTTGAAAACTTGTGTAAAATCAGAGTTAAATTATTTATATTTTAAACACTTGAAGTTTGTATTCTCAAGGCATGACTAAAGGAAACCTCTTTCATTCAGTGGCGGTAACTCTGGAAGACCCTACCGATAAGTATTTCATGCTCGCAGCTGCACACTTTTAATCTCTTCCTATTTCAGTGTCCTTTTATTTATTCTGATTGTTTCAAGAATAATGTTTCAATTAGGGCTAATGATTTCAACAAGTGTTCAACACCTAGTAATCCCCTTTCACAGGAAGAAGGTGTACCACGAGAAAGGCAGCCGGAAACCTTGTGGAAATGAGGAGGAAGGTGGAAGGTGGCTTTGGAGGAACACTAAGAAGTGATTTTCTTAAGAATTTTAAACTAGTTTTTGCACCAAATATTTTTATCTATCTATCTATCTATCTATCTATCTATCTATCTATCTATCTATTTTTATTATACTTTAAGTTCTGGTGTACATGTGCCAAATCTTTATAGATGAATATATGAATAAATAAGTTATTTACAAAAAGTATAGATATTTGAAGTTGACAGAGATCTGAGACCTTATGTCTTTGATTTTCCTTCATCTTACAGAATAAAAAATTGAGATGGAGTGCTCGGATAACTTATAAAAAATGACTCAGACGTTTTCTGATAGAACCATATCTAGAACTTTGAAGATTTGTTTCTGTATTCTTTCTACAATACTACACTAAATCTGAAGCAGAAAAATTGATGAACCGCTAAATAGGTTTCATATGTTTCCTTTTTAGGACATTCTGTAACACTTGCAAAAATTAGGAACTTCTTCGCACAGCCTATTCTTAGTCCTTTCTGCTGCAACATGTCCACTCATCTGAAACAGCATTAGTAATGTGAAGATAGTTATAATTTCTTATTCACTCACCTGTTCACTAAGCTAAGTCACCTCCATAAATCATTGTCATATGCAGTAGCTGTATTTCTTTTTTTTTTCTGTGAAAATCTGGGTATTCTACTATTTTACAAGATCCAAAGATAGCTCTGTCTCTTTTCATAATACAGTTGGGATCCCACAAGGGCAGATTTTATTTGTCCACAATGGATTCACAGTTGTTTGTTTCCTGTTTATACTCTTACCTATATTCCATACAACAAATTAAGAGTATCACACGTGTTTTGTATCTGTATCTATGATTAAAACTAGGAGCACTTGCCCTCATGGGTTATCTTCTCCTTCTGGTCAAGGGAAATATTACACTTTCCCTCTCTCAAGATAGGTGTAACCACATGACTAATTCCGGCTTATGAGGAATGAATGCGCACATTCTGTACCATTTTTGGCCTCAAGTATTCCATAGACCATCTGAGACCCTTCTCTTCTCTTTCTTCTTGTCATGTCCACTGAGGAGGCTATGGGCTCCAGATGGTGAAGCCACAGAGTGATGGAGCTGTCTTCTGCCCGAATTGCCAAGAAGACCTTTGACCTGGACAGCTGTTACTACATACAACTGATTTTGTGTGAGTGAAAAGTAAAGCTTTAAAGACTTCAAGATTCTTTGTTTCCACCATAGTATGTGGCTTATTCTGACTCATAGCTTTAATTAGAATACTTTATTATTTTTTAGGATTTTTTAAAATTTAAGTTTGAGAGAGTAAAGTTCATTGATTTATTTTTCTAGTGATTCATTTTTTATACTTGGTTCCAGGCATTTTGCTAAGAGCTAGAAACCTCAACCTACAGCTGTTCCCTGTAGGTCTGGAAGCAGGAAGTCTGAGGCAGGAAACAAACAGTAGTACAACCAAGAGATAGATGCTAAAATAGAGGCATGAGTACAGCACTATGGAGAACCAAGAAGCAAGGGCTTAATTCTGTCTGCAAAGTGACAATGGCTATATGAACAGTTGAACTTAAATAAGGGATGCATATGCATTAATTTGTTGGGTAAAAGTTACCAGAAGAATATACCACAGAGAGGAAATAGCATGTTCAGTGGTGCAGCATGAGAAAGAAACATATTAAAGTTTTCAGGCAAATCTAAAATGGAAGCAATCTTTGGAGATGAAGGTAGAGAAGCATACAGGGGTCAGATCATGGAGGTCTTCTGTGCCATGATGTGGGTTGTGGTAGAGAATTTATGGATATCTGTTAGTAAGTAGGCTTTACCTTGATTGCCAACTGTGGTGGTTTTGTGGTCAATACATGAAGCTCTGGCTAAGATGGATTCAAACATTGTATACACTTAATATGTGAAGTCCACCATGGGAGAGTAGAGATATAGCATTACATGATCTAATATTTGCAGTGAATTAGCATCAATCCAATACACATGGGAATAATTCATTCACTAAAGACCACAACAAATTTTTAGGATTTTTTACTGTCTTATAACGGTGATTGATGAGGAAATATGTGGAATTCTGTGGAATTCTGCTCTCAAATCAGCTGACAGGTGACGTCTTTTTAAAAAGCCAGAAACAAAAATAATAAAATCCTTAAGAGACCTGCAGGATTTTTTTCCCCTTCATTTTGGCTTTTTAAAGAAAAAAAATTATTAACAAAACCAAAACAAGAAAATTCAAGTAATAAACTGGAAAAATGCATAGTCTCCAAATTTTATCATTCAGGAAGAATTGTTATTAAGAATTGGGGATCCCCATTCCAGACAGGACTCCATATGTATATACAGAGACTGGATTGAGAAGTGAATGGTTTGGAGCTCACTACATTGGGGATGCAAGCTTGGGAGTATGAACTCTATCTTTGGCTATTGCATATCTGTTTACAGGAATTAATACTATTTTGTAGAGATTCTCTACATGGAAGAACCTGTTGGTTAAGATGGAAACCACAAACTGCCACACATTTAAGCTCTGGTCCACACAATATTCTTTGGATCCAAAAACTGAGTGTTTATGAAATCGGCTTTTTGTTCAGGATCACACAGCTGTTGGAGACAATAATATAATGTATGTCTGACCTAATGTGATGTTTTTACTTGACCATGTTGTCTGGTACAGGTCATTGTCAAACCCTTTGGTTTGAGATTTATCTCCACAAATTGAGAATTTGTTTATGAAAAACAGAAGAAATATTTGTCTACGGCAGTCACGGCTTTCTGAACAGATGGCTAAACCCCCAGAAACTGAAATACCATTATCTTTACCATGTGTTTCCCTTTAAAAACATAATCTATAAATGTGAATCTAAAAAGGCACATATGGATTGTCTGAGCAGACCACCATTCATTTTATTAAATCACATAGTAGGTAGATTTCTCAAATATTTTTTTTGTTTGTTTGTATTTTTGAGACAGAGCTTTGCTCTTGTTGCCTAGGCTGGAGTGCAATGGCCTGATCTCAGCTAACCTCAACCTCCACCTCCCAGGTTCAAATGATTCTCCTGCCCCAGCCTCCAGAGTAGCTGGGATTACAGGCATGCGCCACCATGGCCGGCTAATTTTGTATGTTTAGTAGAGATGGGGTTTCTCCATGTTGGTCAGATGGGTCTCGAACTCCCAATCTCAGGTGATCCGCCCGCATCGGCCTCCCAAAGTGCTGGGATTACTGGCAGGAGCCACCATACCTGGCCAATTTCTCTAATTTTTATAATCGGTAATTGTTTAGGCTATGACTATTCCCATTGCATTCCAATATAGATTGTTAATGAGTTCCCAGCTTAACCTTGTGTTGATGAACACCCAAAGTTCCCCACTCTCCTTATAGGCATGGAGACCTGAGAGGGTGTGTACAGAAGGTGAGAAAAATCCAAAAGCAATCATGGAGAAAAGCTGAAGAATGTTGCAGCTCTATCCCAGCAACCAGTAAACTCAGAGACTTGTTTTAAACATCAAAGTTATACGACAAAAATGGTTCAAAACAAAACACTGTATGAAGAAGAAAGAAATTCAATGTTTGAGGCTTTAAATAAAATTATGTTCAATTGACAATAATTTACAAACAAGCAATAGCTTACTGTCATAACTTACTGTTAACTTTTACATTACTCTAAAAAAGACCATAGCCTTGGAGTTATACTGTAACATAAAGATGTAATGAAAGCAATTATTATCTATTTAAACTCAGAACTAGGAAGTTTATGTAGTTTAAAAATGTTTGATAGTTTATGTTTAAAAGATTGTCAGAAAAAGCAGGAGAGCAAAAGGACCAGAAAAACAGTGCCATGATGAATAACAGCTGGCTACAGATAGTTTTTATGTGTTCCCACCAAGCATCTTCATTTAAAGGGGCATGAAAAGGAGATGCCAACCAAAGGCTTTTGATTGCTTTTGCATATGGCATATTGCCTTAGGGAATAATTTTGGATTACTTAAGGATATCCACAAACTTATAAGAAAGAGATACCCTATCATATATTTTACCATTTAACAAAACAAAACCTGCAGTCTTCTTGACATGGATTTACTGCTGCTAGCATCTCTTCTGGTCCACAATATGACACGAATTTACTTTTCTAATGCATTCTGTGTAAATATATGTCTGGTGAGAAATATTTTATCTGATGGGCATCTCAATGAAAAATTTTATTTCTAAGGTAGGAGGAACTTAAAGTGGTCAAAGAAATATGGCTATAATAAAATATATATTCTAGAAGAAAAGTGAAGATAGCAGCTGTGGAGAGAAAAACCCAGAAAATAATAGATTATATTTATAAATTAAAAAAAAACATGAGGAAGGTCTTAACAGATGTGTTTATTTGAAAGCTATAAATGCAACCAGAGGGATTTTTTTATTCAGAACTCCTATATTTTTCTTTGGGGACAGAAATATTAGCAGTAATGGGGTGAATCACAGAGGCAAGAAAAACCTACAGAAATAGACCTGTGAACTGTATAAAGGCATATAAACTTCACAGTAAAAATTCAAGGAGTGTGTACTCTGAGATGAAAAATGATAAATTTAACCTCAGGGTTTGATTGGCTTTAAATTGATAGAATAGGAGAAAAATGAAATGCCATAGCAGAGACTGGATGCCAAGTCTCAGCCAGCCTGGTGACTAATCCTTAATTCAGATGGCTGGGAAATTGACTCCCCAGACACACTACTCACTGGAGTACAATTAATTTGTGATCTAGCCCTACCCAGCAGGATGGTTTCAGGTCCAGGTCCTCCCCAGCTGAATTTCCCATTCAGATGTAGCTTTGAGGTCACAGAAGCAATACCACTGTACTGAACAAGGAATTGGGCAAGCAGTGAGGGGATAAAGCAAAGCAGTGGAGGAAAATAACAGCTATCCTTCCAAATGACTGAGTTCTAATCAGTTTCTGCCTGTGCTGCTCCCCTGGGCTCTATTCACGTGACCAAATACTTTTCACAGAAACACAAGGCACCCAACTCATAATAGTTACATGGGGGAATACTGACAATGACAATGCTGTAAATAAAAATTAGTATGATACCACTCAAAATTTTACATTTTAATAGAACTTACGGTATTCAAGAAATATTTAAAGCTTACGTTTTTATTTCATTTTATAACAGTGCTATTTGCAAGGCAGGGAGTAATTGCCAAAGAAAATTATCATGCGTTGTTCAATGAAAACTGACAGTGACAGAAAGAAATTAAGTCTTTGAAAAATAAGACTGTGAAGTATCCAGTAGATCGTGTTCCCTCATGCCTTGTTAAAATCCTTCCTATTACAGGGTTAGATGAATCAGATTTATCCACTTAAATAAATAATTTTATTTCTCCTTTCTTATTTTCACTTTTTTTTCCCCTCAGAAGAAAAGGTTGTGAAAAAGGCGAAGGCCATTTATATGGGCAGGAAGAGTTTTTGTTCATTACTGATCTTTTTTAGTAGTTTTATTGATACTTGTTTTAAAGGTTATGCCAGTTTGAATCTCCTGCGAAAAAAGCTGCTAATGTGTCCGGAATTGGTGGGTTCTTGATCTCACTGACTTCAAGAATGAAGCCGCGGACCCTCGCGGTGAGTGTTACAGCTCTTAAGGTGGCGCGTCTGGAGTTTGTTCCTTCTGATGTTCAGATGTGTTCAGAGTTTTTTCCTTCTGGTGGGTTCGTGGTCTCGCTGGCTCAGGAGTGAAGCTGCAGACCTTCGCGGTGAGTGTTACAGCTCTTAAGGCAGAGCGTCTGGAGTTGTTTGTTCCTCCCGGTGGGCTCGTGGTCTCGCTGGGCTCAGGAGTGAAGCTGCAGATCTTCGCAGTGAGTGTTACAGCTCATAAAAGCAGCGTGGACCCAGAGTGAGCAGTAGCAAGATTTATTGCAAAGAGCAAAAAAACAAAGCTTCCACACTGTGGAAGAGGACCCGAGCAGGTTGCCACTGCTGGCTGGGGCAGCCTGCTTTTATTCTCTTATCTGGCCCCACCCACATCCTGCTGATTGGTAGAGCCGAGTGGCCTGTTTTGACAGGGTGCTGATTGGTGCGTTTACAATCCCTGAGCTAGATACAAAGGTTCTCCACGTCCCCATCAGATTAGTTAGATACAGAGTTTTGACACACAGGTTCTCCAAGGCCCCACCAGAGCAGCTAGATACAGAGTGTCGATTGGTGCACTCACAAACCTTGTGCTAAACACAGGGTGCTGATTGGTGTGTTTACAAACCTTGAGCTAGATACAGAGTGCCGATTGGTGTATTTACAATCCCTGAGCTAGACATAAAGGTTCTCCAAGGCCCCACCAGAGCAGCTAGATACAGAGTGTCGATTGGTGCACGCACAAACCTTGAGCTAAACACAGGGTGCTGACTGGTGTGTTTACAAACTTTGAGCTAGATACAGAGTGCCAATTGGTGTATTTACAATCCCTGAGCTAGACATAAAGGTTCTCCAAGGCCCTATCAGAGCAGATAGATACAGAGTGTCGATTGGTGCACTCACAAACCTTGAGCTAAACACAGGGTGCTGATTGGTGTATTTACAATCCCTGGGCTAGACATAAAGACTCTCCACATCCCCACCAGACTCAGGAGCCCAGCTGGCTTCACCTAGTGGATCCCACACTGGGGCTGCAGGTGGAGCTGCCTGCTAGTCCCGCGCCGTGCGCTTGCACTCCTCAGCCCTTGGGTGGTCGATGGGACTGGGCGCTGTGGAGCAGGGGGTGGTGCTCGTCGGGAAGGCTGGGGCCGCACAGGAGCCCATGGAGTGGGTGGGAGGCTCAGGCATGGCGGGCTGCAGGTCCCGAGCCCTGCCCCGCGGGAAGGCAGCTAAGGCTCGGTGAGAAATCGAGCACAGCGCCGGCGGGCTGGCACTGCTGGGGGACCCAGTATACCCTCCGCAGCCACTGGCCCGGGTGCTAAGTCCCTCATTGCCCGGGGCCAGCAGGGCTGGCCGGCTGCTCTGAGTGTGCGGGGCCCGCCAAGCTCACACCCACCCAGAACTCCAGCTGGCCCGCAAGCGCTGCACGCAGCCCCGGGTCCCGCTCGCGCCTCTCCTTCCGCACCTCCCTGCAAGCTGAGGGAGTGGGCTCCAGCCTTGGCCAGCCCAGAAAGGGGCTCCCACAGTGCAGTGGTGGGCTGAAGTGCTCCTCAAATGCCGCCAAAGTGGGAGCCCAGGCAGAGGAGGTGCCGAGAGCAAGCGAGGGCTCTGAGGACTGCCAGCACGCTGTCACCTCTAACTAAGATAAAGTTAAGAATGCAAGAGACTTATCAGTGAAAGATAAAAGTTGGTCTGAGAAAACTTTAAAAATTCGATGTTGATCTGATGTCTGTGAAGGACAGGAGGATAGGGAAAGTAGAAATTGGTAGTAGAAGCACACTGTGTCTGAAAAGTGTCCTACCTAGGACAGAAATGGCCAAGCCCTGCTACTTTCACACTCTCATTGTTTAAGGACTTCCCAGGTAGTGTGGCACCAGATTGAATGTTGAAGCATATCCTGTGGCATAACAGTCTCTACCTTGAGGAAGAGACTAACAAAAGACTCCCTTGACTGACAGGGTGTACTCTCACACTGTGAGAATCCACGTCCCCAAACATGTTTGGTGGGCAGTTTCCCCAGCTTCACAGTAGGCCTTTCCTTCAGAGGAGGACTTGAAGACAAAAGTTAGTAGGATGAACATTTTTTTTTCTCAAAGTCAAAAATACAATCCTTAATGCCACATTTACATTAACAGCAAAATCATTTTCCACTCCTATCAGCCAAGTATATTGTACTGGATTGTAGACATTATACTTTTCACTGGTACCATGAAGTTGGAACACTGAATTAAAGTGAAACCCTAATGAAAATTTAAAAGAGAATGACAATCAGGCAGCCCAGGATTCAAGTTAGTCCCAAAGTTGTATTTTTTTCTACCAAAAAATGTTTTAAGGTATATGAATTTGTTGCCAACATTTAACAATTGGGAGATTTTTATATATGAGCCGTGGTTACTGTTTATTTTGAAAAACTCAAGATCTGACCATACTGATCCCACCTTTTTTTTTTTTTTAAGTTCTGAGATACATGTGCAGAACATGCAGGTTTTTTACATAGGTATACATGTGCTATGGTGGTTTGCTGCACCCATCAACTAATCATCCAGGTTTTAGGATAAACATTTCTAATACTGCCATTGGTCACAAGGCACTGATTGGTTCTTGCCACTCCCTTCTGTATGCTTCATTCTACATCCTCCTGACCCTCACATATTTTCTCTGCTGGCCTCAGAGGCTTCCCTTATGCTGTTACTCATACCCTCATTGTTAAAGAGTCCTAGCCCCTGCTAACCATGTCCTCTCAGGCCATGGTTGCAGCACTTGTTTAGTTCACAGTTGGGCAATCTAGTAGTAAAAGTAAATCAAGTTCATGGCCAGAATTTCATACATACTCCTCCTGCCCCCATTGTATAACAGCAACCGTATATCCTCCATGATGGTGACTCCATTTCTTGCCTGCTGGTCCTTGCACACAAGGAGTTAATAGTGCCTTGATGGCTGCCCTTGAAACCTTCTCTGTGTCCCCAGGCATGAATGTACTCCCTTTGGGGACCAGGGCTCCTAACTTTGCAGTGGCCACAGTTGTTCAGATGGGAAGGAAAAGTCTCTCATTGGGTCACTGAGAGTGATAAGTGGTATTTCTAGCCACCTGATTCCTAGACATATGCATTCTTTGTACTGGACAACAATGCCATATAGAAATTTCTTATTCAGTAAGTATACTGAGTCCTCCAAAATCACATTATTACTGAGTATTGTCTCTGAGTTGCTCCTTCAGCTGAGGCTTCCAGAGGCCAGTCTAACACTCTATTAGGATGGTTTTGCATGATACATTATGCAACATAACCAGTGGAACCTATGGTTATAGGCCCACTTCTGCAGCTCCTTCACTGTAAAATGTATGTCCTGGTCAGAAGCTATGTTGCAAGGAACTTAATGCCTGTGAATCAAGAATTTTGTAAGCTCCAGATTATCATATTTATCGAGGTTCTATAGGTTATAAAGGCAATCCATACCAAGAATTTGTCTGTTCCTGAAAAGGACTGAAGAGTTCCATTGAAATAAATTTACTACCAAGTAGTTGTTTGATCTCCCCCAAAAATGGTGGTGTATTGAGTTTTCAGTATCAAACCTTGTTGCTGGGAGGTATACATGTGCCATGGTGGTTTGCTGCACCCATCAACTAGTCATCCAGGTCATTCAGTGTTGGCAGCAACTACAAGGGCCTTGGTGGTTGGTAGTACATATTGTTGGGCCCACGCAGAGCCTATGACTCTACCATTGTGGCTTCTCAGTTCATAAGCCCAGTGTGCCATTTTTGTGTTGCTCATGACAAAATCTGTTTAATGTCAACTGGCCACGTCATTTTTTCTTTTCTCTCTTTTTCTCTTTTTATTTTGGATAGACTGGCTAGAAGTTTATCAATTGATTAATTTTTTCAAATAATTAGTATGTGCTTTATTAATTTTCTCTATTGTTTTCCTGTTTTCAATTTCATTGATTTCTGCTTTAATATTTTTATTCTTTTTATCCTCCTGGCAATAGGTTTAACTAACTCTCCCTTCTTTAGTTTCCTAAGGTGAAAGTTTGTAATATTGACTTTAGATCTTCCTTATTTTCTAATGTGTGCACTTAGTGCTATAAATTTCCCTCTAGGCACTGACTTTGGTACATAGCATACATTTTGATAAGTGGTATTTTATTTTCATTTAGTTTAAAATGCTGCTTAAATTTCACCTGAGAGTCTTGACAAATGAGTTATTTTAAAATATGTCATTTAATTTCTAAATAGTTGGGATTTTCCAGCTATTTTTCTCTTATTAACTTCTAGTTTAATTCCTTAGTGTTTTGAGAACATACTTTACGTAATTTCCATCATTTTATATTTGTTAACGTGTGTTTTGTAGCCCAAAATGTGGTCTATCTTGATGAATGTTGTATGTGAGCTTGAGAAGAATGCGCATTCTGCTGGTTTTGGAGTATTCTATAGATGTCAATTATACCTAGTTGATTTATGGTGTTGTTCATACCATTTATATCCTTACTAATTTTCTGCCTGCTTGATCTGTCAATTACTGGCAGAGGAGTGTTGATGTCTTCAACTATAGTAGTGGATTTGTCTATATCTCCTTTCAGTTCTGCCAGTTTTTGTCTCATGTGTTTTTGACATCCTACTGCAAGGTGTATAGAATGTTTGGGGTTTGTCAATGTCTTTTTGGAGAAATAACTTTTTTATCATTATGTAATGCTACTACTCTTTATCTCTAGTAATCTTCCTTATTCTGAAGGCTATTTCATATGAAGTTAGTATAACTACATTAGTTTTCTTTTGATTAGTGTTATCATAGTGTGTGTGTCTCTCTCTCTTTTTCTTTTAAGCTGTAGCAAACACAGAAAATTACCCTTTTAACAAATTTCCAAGTTCCCAGCACAATATTGTCAACCACATGCATGTTATTGTACAACAGATCCCCAGAACTTTCATACTACTTGACTGAAACTCTACACTCAGAAAAACTTCCCCTTCCCCTCCCCCAGTCCCTGGCAACTATCATTCTTCTTTTTATGAGTTTTATTACTTTATAAAGGTGGAGTCATGCAGTGGGGTGTGTGTGTGTGTGTGTGTGTGTCTGTGTGTGTGACTGGCTTATTTAACTTAGCATAATATTCTTAGGCCACTCTTTCTTTACATTTAACGTATCAGTCTTCAAAGTAGTAATTATTTATTTATTTATTTATTTATTTATTTATTTATTTTTGTTTTATTATACTTTAAGTTTTAGGGTACATGTGCACATTGTGCAGGTTAGTTACATATGTATACATGTGCCATGCTGGTGCACTGCACCCACTAACTCGTCATCTTGCATTAGGTATATCTCCCAATGCTATCCTTCCCCCCTCCCCCCACCCCACCACAGTCCCCAGAGTGTGATATTCCCCTTCCTGTGTCCATGTGATCTCATTGTTCAATTCCCACCTATGAGTGAGAATATGCGGTGTTTGGTTTTTTGTTCTTGCGATAGTTTGCTGAGAATGATGATTTCCAATTTCATCCATGTCCCTACAAAGGACATGAACTCATCATTTTTTATGGTTGCATAGTATTCCATGGTGTATATGTGCCACATTTTCTACGCTGCATACCTACAACTATCTGATCTTTGACAAACCTGAGAAAAACAAGCAATGGGGAAAGGATTCCCTATTTAATAAATGGTGCTGGGAAAACTGGCTAGCCATATGTAGAAAGCTGAAACTGGATCCCTTCCTTACACCTTATACAAAAATCAATTCAAGATGGATTAAAGATTTAAACGTTAGACCTAAAACCATAAAAACCCTAGAAGAAAACCTAGGCATTACCATTCAGGACATAGGCATGGGCAAGGACTTCATGTCCAAAACACCAAAAGCAATGGCAACAAAAGACAAAATTGACAAATGGGATCTAATTAAACTAAAGAGCTTCTGCACAGCAAAAGAAACTACCATCAGAGTGAACAGGCAACCTACAAAATGGGAGAAAATTTTCGCAACCTACTCATCTGACAAAGGGCTAATATCCAGAATCTACAATGAACTCAAACAAATTTACAAGAAAAAACAAACAACCCCATCAAAAAGTGGGCAAAGGACATGAACAGACACTTCTCAAAAGAAGACATTTATGCAGCCAAAAAACACATGAAAAAATGCTCATCATCACTGGCCATCAGAGAAATGCAAATCAAAACCACTATGAGATACCATCTCACACCAGTTAGAATGGCAATCATTAAAAAGTCAGGAAACAACAGGTGCTGGAGAGGATGTGGAGAAATAGGAACACTTTTACACTGTTGGTGGGACTGTCAACTAGTTCAACCATTGTGGAAGTCAGTGTGGCGATTCCTCAGGGATCTAGAACTAGAAATACCATTTGACCCAGCCATCCCATTACTGGGTATATACCCAAATGACTATAAATCATGCTGCTATAAAGACACATGCACACGTATGTTTATTGCGGCATTATTCACAATAGCAAAGACTTGGAACCAACCCAAATGTCCGACAATGATAGACTGGATTAAGAAAGTAGTAATTTTTAAATAAACATGCCTTTAAAAAATATTTGTCAAAAATCTCTTTCTGGCTGGGTGCAGTGGCTCATGCCTGTAATCCCAACACTTTGGGAGGCCAAGGCAGCGGATCACTTGAGGGCAGGAGTTCAAGACCAGCCTGGACAATATGATGGAACCAAGTCTCTACTGAAAGTACAAATATTAGCCAGGCATGGTGGCATGTGCCTGTAGTCCCAGCTACTTGGGAGGCTGAGGCAGCATAATCACTTGAACCCGGGAGGCGGAGGATGCAGTGAGGTGAGATCATGCCACTTCACTCCAGCCTGGGAAAAAAAAATCTCTTTCTTTTATTTAGCACATTTACACAATTAATATTTAAAAGTATTTTTAATATACTTGGATTAATATCTAACATATTTGAAACTGTTTGCTATTTGTCACATTTGTTCTTTGTGAAATTGTTGGTAATTATGCTCCAAAGTTAAAATCTCAGTAAATTTAACTTAATGGTTATGGACACTGTCTCTTATTCTTTTTTTTCCCCCAGAATAATTTGCTTTTATAACTGAAGATTTGCAAAGCTGTACTTTTTCCTTTCCTGGGAGCTTCATGCTGGTGGGGTGCTTGAATTATTCGATATCTGTGATGTCTATCTGAGTGTCTGTTGATTACCAAGGTAGTAATAATTATTTGTTGAATGAAAGTCGGATGTATGAAGAAATAAATGCTTGAGAATAGAGTGAGAGAAGTAAAAAAAAAAAAGAGCGGGAAGATGCGAGGCAGCATCTGTAACAATAACACTAAGACAAAAAGTGAAACTCTTATTATGTATTCCACACTGTACTAAGTAGACTGCATGCATTACCATTTAATCATCACGAACACCTTCCTAAAATACATCATTGAGGAGTTTAAGTTTTGAAAATGTTAAACAAACTGTACAAGAGTTGTAACTTCTAGTACCAAAACCCCACTCTGAGGTTTTTAGATCTTCAAAGATAAAAATGTATTTCTATCAAAGACGTGCTTCCCTGATGCTAAAATCTTGCTCATGAGACTTTGATTAACCAGACACCTATTATTAAGCCCATTATTAACTCTCAGTTTAAATGCACAGATTTTGTAAGAAAGCCAGTTAGTAAAGAATGTCCTTCATTTAGTAATGTAGGGATCTGATGTCAAGACAACTGTTACTTCCAAGTTATTAGGAGTTTATTTTAAGATATTCCCTTCCTTCATTTGTCATAAGAAACTTGCTTTACACTGGAGGAGTGACATAAAGCCCCAAAATATATTACTGTACGTGAAATTCACACTTCTGATGATATTTGAAAATGTATATATAAATATCGTGCCAGGTGGAAAATATTTCCTCAGATGGCCAAGTAAAATATTTATTTCTAGAAGGGAAGAAGGCAGGCAGGAAGAAGACATACAGCAGCAATAAAAAGTGCCTCCCGTCAAAGGCCTCATTGACATCAGCATAAATGCTGCCAGAAACAAAATAAGTTTTGTACAGAAATAAGTAGGAGAAATGTGTTAATATATTTATCTGAGAATAGAGAGCTACAGCAATGTGCTGACATTTTCCTGCCCATCAGCAGATTTTTGACTTTCAGTGGGAAGACATCTATCTGTACGTGTAGCAGTGAGGACCATAAGAGGTAAATGGTGCCATCGGACCATTCTAATCTTGGAGTCATGTCTATGAGGAAAGAGGAAAATAAGAAGAATCATGCTCAATGTAAAAACCTTGGAGCTATAAAATCATCTACACTTGTTTACTGTGGCTTTTTGAGCTTCTCATTTCACTTCTTAGAGCTTCAGTATTTTCATCTGTAAATTGGAGAAAGGAATAATTTCAAGATGGTGGTAAGAGTTAAATGAGATAACATATGGAAAGACAGGTATTGTAGACATTGGCACATAATTCTCAACCATGTCAATATATTTTCTTCTCAATAATGGGAGAAAATTATAAAAGCAAAAACTGTGTAGTGCTATTGCTAGAACAGGGCATATTCTTAATCTCCCATTCAGTTGCACTATCTTTTTGAGTGGTTATTATATATCCTGTAATGTTGTGGGAGCAGCTTCCAAGATGGCCCAAAGAGCCCCACCTCGCAGTATTCATGCTCTGTGTCCTTGTGTAATCCCCTTCTCTTGAGTATAGACCATACCAAATGACTCTCATCTAATCAATGAAACACAGCAAACAGGATACAATGCAACTTTTCAATGCTAGATTACAAGAGACTCTGATTTACATCTTGTTTGTTCTTTATTGACTTGCTCTCTGGCTTGTTGTAAAGAAAGCCAGCTGCAATGTTGTGAGCTGCTGTATGGTGAGAACTTAATGGCAATAAATTGAGAAAAGCCTCCAGTCAACAGTCAATGAGAAAATGAGGCTTTCAATCCTAAAGCATGTAGGGAACTGAATCCTGCAAGCTAGGAAGAGAAGCCTTATGAGAATCAAACTCTGGAATAACTGCACCCCCCACCAACACCCTGACTGCAGCCTTGTGAGAGAACCTGAGCCAAATTAAATCAAGTATACGGTGCCCAGACTCCATTATTATCTCATGTGAGATAATAAATGTGTGTTGTTTTTAAGCCAGTATACTTGGGGTAATTTGGTATGGAGCAAAAGATAACTAACACAATTCTTCTAGGTGCTATAAGGATGCAAGGAAAATCGGAGATAATAATACATTAATAAATGTATGTTAATATCTATCATGATGTAAAATATTGTTAGGGCACAATTCTAGGCAGATATGTTCCTAAACTTCAGGTCGCTAACTACTTCAGTATATGAGATTAATGAGATATTAATACTCCTAATAGACACAAGGTTGTGAAGATGATAGTAGACAGACACAGGAAACTGCTTATCTTTCCCCATTTTCTTCCTCTTGTCTAGGCCTTCCAAATTATTTTGATTTTAGTGTTTGTTTCTGGACTTTTCCTGGTGTTTTCTGCTTTGATTTTTTTTTACATGTTGATAAAAATATCATCAAAGTCGATCATATACCTAAAATCAAGTCAAAGTATCAAAATAGCTTTTGACAAAAGCAATACTTTCTCATTCAGCCTACACAGGGAAATTACTTTGATTGTGCATGTGGATGTGGTTAATTCTGATGTCAGCTACCGCTATAGCCCTAAATAATATATGTATGTCTCTTGTTCTTAATGGTTAATATTCAAAAGTACCTATTTTGATGCAACTGGAAATAGAATTATATCTTTAAATTCTTTTTCAAAGAGTGTATTTTTAGTGTATAAAATGAAAAATATTTTTGTATGTTGATTTTGTATCCTGTAACTTTACTGAATTTATTAGTTCTAATAAGTTTTTGGTGGTGCGATTAGAATTTTTAATATTTAATATAATGTCATCTGCAAACAGAGACAATTTTACTTTTCCTTTGCAATTTGGTTGCATTTTATTTATCTTTCGTGTCTAATTGCTCTGGCTAAGACTTCCAGAAGCCTATTGAATACAAATTGCCAAAGCGGACATCTTGGTCTTGTTCCTGAATTTAAAGGAAAAATTTCAGCAGTTCACCTTAGAGTATGATGTTAGCTATGGGCTCTTCATATATGCCCTTTATTGTGTAGACGTGTGTTACTTCTAAATCAAATTGCTGAGCATTTCTTGTCATGAAAGAGTGTTGAAATTTGTCAGATGCTCTTCTGCTGCCCTATCATGATGATTATATGTTTTTGGTCCGTCATTCTGTTAATGTAGTACATCGCAGTAACTGATTTGTGTATGTTAAACCACCCTTGTATCCCAGGAGTAAATCCCTACTTGGTCACGGTGTATAATTGTTTTAATGTGTTCTTAAATTTTACATGTTAGTATTTTGTGGAGATGTTTGCATGTATGTCCATCAGGGATATTGGTTCATAATTTTTTACAAGCTTGTTTGGCTTTGGTATCAGAATAATGCTGGTCTCCTAAAATCAGTCTGGAAATGTCCTTGCCTTTTCAATTTTTTGGATGATTTTAAGAAGAATTAGTATTAATTATTCTTCAAATGTTTGGTAAAATTCACCAGGAAAACCATCAAATCCTGAGCTTTTGCTTATTGGGATATTTTTGATTGCTGACTAAATTGCCTTACTCATTATTGGCCCATTTAGATTTTCTATTTCTTCATAATTCAATCTTCATAAGCTGCCTGTTTCTAGTAATTTATTCATTTCTTCTAGTTTATCAAATGCATTGGCATACAATTGTTTATAACAGCCTCTTATAATCATTTATATTTCTGAGGAATCAGTCATTATGTCTCCTTTCATTTACAGTTTTATTAATGTCACTTATCTCTCTTTTCACTTATACTGGCTAAATATTTGCAAATTTTGTCTTTGAGAGAAACTAATTCTTTGTTTTATTTTAAATTGTTTTTTATTTTATATTTTATTTATTTATACTCTGTTTTTCATTATTTTCTTCCTTGTGCTAACTCTAGGCTTACTTTGTTATTTTTCTAGTGTTCTGAGGTACAATGTTAGGTTGTTTATTTGGGATTTTTTTAAACGCAGCATTTATTGCTATAAATGTCCTTCTTGGATCCGCCTTTGCTGCATCCCATACGTATTCATATGCTGTGTTTCCATTTTTCTTTCTCTCAAAATTTTATTCTAGTTACAAAACATGGAAATAATATATGTTATATGAATAAATAAATGGATACATAAATTGTGGTATGTAAATGCAATGGAATATTAGTCATTAAAATGGAATGGAATATGATTGGATATTATTTGCCCATTTGCAACAATATAGATGAATCTTGAGAGCATTATGTTACATGAAATATGTCAGAGGAAGACAATATGATCACACTTATATGCAGAATCTAAAATATTAAAGTTACAGAAACAGAGAGTAGAGTGGCCATTGACCAAAACATCATTATGTGGTACATGACTATACAATATTATTTTCTGGCATTATTATACAATACACTAATCCAAGTATTATTCTTCTAGTTGGTTTATTGATTACGCTTGTCGGTTAAAAATAATATAAACTCACTGTTAACATGGAAAAGGACTAAATTATTTCTTATGAAACAAAAGGGCAGGCTAAGGAAGTTTGTAAAGAATTAGAGTTTCACCAACAAGCAACAAACTACACCAGCAGATTCATCTTTTATTTTAGAACCTGATAAAACAGCTGTTCTAAATAATTCATTTTACATCATTCACTTGATTATTTCTTTGCTTTTTTTCATAGTCTTTCCACTTATTTGTCTATTTCTAAACAATAAAATGTAGTTATACATGCTTTTTAACTCTATTTAATATTGTATTCTTTGTATCTTGCTTTTTTATCATTTTGATGAGCTCCATCCATGTTGTTGCAAGTAGATTTGGTTTATACATTTGTTCACTATGTTATTTCTTTGTATGCACACTGCACGATTATTTATTATTTTCTTAAAAGTCATGTGGATGAGTTGTTTCAAGCTGTAGAAACAATGCTTTTATGAACATTTTAATGTATGTATTGGTGTGCAGGCTCATGCATTACTTTGAGATATTACCTAGCAATTAAATTGTTGAGTTATTGAGCAATTATATATTCAATCATATTATTTAATGTCAAACCATGGTCCACAATGGTGAATCAATTTGTACTTCCACCAGAAGTTCTTGGGAATTGCCATTCTCATACATCCTCTTCAATAATTTGAAATGATCATTATTTATTTTATTTTCTTGTTTAAAAAATACATTTTGCCAATCTCTATGTAGTGAAGTTTCCTTGCAGTATTAATTTTAGATTCTTTAATTTTTAAAGAGTCTGAATACATTTTTAATATAGTTATTGTCTACATTAAGGGTGTTATAGAGGAAGTTTCTCATTTAGTAAATGCCTACTAGTGCTTTTTAAATTATGTTTTCTATGTAAATTCCCCCTCTTATTTCTGATTTTTTCATAAACTAAACCTTGCTTTTAATATAGTCAAATTTATCAGTGTTTTCTTTAAGTTAGTTGTTTCTGAACCTTGCTTAAATATATACTTCTTCAGCCCAAATTCATACAGAGATTCTTCATGATTTCCTGAAAGGTTTATAATTACCCCTTTTAGAGTTGAGTCCATAACCCACCTGAAGCTGATTTTTGAGCATGTCAAGGAGAAGGCATCCAATTTCATTTTATTAACAAATAGAGATACTTAATTTCCCCATTACTACTTACTGAAAAAAAAGAAGCCTCTTTCTATCCACTGCTGTAGATTGCCACTTCTGCCTTGTGTGTATTTTTCTGTTTACACTCTCCAGTCTGTTCAGCTGGTTTATTTATTTATTCCATTGCCAATATCACTTTCTCTTAATCACTATGGCTTTATTATAGATATTAATATTTGGTAGATAATTCTTTCATTTTGTTATTGTATAAGAATGTCTGTTTTGTTCTCTATATTTCTCTATACATTTATAGAATCTGCTCTACAAACATGCATACTCACATAAATAAAACAAAACCAAAAAAAAAACTTACTGCTTTCTATCAGAATTACACTGAGGTGATATATCATGTAAAGATAATTGACTTCTATTCAATAATGATTTATGCAATCCATCAAACATTGTGTATCTTTCATTTAGATGATATTTAATATTTAATATTCACTATCTCTCATGTTCCCTTGAGTAGTATTGCTACTTTTAATGAACTATCTTATTGGGTACTTGAAAATTTTAAGCTACTGTTGGTGATCACACATATAAAAATGTAAACACACATGTATATTTGACAATTAATTATCAAACTTATACAGGCTAGTGTACAGCAATAAGTTTAATTTTATACTTTGATTTCTACCCATCAAATCTGCTAAACTTCTATTAATTTTAAGAATGCAATCCTTATTTATTTGGACTTACTCCATACTCCAAATCACATTTCCTGTGAAAATGACAATTTCTTCTTTATTAACCATTATCCACCTACCCGCCCCAGCTTTCTTCACTTTCTTGCTGTAGTGTTCAATTTGAGTCCTCCAGAACAATATGTGTTAAACAATAGTGGTGTGGTGGTGTTACATATTTATATGCATATATAGTTTTTCTTTGGAAATTCTATTTATACCTATATTGGATATTTTGTTGCCTGGATTATGTGTGTGTGTGCATGTGTGTGTGTGTGTTTGCATATACTATTAATATAATAATTTGAGAATATATGCTTAGTTTAAGTTTTCAGATCACATACAAATATGTATGGAACACATACATATTCTCTAGTTATTTTAAACACTTTTATTTAAGTATTTTATTTTTATTTTTCCTATTTCTAACCTTTAAATCCTTTACTATGCCCACAAGTTCATTCTCTCTTTTTCAATCATTATTTTTGTCTTCTCTGTGATAATTTTTCCCTTTACTAGTCTCCTATACTCTTTTTCTTTAATTCCAATTTCTCCTTTGGTTTTATTATCTCTTCTCTTTGTTACTTTATTTGTCCTTTGTAATCCTTCAGAAAGATCATGGCTTCATTGAAGGTTTTGTGTTTGTAGAATTTCTTCTTTATGGGCTTTCATCTATTGGTTAGTTTGCTGTTTCCACATTTTATTTCATGTATCTTTGTATTGATATTTTAATAAATTATTTTATAAGGCTTGTCTATTTATCAGTTGGATTTTTCTTAGTTAGCTACTTGCAGTAGCTTCAGGGTCCTGAAAGGCCTGGTCACACTTGCAGCTTCCAGAAACCGTAAGGGTGTCTCTCTACGGCCGCAGAAACAGACTACGTCTTGCCTGCATAGCTCCTCTGTAAGACTGCTGGGGAGCTGCACAATGTCCTGGGATGTTTCATCCACAGTCCTGTGCTTACCAGTGTAGTCACTGTTTACTACAAATAAGGGGGCGCAGCCAACGTACCTCAAGGCAGCTTCTACCCTCCGCTTGTTTATTTTTGATGAAACCGAGAACTGCTGCTTACTGCTAAGCCCTCGACATTCTCTGAATGGCTTTTCTATTCTTCCCCTTCCTTCAACCTTCCCTGTGTGGCTTCTGTTTGAGTTTAATGTAATTATGTGCAACTCTAGTTCTAGCTATTTTAGGCATGAATTACAGATTCAGTATTTCAATGTGAGCCCCACCTTTAGGATGTTAGTGGTGGACTGGGTAACAACAGGGTTCTCTTAGCTTTTTCTGTTTCTCTCTCCGTGTGGTTTCTGCCCACTTCTTGCTTTTACAGAACTTTTAACTCTATGACTTTCCATTGATAATAAAAGAGCTGGTATTTTTTATTCTATCTGTCTTTCTAATCAAGTATTATCAATTCATCCATTTATTACCTTGTTTGTTTGTTTGTTTGTTTGTTTTCAAGTTCCAAGAAGGAGAAAGAATATTAAAAAGATGATGTTGCTTTCAGGTGTCTACCACAGGACAGGGTGTGATATTTATAACAAAAACAACAAAACCTGTACTTCATATTTATTTGTTCCTGGTATTTTAGCATTTCTATATGTCATTTATGACAATATTTTTTTCAAGTAATTTTAAACATTACATTGTGGGTCCTCACAAGCGGCTTTATTTGTGTCATCAAATCTTGTCAATGTTAGAAGTATTTGGTGCATTTTCATGTCGTATTTTGGTTACCTCCTTGCCCTCTGCTTTTTCTCTTTTCTCTGTTTTGCTTTGGCCAAAAGATTCACCCATGCCTTACTTTATCAGGCCCTTCACCTGCTCCCCATCACTCCTTTTTTGAAGCTTCATTGTATTTTCTTGGAAGAGGAAGGGGTGATGGGTTGACAGATGAACTGCAATAAATTGTTGAACTAGAAGATGTTCTCTAGGCTAGGCGCGGTGGCTCACGCCACGCAGCACTTTGAGAGGCTGAGGTGGGTGGATCACTTGAGGTCAGGAGTTCAAGACCAGCCTGGCTAAAATGGTGAAACCCCATCTCTACTAAAAACACAAAAATTAGTCAGGCGTGTGGTGGTGCATGCCTGTAATCCCAGCTACTTGGGAGGCTGAGGCAGCAGAATAGCTTGAACTTGAGAGGCGGAGGTTGTAATGAGCCAAGATGGCACCACTACACTCCAGCCTGGATGACAGAGTGAGACTCCATCTCAAAACAAAACAAAACAAAACAAAAAGAAAATGTTTTCTAAAGCCCTCCTCATCCTTAGACTCATGAGTCTTTCTAGGTTGGTCATCTTATCACTGTAATTAGACTGAAAATACCTGAATTTTAATAATTGTTTGTTATATTTCTATATTCTAAACATCTCACAACATTGGGTGCAAAATAATTGAGTAAATATTTCATGCATTTGCTAATGTTCAAATTGCTCACATTAGGACAGTTAAGTAAGTATACTAATATTATACAGAAGTATCAATACAGAAAGCAGCTAGTTTGTTTATCAGTGTGGATCATTTTCTGGGTTGGTGGGAGAACAAAATTTTTGTGAAACATTTAGTGGTAATATTCAAACTTTTAAGAATGAGGATATTACTGTCTAAGGGAAAATATATGGTCTCTAAATAGATGGAATACTTCTCATTTTTCATCTTATCTGCCAGTTAGTTTCACAGTTCTTCACATTTAAGTGAATTTCTTTCAATCATCTAAATAAAGTCTTGAATAGATGTGAATGCTAAGCTGATAACTGCATATAGCTTCCATTAGCACTTCAAAATGTGTCAGCCTGATATATATATATATATATATCAAAATATATATATATATTTTTTCCAGAATACTTTCTTAGTGCTAGGCTGAAAACTGAAAACTCTGGGCTTATGAGGAGGAAGATGGTGTGGCCTGGGAATTTTTTTTCTCTTGTAAATCTATAGAATTGAATGGCATTTTGATAATCCATTTCATTATTATTTAAATATTTTGAAACAGTTTCTTACTATTGTTTAGAGTGTGCAACTGTAATAAAAAATGAAGGGCAAATCACCATGTATTAAGGCCATACCATCTGCCAAGACCTTATCATAACTAATCACATTTCAGTTGAGAAATGTGAGATTTAATATCCTTAGATATACTTTATTTAATCCATCAATTCATGGTTCAAATACTAGTTTTTCCAAAGTCATTTAAAAAAATTTAATTTTGATTTTTGTTTACTATAATAGCAAAATAATATTGATACAGAATATAATAGTAAATGTAATCACATTCAACCATTATCCTATGCCCATAGATAATGACTATTAATATTTTGATGTTTACATGCCACACATAGGATAGTTACATAGTGCACACTATATATATATGTAATTTTCTATCTTATATTTAGCATAATGTCACCAGCATTATTTTATGCAAAACAATCTCATCAATATGCTGCAATGACATCACTCTATAGTCTGTCCTAACTTTTTGTTAGGAGCTGGTATCTAGTTCTAACTTGAAATATTAATATAACTTAGCCTCTATATTTATAACATGGAGCTGAGGAGAATAACCTAAGATATTTCCTGTTAGGGTTAATTCTAATTTGTATAGATGAATCTATTATAAAATCAATCCCTCCACTTGAGTGAGCTAGACAGTGCATAAATCTGAGTACCAAGCCATAGGAGAAAATCCAGAGGAGAAAATGAATATTCATAGCAATAAATCCTGAAAAACATTTTCTAACCAATATTTAACCATTTACAGTTTAAGCAAATGTTGAGTCTAGAAATTGAATGTCTTTTTATTATATGCCTGAGCTTTTATCTTAAATAATCATGATGATAATCATATTAAAGTTTGTACATAGTATGTGTTTGTTGTAGGAGAATGAAACATAAAGGCTTTGAAATAATTTTGGGGCTGGAGATGATTAAATTTTTCTCTTACCTTCTGTGCTTTTGTCAGAAGGCTCTGTAGTAAATTTTCATTTGCTTCTAATAAGATGTTAACATTATTTGATAATTACCTTGCCATTTTTTATTCTTCTTGGAATTTTAAATTTTAAAAATAATGTAGTATATGAAAAAGAAATGTTAGGAAATACAGTAATCCCCCCTTATTCATGGTTTTGCTTTTCATGATTTCACTTACTCATGGTCAACTGTGGTCCAAAAATATTAAATAGAAAATTATGGGAATAAGCCATTCATAAGTTTTAAATTCTGCCTTATTCTGAGTAGCACGATGAAATCTCGTGCCTTCTTGCTTTGTCATGCCTGGGACATGAGTCATCCCTTTGGCCAGTTCATCCATGCTGTATACACATCCCTTCCCCATTAGTCACTTAATAGCTGTCTTGAATATCAAATGGAAAAAATTTAGTACTGTGCAGAAACTTTTCTAGCTCAGTGTAATCCCATTTGTCTATTTTTGCTTTTGTTGCCTATGCTTTTGAGGTCTTACAGAAAATAATATTTTCCCAGACCAATGTTCTATAGGGTTTCCTCAATGTTTTTATTTTTTCTAGCAGTTTGATAGTTTTAGACTTACACTTAAGATGTTAATCTATTTTGAGTTGATTTTTATATATAATGTAAAATGGGGATCCAGTTTCATTCTTCTGCTTATGGATAGCCAGTTTCCCCAGCACCATTTTTTAAAGAGACTGTCCTTTCCCCAAAGGAACAACTAATAAAGTAAAGAGACAACCTACAGAATGGAAGAAGATATTTTCAAATTATCCATGTGATAAGGAATTAATAAGCAGAATGTATACGGGACTCAAACAACTCAACAGAAAAAAAAACAAATAACTTGATTAAAAATTTGCAAAAGACCTGAATAAACATTTCTCAAAAGAAGACATACAAATGGCCAATGCTCAACATTGCTAATCATCAGGGAAACACAAATAAAAATCACAATGAAATATCATCTCATCCAAGTTAGAAAGGCACTATAAAACAGACAAAAAATAAATGATTGTGATGATGCAGAGAAAGGGGAATGCCCCTACGATGTTAATGGAAATGTAAAGTACTGTCGCCATTATGGAAAATAGTATAGCGGTTCCTCAAAAAGCTACAAATAGAACGACCATATAATCCATCAATTCCACTACTGGATATATATCCAAAAGAATGGAACTCAGTATCAAACAGATGTCTGCACCCCCATGTTTATTGAAGGACTATTCACAATACCCAAGATATGGAATCAACGTAAGCATCCATCAACGAATGAATGGATAATGAAAACGTGGTATATATACACAATGAAATATTCAGCAACAATAAGAATGAAATCTTGCGATTTGCAGCACCATGAATAGAGGTGGAGGTCATTATATTAACTGAAATAAGCCAGGCACAGAAAGATAAACATCACATGTTCTCACTCACAGGTGGGAGCAAAAAAAAACAGGATCTAATGGAGCTGGAGAGTTGAATGATGGTTACCATAGTCTGTGAAGGGAAAGCAGGGAGCAGGGTATGATGGGAAGTTGGGTAAAGTATACAAACATACAGTAAAAGGACTAAGTTCTAGTATTTGATATTATAGTACATAGATTATAGTTAAAATAATTTATTGTATATTTCAAAATAGCTAGAAGAGAGGAATTGTAATGCTCGCAAAACAAAGATAAATGTTTGAGGTGCTGGATGGCCTGTTTACACTTATTTGATCATTGTACATTGTATACAGGTATCAGAATATCACATAAATGCCCAAAATATGTACAACTATAACATATCAACCAAAAATACAAAATTAGAAAAACATAGTAGACCCACATATAGGGTTTAGTTTTATTCACAGTTTCAGACATGCACTGGGAGCCGTGAGTTATCCCTTTCAGATTAGGGATAACTACTGTACTTAGCAAAGAATTACTATTAATGTACCTATTCATTGAGCCTGGTACACAGTTACCTTAGTTTATCCCTGGGATCTAACATTCAGATAGGTTGAAGTGTCTACAATTTATATTCCTGTCAATCCTGAAAAAAGATCATTAGCAGTCACAGTAGCTCTCAGAGGCCAGTACCCTCAAGACCAGACTCTGTCATTCCCACTTGATCCCAAATTGTCTACTGTCATGCCTCTAGAGGAAAGATTGTCATCTCTACGTCTTTTGGGCAGTGATCTCTGCCTTGGGTACTCTGGATTTGCTGTCATCCTGACCCTCCCTGGAGAGTTTTGCAGTGCACCTGGAGTTCCCACTTCCCTGACCCCTGTGTCTTCCCTCGTCTCAGTGGAGGCCCCTCTATTAATAGCTAGTTTTCTGGAATCTAGTCTTGTACCAGCCACCATCATAAAAGATTTGGGAAAAAATATTATGACTCCCCCACTGGCATTGATACATATTAGCAATCCAAACAAACTTTCTTTTCCTTATTTTTTTTTGGCTGGCAGCTGATGAGATGCTTTCTTTCCTTCTGCAGTAACACGTAAGGGCACCTGAAATCATACAGCCACAACTCATTGCCTTGTGCAGATTATAACATCGTGGCTTGCCAAGTGTAATTCTCCCAGCTACAATTTGCCAGCTGAAATGCATCTATTAATCACCTTCCTGATTAATTATAACTTTCAGCTGGACCCTGACGTCTCTATGGAACTTTGATTCGGTACTATAGAATTCATTATTATTTTTTTTTTTTTTGAGACTGAGTCTTGCTCTGTTGCCCAGGCTGGAGTGCAGTGGCACAATCTTGGCTCACTGCCAGCTCCGTCTCCCGGGTTCACGCCATTCTCCTGCCTCAGCCTCCCGAGTTGTTTGGACTACAGGCACCCACCACTGTGCCCAGCTAATTTTTTGTATTTTTAGTAGAGATGTGGTTTCACCGTGTTAGCCAGGATAGTCTCGTTCTCCTGACCTTGTGATCCGCCTGCCTCGGCCTCCCAAAGTGTTGGGATTACAGGCGTGAGCCACTGCGCCTGGCCACTATAGAACTCTTTCAACATACCTCATAATGAAGACCTCTTATTTTTTCTCAAAGTGACCTTTAATATCTCACCATCATGACCTCCATGACAAGGTGACAGTGGAGAAGGGGGGTCACTCTGGATCCACTCTATTGCCCCACAGAGCCTGATAAACTCTTCTTCAACATCCTCCCCCACCCAACCTAGCGCAGGGGAAGCACAAAGGGAACATCACATACCATCTTGCCTGGACACATTTGTAATAATAAAAATTGTCAGTAACATTCTCTGGACACTTGAGAGTAGGAGTTTCCAGAAGGTGCCTCATCTCTGAGATTGGAGGGTTTTTTCTTGTTTTTTTTTTTTTTTTTTTTTTTTCCCTATCTGGTGCCATGAGCCTTCAGAACAATGTATCTTGTCCCTGAAGCATTTCAACCACATGCCAGCTTTGTTTCAGAAAAACTGGATTGAGCTGACTCCACATAGTTCTTTCCACTTTGAGGCTTGAGGATTAAAAGTGGGTGTTGGCGTTCTGAAAGAAAGTGATCATTATACATGTCCGAAGACACACGTGTGTGCGTATACATTTCAGATGTTGCTGTTAATCTTGATATCTTGGCCCTTTTCTAAATTCAGTAATTGCATTCTGCCAAGCCAAGTTCCTCATACACTTTTAATTGAGGATTTATCCTTCCTTCTCCTTTTAAAATCTACTCCAGAGTTTATTCATGTCATCCAGGCACAGTAGTTTGCACCTGTAGTCCCAGCTACTTGGAAGGCTGAGGCTGGAGGATTGTTTCAGCACATGAGTCCAAAGCCAGCCTGCGCAACACAGTGAGAGTCCATCTCTTAAAAACACTTAAAAAGCAAGGCTGACATTACAGATCTGCTCCAAGGAATCCCCAAAAGTGATTGGGGAGAAAGTCAACATTCTAAGATATAGTCCTTTCATAAGCGATTGTATTGGGGCTTTGAGGAAATCAATTATTCAGCAAAGTTCATCTAAGTAATATTTGCCTATTGATATCTGATGTTTATTATACCAAAAAGAATCAAAGAATTTAGAGAACAAAATAAGAGCATCTTTAACAGGAAGGAAAATTTGATTACTTGCATATAACGCAGAGTAACACCAGAAGGACCAGCCCCATAATATAAGTGCACAGCTGAAAAGCAAAACCTTCCAGCCAGATGCATTTCACAGGTCACATTTCCCTGGACAAATGAAAGCTGTCCATTTGTGTCTATCACATGCTTATCGAGGTCTAATAATCATAAAGCTGTAGTAGGTCTTGTAATAATACACTCTTTCCCTTGTGCTAATGTTTGCTTCAGGGGTTTGGATTACCTGGAGATTGGCTAGATTAGCTTCATACTTGCCTTCCTTCTTACTTTGCTTCCACTGTAAATTCTTTCTTAATAGTGATGATGTTTATAATAAGAATAATGATAATAACAATAATAATTAAACCGGTTTGGCAGTTATTATGTTCCAGGAACTAAGCTAGAAATACTAATTATATTATTTTATTTGAATTACACAGAATCTGTCTTCAATACTCGCTGTTGTCCTGATTGTATAGATAGGTAAACTGGGGTTGCAAAGGATAAGTAACTTGTTCAAGGTCACAGAATTTCTAGGTGATACATCAAGGTTCTAGAATATATCTTTTTGATCCCCAAACCTGTGCTTATAACTACTATGCTTCTTGATTTTCTTGCATAGCTAGAAATATGGCTAGATCTTAGCATAATTAAACAGAGAAACAAACACAAAACTGAACCAAAACAGTGCATTATCTGTCCATGCTGGACGGGAGAGTTTGCATTGGGTTAAAGTGCTTGACTATTATAGGGCCTTTTTGAAAAGTATCTTATTTTAAAACTATAAAAATTAGGTGTGTTCATTTATAAAACACCAGTATCTATGTGATCATTTTTATGGTTCCTCGATATTCTTTAACTAGAAATTAGTTTTATGATAATCCTTTGGGACAATTAATTGTAATCAGGAGTTGTAACTCATATCTAATGTGAAACAAATAGGATGGAAAGGCATGCAGATGATCGCCTTAGGAGGTGTGACAAGTTTCCTACTTCCCCAGTCTTGAAGCAGAGAATTACAGAACAGCTACTACTTAGTGTATCTTACACTTCATTGACCTTTGCAATAAATTAATAAAATGGGTATTGAACTATCCATTAAGAAGAGTTTTTTTAATTCATTATCTTCATGTGTTGGCAGGAGCTGCCACAGAATATAACTGAAGAAGTGGTACAGCCATCAAAAAGCTCAGCTTTTTAAGTCTCTAACAGAGACAATGGCCCAGTTTTGCTATTTGCAGTAAGCTATGCCACATTCTTGGCTATAGCCAATAGAATGACAGTAGCCTTTGCAGGCAGAAAATCATGGCACCAACAAAGAACAGAGTCAAGATGACCATTGTGGAAAACTGGCTTTCTGATGAGGACCCGCTCCATTAGGCCATACCTGCCTTCTCAGAAAGACCTGATGCTTTTCTAAAGGAGCTTCTCAATGCCACCAGTGATATGTAGTCAGGTTTCCATATCCATGGGTTCTACGTCCATGGATTCAATCAACCATAGAGGGAACATATTCTAAATAAAACTAAAGAGGATGTTTGCATTTGTAGTGAACATGGACAGACTTTTTTTCCTTGCCATTATTGCTTTAATATAACTACTATTTACATGGCATCACATTGTACTAGGTATTATAAGCAATCTATGTGTGGAGAAAGTGCATAGGTTATATGCAAATACAATGCCATTTTATATGAGAGAATGCAGCATTCATAGATTTTGGTATCTGTGTGGGTCCTGGAACCAATTATCCGTGAATGCTGAGGGATGACTGTATTTGACTACACTCAGCCAGTTAAAACAGGTCTTTCTTACAACCCTGCTTTGTATTAGGTTTTGGGTTAATGACACACACCAACCATGAAAATGTGTAACTCTTGTCCTTCATAGACAGAAAACCTGAGATTCTAAAAGATTATATGACCCATCCAAGGTCACACAGCACAGGGTGCACCTCTTATGTCATCTTATCTCTATCTAACCACAAAGTAACATCAACAAAGTGATATTATTTTACTTCACAATGTGAGAAAGTAGTGTTGGTCAAAAATTGCATGTCTTAAAATTATACTCACGATTACACATGCACATAATCTCATTTAACCATGTAGCATATGGGTGAGGGAAATATCATTATTGTAACTCTGTGGATGCAGAAAAATCACACCTGCTGAAGGATCCACCTAGCTTATACGTGTCAGCAGAAGATGTGAGCCAAGTGTTGCTGATTTGCAAAGCCTGTATTCACTCTACTGAATTCCCAAGGGAAGTCACTTCATAAATGCTGTTTTATTGTCTTTATGAAATGGCCTTCATTGTCTTCAATGAACAATGTTCCACTGAACATATTGATAATTCACAATGGCAGAATTTCTCAAATAGCAACATGCAGTTACTTTTCTACTAAATTGTTACCCTAGAAGATACTCTAAAAAAGGAAGCTTAGAGCAATTGTTAAACTTATTTCTATAATTTCAGAGTAAGAATGAGATTTAATTGTTCATCAAGAAGGATTCCTAGTAGAATAATTTCCTAATGTTTCACATCAATATCTGGGGTTTCAGTATCTCTCAACTTGGCAAGGATTGTCAGCAACTACTTTGGGTAAAAGAAAAAATGAGATGATTTTTCAACTTTACATAGTATTCATTCTGAAAAATTCTATATATTTCCTAAAGCTGCATCAGAAGGTGCAGCAAGATTCAAATGCTGTGAATGAATGGCGTGTGCTGACATCAGTTCTTTCAGATCTGGAAACACACAGGGCAAGAAGACATTGCCACACAACGTTTGCAGTTTTTACTTTATTGAGAACTCTGCCTTTGGCTGTGAGGGACTCCACAAATATTTACTGAGCAGCATTTCTATGTCAGACACTTGATAAACGTTGTGAAACAAATGAAGAGGATGCAGTCTGGTCCTAAAGGCATTTATATCACATGGAACATCAGCTTTCTACATATTCATCCCAGGCCAGGAGGAGAGTCTATCCACGCACAGAGGCACATGGGGCTTCCCAGGCTCTGCCTAGAGGAACGAGGTTTCTTCACTGTGTCCAGACACAGCACAGGTCCTCAAGGAACAGGTTTAATTTTTCAGCAGTGATAAAGACTATTAAATTTATCAAGCCAAGGGGGCCTCCATTTATAAATTTCTAATTCCGTGGAACTCATTGCTCCTGGGAATGCTTCCTAGAATTTTTTTTCTCTTAAAATATGACTGTAAAGGGTTGTAGGAAACACTGGCTTTCAGGGCATGAGTTTGAGTTCCAGCTGTGCTGCTATTTATATGTTGTGTAATCATGAACTAACAAAACTCTCTGAACCTTGGGGTTCTCATCTAAGCAACGTATAGGTATTACTCACCTCACAAAATTATTATGAGAACATGAAGAAACAAAGTCTATCATAATGTCTATGCAGGGGGCAGGTTCACTAGTTAATAGTTTCTTTCACAAAAGGCTTCTGAAGAGTGACAGTAACCTGGAGAACATTTTATCTCTTTCCAAATCGAGATACTATGGTTAATAAAACATGAGCTTTTCTGGAGCTTTATATTTACCCATGTTAAATACAGATATATTCAGTAAAAGCTATTTTTTCCCGCTTTTTTTAAGTGAAAATAAATGTGCTTGTCATATTTACCCATTGATCTTGGTCCAAAATACAACCCATTATTGATTTTATCAGGCATCCCATCAAATACCTAAAAGTAGTTTCAAATTTAATCACTTGTATACCCCATCTTAGAACATCTTTCTTTATTCCTAGGTAAGATAAGTAAACATCTGTCCAACTTCCTGGAATCTGGAATTAAATTTCCATTTCACATATTAAGCCATTCATTTTATGTTCCTGGTGTTCACATTTCTCCAGACGGAACATCATTTTTCCACGTTGAAATAGAAAACTAAATGTTAATGTTTTTAAAAGAAAACAAAAATGGCTTGCATTCAGACTAAAAAGTGAATGATTGCTATTAGATTCTTCGTTTCAAAAGAATGCTTTTCATAAGGATCAGAGAATGGGGGTGTTTGTGCACTGTGAGAAAGTTGAATGCAGGTGAGCTTCTGATCACAAGATGCTAAGAATGGCATGAGAAATAGCTGGAGCTAAGCTGCCTCTTAAAAGAAACTTAGCTAAACTGAGAGTTTCACCTAAGGCTGGTTTTGCTCATCAGGGGTTTGAAAATGAGCATCTCATCTGTATCTGAAAAGCATGAAACAGAAATTGAAACAATTTCAACACTGAAAAGTCCCTGAGAGGTCACTTTGTTCAGTGAGCTTCAGTTTCAGCTGATAATCTGAACCACTTGGGAATCTTTTAAGAATGCCTACTTCTGAGTCCCACCATAAACCACTATAAACTTTGCCCAAGAATATTTATGTATCAATCATGACTGTCATTTCCAAACAGTTGAAACCAACCCAGGCTAACTTTAGCAAAAGGGAGTATATTGAAAGGATAATGGGAAGTTCTTAGATCTTGAGAAATGCTGAAGAAGCAAACTTCAGAAGCTCGCAGTGACACAGAGCAGAGAGGACCACAGTGAATGCACTTCACAGCCAACCGCTGCTCCTGAGTCCCCAGTGCCCGCAAATGGTAGCCATAGCTGCCTGGAAAGTTCATGAATTCTCTCTTGCCTGCTTCTTTGTGCCAATAATTCAAGATTCAAGAATTAGGTGGATGCAGCCAGTTTGTGGCTGAGACGACTAGATCCTGTGCCCATGCCCTAACAGCAAGAGAAGCTTATAAAAAGTGGTTATCTGTCCTCTGAGGCTATAGAAAAAGGTTGGGTCTTACAGTAGAATTTTGTAATGGATTTAGGTTTAAATATAAAGACCTCAAGTTACCTCACATAATAAGCCTGAATGTAGGATCCAGGTTTAGTGCAGCAATGGTCTCTCATTCATTCTGTTCCACTTACCCTTTCAGCTTGTCACCTACCTCCTGCTCCCAATATAACTGTGATGCTTGAAGCAACGTCTTCCCACCCAATATCAATTTCAAGGCAAGGAGAAAAGATGTCAGTGGGTTCTTTCCTCACAGTTTCCATTTTGTTCTGAGATGGAAATATGTATCAGAATCCATTCACCTCACATCTCATTGCCACAGCTGATTTATGTGCCATTTCCTAGGTCAATTACTGGCCATTGGCAATGAAATTACTGTAGCAGCAATAGATCTGTAGTGTTTTTGTCAGCCTTCCCTGAGACAGAGTGTTCCACTATCTGAGGAATATCCAGTCTGACCTAGCCCAGACAAAGCCAGACAGATGATTGATTGGGAGGCACTGAATGACATTTGTCAGGGTCAGAAATTACTTAAACACAAGAAGACACTCATAAGGTGAACAGGCAAATAAATGCCCAATTGCCAGCATGCCATGTTTTCTAAAATCCCGTGGGTGATTCTTTTGTAGCTAGGGTTTCTCTGTTGCTTGGTACTCTGGCTTTTGCAAGAAGAGACCCAATCCATCCTTCTCATTTTCCATGAGAGAAGATCTGTGTAGGGACTGGACATGTTCCAAGAGCATACAAAAGTGTTAGGAAAATTATGCAGTTCTTTTGACTTCTGGACTAGCATAGTTTCCATATCATGATAATGGTAGCTTGTATTTTAAGAACACCTTCTTGGCATTGCACTGAGTACGGTGCATGCATTATCTTCAATTTTTATGATCACTCCATGATGGGCACAATGTGACACATTGTATCCTATGGCTCAAGGTCATTGCCAAGGTCTGATTTTTCACTTACGAGAATTCAAAAAAATTTGCAACCTCTGGTAATGTGAAAACTGTGGAAGAGGAGTTCAACTAATGAAGACTGAAGAGTCGAGAAGAGATGGAGCTAAAATTTCATCATCTTTCTTTTGTGCTTCAGTCAATTTCTGCTACAGAACTCCAGTAATTTTAAGAAAATATATGTTCCTTGCACAGAGTAACATTCTTTGTGTCTCATAGGATACTTAATTAATTAACTGATTTCAAAGAGCACTTTTTTTGTTATTGTGGGCATTGCTGACATGACCCTTTAGATTATGCTTAGCTCTGGGATGCGTATTTTCAGTGGATACCTGAGTCCTCATCCCCATGGAATTAAGGACGTTGTTTTCCTGTAGTTCTTTCACTGACAACTTGTCCAGTTAACTATGCTTGAAGATCCTTGACTGCAGGCACAATTAACATATTTTTTGAAATAGACGCAACCACCGTAATTTGCAAAAATAATGAACACTCCTATCTTTCAGAAGAACAACAAATATTATAAAGGAGGAAGTGGAGATGGCTAGGGAATGGGCTATGACATGCATGTAAAAAAAAACAAGCAATTGAATTGCCTTTGAAGAAAAAAAAATACTATCCCTTTAAAAATCCTTAACGAAGTTGTCCTCTCAGCTTCTCTTTCAGCATTAGGTGTTTTTCCCGCCCTGCTTTTTCAGCACCATTCTCCCTGTCCCCATTAACCCACTTATGCCTAGTGTTCCATTATTGGAATGCTAAGTATGTGGGAGTTATTTATATCCTGCTGCTCAAGATTATTGCTAAGGTCTGATTTTTCACTTATGCAAAAATTCAAAAAAATTGCAAACTCCGGCATAAATAGGTTAATTGATTTTGGGTTATTTCCTTTTTTCTCAGTTAAGAGCGAAGAATGAAGTGCTAACATATTGCTGTCACTTCCCTCATTGTGTTTTCTATGATGGCTTTGACTTTGTCATCATCACTACCACTCTGTGAGAAGTTCCGAGATGAGGATGGAGTGTGTCTTGTGATCCAAAAAAACAACCACCTGACATTCAGAGAATGTCCCCATTCTAGGCTTTGATGCCCGTCCATGGAGACACGATGCAAAGCAATTAAAGGAATTAGTCAAAACAAATTACCTGAGCTGCTTGTTTAAGTCCCAGCAAAGAACCACTTACTATAGTAATAATGGAAGGGCAATTCTCTTTTACCAAAGGCTGCAGGTGATTCTAAATCTGGACACATTTAGGTACTACTGTGATAACGAGCAATTCTTTTGGAGAGAATCATGATGATTTTTGTTTTCCATTTTGAGAGCTAGATGACAAAAAGAGAAATATCATGCCCTAGGAAGTAAGAGAGTTATAACATGTTCACCAATTTGTAAAAATTGTGTAACTAACGGATTTGTTTGTTTCTTAAGAAATGTATAGGAGTTGAGTAAGATCTAGGGAGACATTTGTTGCCCTTAAAAGTAATCCTAGAATAAAGATTCTTTGTACGGATCTCTTTTGTGCATCTACCAGAATTTCTCCTAGGGGTAGAATTGTTCACCCTCAAGCATGTTAGATATTGTGAAAATGATTAAAGTGTCAGAAACACATTTAAAATTCTAAAAGTGATTTATGTTGAGTTTTCATTGTTTTGAAACTTTATCAACACATGGTGAAGTCAGATTTCTAATTTTGCCAGTATGAAAAGTGTCAAGTGATATCTCATTGTGATTTTGATTTACATTACTACTGCTGATGTAGATAATTTTTTATTGGTTATCATGATTTAGACCCCCTCATTGTGAACAAATTACAAATAATCTTTTGTCTCTGTGTATTGCTTTTTTCTATTGATTGATATAATTTTAAATATAAAGTTAATACTAATTTATCTTTGTCATATACATTGCAAGCATCTTTTTTCTTTCTTTGGTGTCTTTAGGTGTCTTATGCAGTAGTTTATGTCAAAGAAGTTTTAAAGTTTAATATGCTCAAGTTCTTGAATCCTTTCCTTTCAGATGTATGCTTTTCATGTCTTTTGCTTAAGAAATACTTCACTATGCTCACTATAAATATTTAATTCTCCACCTTTTTTTCAAAGTTTAAACATTATTTCTTATGTAGATAGTTAATTTACCTAGAATAATTGTTCATTATAATGCGGGATAGAAGTCTTACTTCATATTTTTATATATTTATAAGCAACTTTTCCAAGCAAATTTTGAAGTTTTTACTTTTTTTTTTTGAGACAGAGTCTCACTTTGTTGCCTGGCTGGAGTGCAGTGGCATGATCTCGGCTCACTGCAATCTCCGCCTCCTGGGTTCAAGCGATTCTCCTGCCTCAGCCTTCTGAGCAGCTGGGACTACAGGCATACGCCACCAAGCCCAGCTAATTTTTGTATTTTTAGTAGAGACGGGGTTTCCCCATGCTGGCCGGGATGGTCTCAATCTCTTGACCTCGTGATCCGCCCTCCTCGGCCTCCCAAAGTGCTGGGATTACAGGCGTGAGCCACCGCACCTGGCCAGTTTTTACTTTTAATAACTATTTGTTTTATAGTGCCATTTCAGTAATACATCAAATTCTTACATGTTGAGAGTCTGGCTCTGAGCTAATCTTGTCTTCTAACTTCTCCTCAGCCCATGTTGAAAATCATGTACTTGTCCAGGAGCGGTGGCTCATGCCTGTAATCCCAGCACTTTGGGAGGCTGAAGAGGGCAGATCACTTGAGGTCAGGAGTTTGAGGCCAGCCTGGCTAACATGGTGAAACTCCGTCTCTACTAAAAATATAAAAATTGGCATGGTGTGGTGGTGGGTGCCTGTAGTCCCAACTACTTGGGAGGCTAAGACAGGAGAATCGCTTGAACCTGGGAGGCAGAGGTTGCAGTGAGCCAAGATGGAGCCATTGCACTCCAGCCTTGGTGACAGAGCAAGACTCTATCTCAAAAAAAAAAAAAAAAAAAAAAAAAGCCTGAATTTTGTGATAAACATATCAAGTTTTCTGATTAAATCCTGGTGAGAGTTGAATTGAAATTGCATTAAATGTATAGAATACTTAGAAGAAAGGTGTTCTTCATAATTTTGTTACTTCATTATTACAGCAGATTGCATATATATTCAGAACATTTTTTATGACTTTGGAAAAAAAAGTGTAACAGTTTTATTCCATAATGACCTTGGTTAATCGTTTGCTAAATTTCTTCCTAGGTAAACTATAGATAGATTGGTAAAAGAATTTATTACCTATGCTGATAAACTTTTGGAATATCAGATCAGATGTGACATGACAAGAAGTATACAGTGGGTCTCTCTCAGGTGAATAAAAATATATGGTTGTCCAACCTTCATATGTGTTTGCATGGTCCATGAGATGTTTCTGTTTATTCAATTTTCAAAACTGTTGTTGATTACATATAAAATGCTACAGGTTTTTGGATTGATTTCAGACTAAACAAGTACTATTATTTTAATAGTTTGTAGCTTTCTGTGTAGAAAGTAACAAAATATTGCCATAAATATTTTGCTTATTTTCAATCCTAATCACTGTGTGCCTGTGTCTGAGTGTCATAGTGATTTACTTGTGTTGTCAGCACAACAAGAACCAGAGACAGGAAATGTAACATCTTTTCCTTGCTACCAGCTTCCCAAGAAACGCTTTTAAAGTTCTATCACATAAAGTGTATTTGTTGATATTTTTGTAAGCATTTGTTATTGAGATTATGAAGCTTCTTTTGATTCCTAGTTTTCTATAATATTTTTCTGAAAAGTCATGAATGTTAAAACATTTCAATAAATATATTTCAGCAACTGTGGTTATAAATCTATTGTTTTATTTTTAATTGTAATCAATATTGACAAATTTTAATATCCTACATTTAAAAAAGTTTCCAATCTTTATTAATAATTGCTCATTATTTATTTCATAGGAAGAAAATTGCATTTTGCATAAAAATATACAAAAATTTAAATTTTTGTATAATGTTTTATTTTGTCTCTAATTTTTCTGTAAGTTTCTCAGTTCCTAATTATAAATATTTTCACTGTTTTTCTTCATGGATATCAATAAAAGTTTATTTATATTAGTATTATTTCACATTTTCATCAGTTTCTAGAAAATAAACATCATTCTTTCTTTTGATGCTGTTGAACTAATTTATCTAAGTTACTTTATTCTGGAAATTTATTTGTGTTTCCTCTTCTAACATTGTTGGATAAAACCTAGACTCCGTACTTTTTAATATGTTTATTTGTTAATTGTATGTTTTCAAAGATAAATTCCCCCAACTACCTCTTCATCAGTATTTTATACTTTTGAAATATAGTTCCTTCATTAGCATTTGTTTTTAAATATATTAAACATTTCTGTCATAATAGTGTATAATTTTCAAATGGTTATTTTAAATAAATTGGTATATTCAAGAAATTTTTAAAATCAATTGTTTCCACTAAGCTTTTAATAAGAAATGAGAATATCGTGCTTCAATTTTTTTCTTAGAAAATAATTGGAAGCATTCCCTTTGAAAACTGGCACAAGATAATGATGCCCTCTCTCACCACTCCTATTCAACATAGTGTTGGAAGTTCTGGCCAGGGCAATCACACAAAAGAAAGAAAGAAAGGGTGTTCAGTTAGGAAAAGGGGTAGTCAAATTGTCCCTGTTTACAGATGACATGATTGTATATTTAGAAAACCCCATCATCTCAGCCCAAAATCTCCTTAAGCTGATAAGCAACTTCAGCAAAGTCTCAGGATGCAAAATCAGTGTGCAAAAGTCACAAGCATTCCTATACACCAGTAACAGACAATCAGAGAGACAAATCATGAGTGAACTCCCATTCACAATTGCTACAAAGAGAATAACATACCTAGGAATACAACTTACAAGGGATGTGAAGGACCTCTTCAAGAAGAACTACAAACCACTGCTCAATGAAATGAAAGAGGACACAAACAAATGGAAGAACATTCCATGCTTATGGATAGGAAGGATCAATCTTGTGAAAATGGCCCTACTGCCGAAGGTAATTTATAGATTCAATGCCATCCCCATCAAGCTACCAATGAATTTCTTCACAGAATTGGAAAAAACTACTTTAAAGTTCATATGGAACCAAAAAAGAGCCTGCATTGTCAAGACAATCCTAAGCAAAAAGAACAAAGCTGAAGGCATCATGCTACCTGACTTCAAACTACACTACAAGCCTACGGTAACCAAAACAGCATGATACTTGTACCAAAACAGATATATAGACAAATGGAACAGAACACAGGCCTCAGAAATAACACCACATATCTACAACCATCTGATCTTTGGCAAACCAGACAAAAACAAGAAATGGGGAAAGGATTCCCTATTTAATAAATGGTGCTGGGAAAACTGGCTAGCCATATGTAGAAGGCTGAAACTGGATCCCTTCCTTACACCTTATACAAAAATTAATTCAAGATGTATTAAAGACTTAAATGTTAGACCTAAAACCATGAAAACCTTAGAAGAAAACCTAGGCAATACCATTCAGGACATAGGCATGGGCAAGGACTTCATGTCTAAAACACCAAAAGCAATGGAAACAAAAGCCAAAATAGACAAATGGGATCTAATTAAACTAAAGAACTTCTTCACAGCAAAAGAAACTACCATCAGAGTGAACAGGAAACCTACAGAATGGGAGAAAAATTTTGCAATCTACCCATCTGACAAAGAGCTAATACCCAGAATATACGAAGAACTTAAACAAATTTGCAAGAAAAAAAAAAAAACACAACCCCATCAACAAGTGGGAGAAGGATATGAACAGACACTTCTCAAAAGAAGACAGTTATGCAGGCAACAGACGCATAAAAAATGCTCATCATCACTGGCCATCAGAGACGTGCAAATCAAAACCACAATGAGATACCATCTCATACCAGTTAGAATGGTGATCATTAAAAAGTGAGGAAACAACAGACGCTGGAAAGGATGTGGAGAAATAGAAACACTTTTACACTGTTGGTGGGAGTGTAAACTAGTTCAACTATTGTGGAAGACAGCGTGGCAATTCCTCAAGGATCTAAAACTAGAAATACCATTTGACCCAGCCATCCCATTACTGGCTATATACCCAAAGGATTATAAATCATGCTACTATAAAGACACATGCACATGTATGTTTATTGTGGCACTATTCACAATAGCAAAGACTTGGAACCAACCCAAATGTCCCTCAATGATAGACTGGATTAAGAAAATGTGGCACATATACACCATGGAATACTATGCAACCATAAAAAAGGATGAGTTCATGTCCTTCGTAAGGACATGGATGAAGCTGGAAACCATCATTCTGATCAAACTGTCACAAGGACAGAAAACCAAAGCCACATATTCTCACTCGTAGGTGGGAATTGAACAATGAGAACACCTGGACACAGGGCGGGGAACATCACACCCCAGGGCCTGTTGTGGGGTGGGAGGCAGCAGGAGGGATAGCATTAGGAGAAATACCTAATGTAAATGATGAGTTAATGGGTGCAGCAAACCAACATGGTACATATATACCTATGTAACAAACCTGCACATTGTGCACATGCACCCTAGAATTTAAAGTGTAATTTAAAAAAAAATAAAATTTTAAAAAAAGAAAAAGAAAAATAGAGGCAATAATGTAATCCTCCTTGTAGTCACCTGCATATTTCTAAATAAAAATCTTTAAATACCATTTATTGTCTCTTTTCTTCTTTTTTTTTTTTTTTTCTTTTTTGAGACAGAGTCTCACTCTGTTCCCCAGGCTGGAATGCACTGGAGCAATCTTGGCTCACTGCAATCTCTGCCTCCCGGGTTCAAGCGATTCTCCTGTCTCAGGCTCCTGAGTAGCTGGGACTAGAGTCGTGTGCCATTATGCATGCACGGCTAATTTTTTATATTTTCAGTAGAGACGGGGTTTCACTGTGTTAGCCAGGATGGTCTCAGTCTCCTGACCTCGTGATCCGCCTGCCTCTGCCTCCCAGAGTGCTGTAATTTTTGTATTTTTAGTAGAGACGGGGTATCACCATGTTGGCCAGGGTGGTCTCGAACTCCTCACCTCGTGATCTGCCTGCCTCGGCCCCCAAAGTGCTGGGATTACAGGCGTGAGCCACCATGCCCGGTCTATTGTCTTCTTAAATATTTGAAATTATCTCCTGAGTTCTACTTAGAATTCCAGGATGCAGTTCTCTCCCTGTCTCTTCCCCACTACACATGCTTCCTGTCCCCAGAAGATCCCAATTCACTTTTCTCTTTTTCTCGAATAATGTCATGACTGATCATAAACCATACTTTGATTATATTTATTACATAATTTTAATGACCTGGAATAAATAACTGGCATTATTTTCATTTACTCAATAAAATATTTTATGTTATCACCACTATTATACTCCCAAAGGCAGGCATCCCTGGAAAACTGTTGAACACATTGGGAAAACTTGGAAGCATCTCTTCTGCTCACCTGAGTTAAACCATCCTGATGGTAACTCTTTGTTCTCTAGGCCTGTGACAGATTACTCTTAGGATTCCCTTTTACACGTTAACAAGGCAGCTTTCCTCACCTTTCTCCTCAGATGGGATACCCATTTCTAGATTCTATATCTGTATTTTGTTTATTTCCCCTTTTTAATGTAACCCACCTCACAGAAGTTCCTGAAACAGTGTACTTAGAATGCAACCTTTTTGAAAACTTGTAGTCAAATATCTCCACACTTCACTGAAAATTTTGTTTGGTGTTGTTCTATACTGGTTTTCTTCAAATATGTTCAGGTTTTTCCATTGTCTAATAGCTTCCTGTGCAATTGAGAAGGTCATATCCACTCTGATATTAAATTTCAGTGGTCTTTTTTATATCTAAAAGTTTTTAACATTTTTGTTCTTATTACCAGTTGTCTGAAATTTACTATGGCAAGTTTTGTAGTGCAATTTTATTTGCCTACATTTATTATACTGGAAATGCAGTGAACTCTTTAAAATTTCAAACATTAAATTCTTCAGTTTTAAAAAAATATTTATTCTCACCACATTTTCTATTTTGTTGCTCTTTTCTCACTCCTTCATTGATATTATTAGGAAGTTGGACTTCCTGAATCAACCCTCTGAACATCTTACTATTTGTTTTCCTGTTTTCTATTTTTACATTTGTTGTTTTCTTTATTGGAAGGTTTTCATAAATTGATCACAAGCCCTTTTCACAAAATTTATTTCACCATAATTTAATTCCACAAGTACATTTTAATTACGTGAATATTTCTTATTTTCACATTCCCATGTTATTGCTGGCCACCATACCATTTCACTTCTTTCTGAGCATGTTAATAGCACATGGTTGGTTGGTGATAACTTCCTACATTTCTTTATTTCTAATAAGCCTTTTTTTTTGTAATTTGCTGCTGCTGTTTTGGGGTCTATATTTTATATTAGATGTATGTTTAAGTGAGAAGTAATTTTTAGTTGTCTATTAATATTCAAAACCCAACTGCTAAAATTATAGTGGAATCACTAAACATATGGAAACAGGGGGACTTGCCAAGTGGAGGATTTTTCTACTGGGGAATGTCACGTGAACCTTGCTTTTCACTGGAGGTGATTATCTCTATGTCCTCATTATGCTGCTCCGTTTCCCCCAGAAAAGGGATGCTCTGAGGTGGGGGATTGTAGGTGAATCTCTGTGGCAGTTTGCTAGAGGCAGTGAGAGAAAGATGACTGGAGATATCTCACATTCAGTTTTCATATTTTGTTTAATTTTCCTCTTAGTATTCATTTTCTCCTATTTAGTTAGCAAACTATCATTTTATGCTGGAGAAGTAGTCATCTGGTGGCAGGGTGGGAAAAATCACACTAGGAATCAGTCTGCTTCTTTTATGCATTTTCAACCAATTTTCCTATTTTAGCTTCATCATTGCCCCCGTCACCTTACAAAGGTACACAATAGTTCTGATTTTTGAGCATTTACTGAGATTCCAGAATGAATCATCCCACTTTTTTCTTTTCTCTCTCTCTCTTGTTTGTTTGTTTGTTTTTCTTTTTGTTTGAGACTGAGTCTGGCTCTGTTGCCCAGGCTGGAGTGCAGTGGTGAGATCTCGGCTCACTGCAAGCTCCGCCTCCCGGGTTCACGCCATTCTCCTGCCTCAGCCTCCCGAGTAGCTGGGACTACAGGCTCCCACCACCACGCCCGGCTAATTTTTTTGTATTTTTTAGTAGAGACGGGGTTTCACCATGTTAGCCAGAATGGTCTCGATCTCCTGACCTCATGATCCGCCCACCTCGGCCTCCCAAAGTGTTGGGATTACAGGCGTGAGCCACCACGCCTAGTCTGCTTTTTTCTTTTAAATTATCTCTTTCCAGGCTTAAATTCCATCATACTATGTCCTAGAAATTCAGCCGTTCTCTCATAAATCCATGTCACTACATTATAATTTTACTAACATTTTATGTCTGTAGTTGTCTTTTCCCTCATTGCTTTTGAATTGATGAGCTTATATCTTTTTAAATATAATTAATTTTGGGAGACAGTTTTAGGTTCACAGCAAAATTTAGTGGAAGACACAGGGAGTTCCTATACACCCCTTTCAATTAAACATTCCTCCATTAAACGTTCCTCACCAAAGTGGGACATTTGTTACAATTGATGAACCTACATTTGATACGGGAGACGGGGCAGGAGAGGGGGCAGGAAAGTGCTGGGTAGAGAAAGGCAAGGTCACTGGTGAGGGCTCCACCCTTGGGTCTGTGCCCACGGACCTAGGTGTGGTCAGGCACTCCTGTTTTGGCGCCCAAATGTTGCATTTTCAAAGACCACCCTGGCCGTGACGCCCCCCATCCTGTGCCTATAAAAGCTCTGAGACCCTAGCGGGCACAGACACAAGTGGCTAGACATCAAGAAGAACACAGCGGCAGAAGAACACACACCTCGACAGGCCATCAAAGGTAACAATGCCGATGCCTAGGGAAATTTGGCAAAGGGCAGTCAGAGGAGAAGGGGAAGACCATCTTCCCACTCCTTCCCCCTTCTGGTTCCCCATCCATCTGCTGAGTGCTACCTCTACCACTCAATAAAACCTTGCACTCATTCCCCAGGCCCATGTGTGATCTTATCTTTCTGGTACATCAAGGCAAGAACCTTGGATCCAGAAGGCCCTCTGTCCTTGTGATAAGGCAGAGAGTCTAATTGAGCTGATTAACACAAGCCACCTGCAGGTGGCTAAACTGAAAGAGAGCACTGTAACATACGCCCACTGGGACTTCAGGAGCTGTAAGCACTCAATCCTACATGCTGCCTTGGGGTCAGAGCCCTCGCTCCTCATGACTGCCCGTCTGCATGATCCCCCTAGGGGTCTGAGTTGCAGTGCACCGAAAAAGCGAGTCATACCCTCATCGCACACACTGCGAGAGGGATAAGGGAACTCTTCCAGTTTCACATTGACATATCATTATCACCCAAAAGCCATAGCTAAAATGAGGGTTCACTCTTGGGATTGCACATTCTATGGGTTTGAACAAAAGTATAATAGCATGTGTCCACTGGTATAGCATTATACACAGTAGTTTCACTGCGTTAAACATTTTCTATGCTTTGACTATTCATCCCTCCCTCCCCACTATTCCTTGGCAACCACTGATCTTTTTACCTTTCCCATGGTTTTGCCTTTTCTAGAATGTTGTATAGCTGGAATCATACTGTATGTAGCCTTTTCAGATTGGCTTATTTCACTTAACAATATGCATTTATTTTATATTTTCTTTTCATGGTTCTATAGCTCATTTTGTTTTAAGCACAGAATTTTATTTTATTTTTTTTTCATTTTCTGGATGCCCACAATGTATTCATTCACCTACTGAAGGTTATCTTGGCTGGGTCCATGTTTTGGCTATTATAAATAAAGGTGCTATAAACACTGATGTGTAGATTTATGTATAGATATAAATTTTTAAGTTATTTAGGTAATACCAAGAAGCATAGTTGCTGGATTTGTGAGAGACTGTGAAACTGTCTTCCAAAGTGGATGTAGCAATTTGCATTTCCACCAGCAATGAATGAGAGTCGCTGCTGCTTGTCTTTCCATTCTCTAGATAGTGTCTTTCACAGAACAAACGTGTTTAATTTTTCAAAAACCCTGGCTTATCAATTATTTTATTCATGGTCTGTGCCTTTGGTGTTCTACTTATAAAGTCAACACCATAGCCAATGTCATCTAAGCTTTCTCCTTGGTTGTCTTCTATGGGTTCATATAGTTTTACATTTTACATTTAGGAATATAATCCAATTTGAGTTCACTTGTGTAAAGGGTGTAAGATCTGTGTCTAATGGATCTGTGTCATATTGATTTCCAGTTGTTCCAACACCATTTGTCTAAAAGACTTTTTTTTCGCTGTATTGTTTTTGTTCCTTTGTCAATGACCAATTGATCATATCAATGTAAGTCTATTTCATGGGATCTCTCTTCTGTTTTATTAATCTATTTATCTATCTTTCACCAATACCACACCATCTTGATCAAGGTAGCTTTATAGTAAGTTGTAGAGTTGGGTAGTGTCCATACTTCTACTTTGCTCTTTTCTTTTAATATTGAGTTGGCTATTCTAGACTCTTTTGCCTGTCCATACACTTAAGAATAAGTTTCTGTGTTCTAGAAAATAACTTGCTGGGATTGATTGGAATCACACTGAATCTATAGATCAAATTGGGAATAACTGACATCTTAACAATATTGTATTTCCATCCGTGAACATAAACAATCTTTCCATTTATTTACTTCTACTTTGGTATGTTTCACTAGTGTTTTTAGCTTTCCTCATATAGATCTTGTACATATTTACATTTTCTGTTAGATTTAGATTTATAATTAAGTATTGCATTATTTGGTTGCTAATGTAAATGTTAATGTGTTTTGTCACCGGTTCATTGGTGGTATATAGGAAAACAGTCAGCTTTTGTACATTAACCTTGTATCCTACAACTGTGCTGTAGTTACTTTTAGTTCCAGAAGATTTTTTGTTTGGTTTGGTTTTTGTTTTGTCAATTCATTTGGATTTTCTACATATATAATCATGTTATATCTGTCAACAAGAACAGAGTTATTTCCTTCTTCCAAATCTATGTCTCTTATTTCTTTTTTTTTTTTTTCTGTTACTGCATTAGCTATGACTTCCAGTATGATATTTAAAGAATGGTAAGGGAGGATGTCATCACCTTGCTTCTGATCTTTGTGGGAAAGCTCCTAGTTTCTCATCATTAAGAATGATGTTAGTTTGATTCTTGAGCAAGTCACCCACATGTTAAATAGACGTGTTGGCCTATTATATATTTCTCCTGACCTGGCCTTCTGTGGTTGTATGATTCCACAAATATCTGTGAAAGATTGAATGTATCTCTAAATAATTATGTTACTGTTTTGTAAGAACACCTGTTAAAAGCAGACACTGTACCATGATCATCTCTAACAAACCTATGTATGATTGGATTAACTATTGAAGTTTTTTTTTTTTTCTGTGCTTGCAGTCTCTCTCAGAACAGATGGTTTGATAATTAAATAGTCCTCTACTGATGATGGACCCATGGTGGTCTTGCTATTGAATACCCTAACAATAATTCATGCACTAACCCTGCCAGCCTCTATCTCTCCTGGCCCAAGATAATTCATTTTGAATTATACATTGTGGAACTTAGATCTAGATAAATGCATTTTGTTGTTTCATTTCATAAACAACATTATGTTATCTTGTTGAATTATGTAGCTTTAGCAATACGTTTGTTTATAAACACAAAGCCCCATGGGTCATACAGAATAAATAAGGAAAATATAAAAGATGTCTTAATAAATGTGCACTATTATAACTGTCCTTGTAAGACTCGCAAACAAAGTATGGCAAACATAAGTTTCTTCTACCTCTTTTCTGTCCTTTATTAAGTTATATTTAAATTCACTATGGAAAATGGAGAAAATGGGTTCTTTTTTGAGATCAAACACACTTTCCAATGAATCCTGGCATCTCAATGTAATTATGATGAATGTTACTAATTTAGCTTTCTGTGTCCTATTAGTGGCATCTTTATAAAGAAATATCTCAGTTTTGGAAGTATTTGTTTAGATCAAAAGATACAACTAACCTTGTAAGGTCTTTGAATTATGAGTTGTTTTTAAGACATTTATTTCTTTCTATTTATCTTTCCTCTTTCCTCATATATATACCTTTGCTAATTCAGATGGTAAACATTATATAATGTTTTCTAAAACAGCCACTTCTACAGCAACGATCCAAATGGCTTTTACTTTTTTTTTTTTTTTTTTTAAGTAAGGAGCTGTGATTGTGATTGACTTCTCAAGTACAATCAACTGAATCTAGCCAACAACCACATGCATGCACTTTTGAAGCAAACTTTCCCCATCAAGGCTGGTGCTGAAACCATGTCACTAACCTTCATTGTAGCCTGTGAGAAACCTTGAAGTTGAAGACCCAGCAAAGCCATTCCCCAATAAACGACCCCAGAAGCAACCGTGAGATAATAAATGTGTGTTGTTTTAAGCCACCACATCATGTGTCAGAAGAGGTTTAGATATTGCAAAATGTGTGTACACTTGGATGTAACTTTGGGGTTCCTACGAAAGTTTTGCTGGACTCTTATTTTTACTGTCTGCTATGAGAGGTATTTGTTAAGGCAAGTATTAAAAAACCTTCACTATCTTCATTAGATTCTTAGGTATAAGAGAGAAGGAAAAATATAAATTGCTTCCCAAGATGAAGTGGGAGTGAGTAGGTAGGTTGAAAGGACTTCAGCAGAACTATTTTGCCCGGAGGCACATAATTAAGCAAGATGATTGTTTCTGGACATCCCCTGCTTCCAGTGAAACTAGTATAGCCTCAGGAGACGTTCACTGCCCATGAAGGATTGCTTCTGGGAGTAGTGCCTGTCTCTTTCCTTAATTTCTCTTCTATAACATTGAGCCTTTCAAAAACAGAGTTGTTTTTCATTCATTTTGTATGTTTAATAGCCAGCACAGTGCCTGGCACAAAGTAGATCTGAGTAAATCTTGGTTAAATTTAGTTCAATTAACTCATTTAACTAGATCTGAGGAGTATCTGTGAATATTGATAATTGGCCTCCAGTAACCAGATAATAAATTATTTGGGCACATAATTCTTTAATCAAACACTTTCTGAAAGTGGACCTTGCCAAGTGTTTTCAGTACATGTTCTCTAGTAATTCATAATGTTTTTTGAAATAAACCACCCTGAATCTTACAGGGTTTCTTCTTTCATTCTTAGTTCTTCACTGAGAGGAGCTGGATGAAGCTACAGATCAAAAGAAGAAACACCCAAGGGTGTCACAGGTCAAGCTTTGGATAAACATAGCTTGTCTGTGTTCCTCAAGGCCCTTCACCAGTTAACATTTCATGGCCACTGATTCTACCACCCTCAGAAATAAGGCACACTTGCAGAGGAAAGGGAGTTAGGCTGTGGAGTCTGGTATATGTGTGCTCAACACTTAATTCTGCTTTTTATTGGTGTTGCAATGCTGGAAAAGTCACTTGAATCTATAAATGTCATCCTCTTCATTTTTAAACAGCAGCATTAATAATCAACACAGAGGTTTATTATGATAAACATGCAAGTAAAATAATGGACAGAAAACAATATCCTGTGGTCAGTAGACTTCTAAATACCACCACCACCTCTATATTCCCAACCTGCTAGTATTCATAGCCACATGTAATCTCTTTGTGTTGGGCAACTTGATTTTAGCATAGAATATGGAAAGGATAATAGAATGGTTACTTGTGTGGTTAGGTTACACAATATTACAATTTCTACCTTACTGTTAAATGCTCCCACTCAATAGATTTGATTGAGTAGGCTATCATGTTGGAGAGACCCACAAGGAACTAAGGTTGGCTTCCAACAAACAGCCAGCAAGCAACTGAGGCCCACAGCTCCACATTCTGCAGGCAACGGGATCTTGCCTACAACCACATGAATGAGCTTAGGAGCCCATCCTTCCCCAGGCAAGCCTGGTGCTGAGACCACAGCCCTGACTGATATCTTGACTGTAGCCTTTGAGAGAACTTGAAGTTGAGAACCCAGCTAAGCCATGCCCAGATAAGTGACCCCAGAAAAAAATATAAGAAAATAAATGTGTGTTATTTTAAGCACCATATTTTGAGACAGTTTGTTACATAGCAATAGATAATTTATACAAAATTAAAAGTAAAATATTTTCTGTACACACATACATATGTATAAAAATACATACCTATCTATATACACACATCTCTATCTTTCTAATCTATCATCATTGTATCTATTTATATATATTTCTTGTCTTTATTCACAATGATAGGAGTAGCTCTGGACAATGTATCTTGATGCTAATACAAAGAAAATTGCAGGAAACTTTCAACAAAAGAATGATGTCAGTAGGGAAATGATGACTTTTCAATTGTGATTTTTATCACAGAGAAGCTGTCTGACCCCTTGCCTTGAGGTTTAGAAACTTGATTTTTAAGTGTCTTATAATAAATTAAGTTGGAAAGTTGATTCATGTGAAATAAAAATACAGGGTATATAAAATTAAAAAATATGCAAATGAATTGATTATAATAAACTCCACAAGGTTCTATGTATTAGAAAGCTCTCTGGCCGTGTTCTAAATTTCTCTCCCTGCAGGCCCTCTGGCATACCCGGACACTGGATGCTTCCACCACTGCATGTTTTATTATAAAGCTTAGAAGAAATGAAGCCCTCATCCAAATACATGTGTACCAGGCAACTTCTTTGCAGGCATTTTCCCTGGTCTCTCTGGTTCTCCACTGCTGAACAGCTTCTATAATTGGCAAAGTTTTCATTAGGTGAGTAAGACCTTGTTCACCCAAGCCTGAGTCCAGGGAGTATTTTATCTCTGAGACTATGTTTGTCCATCTCTGAGCTTATTAACTCTGTGCTAATTTCATAGCTCAGTGTCCAGTGTCTGTGTTTTCATGTGAGTCTGGAAGGTTGCTATGCTCTCTCTTGCATGGCTCACTAGGCAGTATTTCTGACAAGCTGAAGACAGAAAAACTTGCTTTGAAGTTTTTTTCCTAATATGTAATATTTATTGTTTCATGGATTTGTATAGGAGCAGCCATGAGTTGTCTATCACAGTGAGCAAAGCTTGATATTCAGTGGTATGGTTTGGCTCTATGTCTCCACCCAAATCTCACCTTGAATTGTAATAATCTCCACGTGTTAAGGGCAGGATGAGCTGGAGGTAAGTGAATCATGGGAGACGGTTTCTGCCTGGAGCCCCTTTGTTTTGGCCAATTTCTCCCATTTGAAATGGCGGTATTTACTCAATGCCTGTACAGTGCCCCATTTATACAATGCCCCATTGTATCTAGGAAGTAACTAACTTGCTTTTGATTTTACAGCATCATAAGCAGAAGGAACTTGCCTTGTCTCAGAGGGGACTTTGGACATGGACTTTGGGGCTAATGTTGGAGTGAGTTAAGACTTTGGGGAACTGTTGGAAAGGCATGATTATGTTTTGAAATGTGAGAACATGAGATTTGGGAGGGGCCAGGGCAGAATGATATGGTTTGGTTTTGTGTCCCCAACGAATTCTCATCTTGAATTGTAATAATCCCCACGTGTCAAGGGCGGGACCAGGTAGAGGTAATTGAATCATGGAAGTGGTTTCCACTATGCTGTTCTCATGATAATCAGTGAGTCTCACAAGATCTGATGGTTTTATAAGCATCTGATATTTCCCTTGCTGGCACCTCTCTCTCCTGCCACCTCGTGTAGATGGATGTGTTTGGTTCCTCTTCTGCCATGATTGTAAGTTTCCTGAGGCCTTCGAAGCCACGTGAAACCATGAGTCCATTAAACCTCTTTCTTTTATAAATTACCCAGTCTTGGGTATGTCCCTATAGCAGCATGAGAATGAACTAATACATTTCAATTCCTAGTACAGCTTCATCTCCATTTTCTCACCTTCAACAAGTTACTTTATTTATCAATGCCTCAGTTTACTCACCTACACATATGACATAATCATTCCTACTGTATAGTTTTAATGTGAGAACTCTGTAAGTTAAAAAAATACTAAATTACAACTATTAAATTCCCCAAGCACTCAGCTAAAGCCTTTATTTAAGTATTAAGTTTAGTAAATAAAACTATGTTATGATAAGTATAATTATTACTCTAATTTTATTGATAAGAGAACTAAGGCTTAGATAAGTCAAGTAACTCACCCAAAGTCATAGAATTAATAAATAATGGAGCTTAGATTTGAGCTTATGCAGCCTCTCTTAAGAAGCATGTTGATCCACTTTTACTAATTAAAGCTAATTGAAAATAAACTAAAATATATTTGGATAGAGAACCTAGAAGAGTTCCTGACATATAGTAGTATGCCATATATTCTAGGTAATAATTATTTAGTTCTTATCTAAGATTGTTAAGATCCATCGTGGGACATAAATCATTAAACCCCAATCTTTATTCTCAGTCTCAGGTATACTAATAATCTTTGTGCCTCTAATTTTTTTGTTCCAGAAAAGATCAAAGAATAGTCAGATGCAGATGAGAACATTTTACCGCTGCCTTATTCTATTCCTTCTCCCCTTTCTTTATTCCTTCCTTCCTTCTTGCTTTTTTATTAATTCATTTAAAATGCTTATTGGATAAATGAATAAATGAGGAAATGAAAAATGATGAAAAGATGCAGCAATGCATTAGAAATGAGGCAGTGGTGAAGTATTCTGCCATCTGGAACTTACTAGAAGTGAGGTCAGAGGCACATAAGTGAAGCTGTTGTGGAAGGAAATTGGGGAAGACAATGATATGTGGGAAGAGACTTCATTTTTAGCACATTAATTAGGGCCAGTTTTGCTGAGAAAGTGAAGTTACCCAAAGACTTGGACACCTACTATGTGGCAGGTATGATGCTAGTTCCTGAGAATACAGTCCAGGTTAGACTGAGTTACAGACAATCACACAAATCAGTATTTTAAGTCCATGAGGGCCTGTTTCAGGTGCATATTATAGGTCCGTCTCAGGTGAGCAGGAAGGACTATGGTCCCTCCAGATAATGGAGACTCATCCCTGTGCTCCTGTGATTACTGAGGCAAGAAAAAAAGAACATGGCAATATGTTCTTAAATAGGCTCCTAAAGCTCTGCCTGAAAAGGACAGGTGTCACTGTTATGCACTTCGCCTGGGCCAGAGGAGTCCCATGGCCGCACCTAACTATAAAGGGGCAGAAAAGTGCAATTCTGTCATAACCTGGCTGTCAGACCTGCAGGGTAAACAGCATGGACACTTTGTGAGACAGCTTCACTTATGTGCCTCTGACCTCACTTCTAGTAAGTTCCAGAAGGCAGAATACTTCACCACTGCCTCATTTCTAATGCATTACTGCATCTTTTCATCCTTTTTCATCTCCTCATTTATCCATTCAATCATTTACTGAATGTATAGTAATGTTTGTCACTGGAGATATGGCAGATGATAAAATAAAGAAAAAAAAAAAGAAAATAGCCACCCTCATGGAATTTATGTTGCAAAGGAGGACAAATAAATAAAATATATAATATGTCAGAGTGATGATGGCTTTATAGTGACAAAAATAAAGCAGAAAATTGGGGAAGAGAATGGTGATGTATGGGAAGAGACTTCATTTCTAACAAGTAATTAGGGCCAGTTTTGCTGAGAAAGTGAAGTTATGCAAAGATTTGAAAGAGATGAGGGAATGAACCTGAGCCCTATTACCTGGGGGAAGATCATTCTGTTGAGGAGCAGCAAACTCAAATGCCCTGAAGCAAAGCAAGCTCAGTATAAACCCACTTACAGCAAAGCCTAGAAAGATTCAGTGTGAGTGGCTGAGAGAGAGGGAGAGTGTGGCCAAGGAAGCTGACTAGGAGCCCAGAGGTTATCAGGGAAACTGGCTTTTATGAGTATTTTTGGGCACTCTTGGTAGGTTTTAACCAGAAAAATAACATAATATTCCCTATTAGTTTTACTTTAAATAATATTATTGTAGAGATGGGTTCTCACTATGTTGCCCAGGGTGGTCTTGAACTCCTGGCTTCAAGTCGTTTTCTCATCTTGGCCTTCCAAGGTGCTAGGATTACAGGCATGAGCCACCATGTCCAGCCTTATGTTTTAAAATAGATTCTCCGTTATGGAAGGACTAGATCACATGAGGAAATGGTGGAAGCAGGAAGACCTGCAGCTATTTAGTGGGTGATTTCAGAAGACTGTGGTGATAACCCAGTAGAGAGGTTATGGTGGTTTGTTCTAGGACAGTAGCAGCAGATGTAATATGAATTGGTCAGCTCTGAATATATTCTGAAGGAAGGATGTAGCATAATATAAAAGATATATTATGGCTATAAGATTAGTAGTGGCCATAAGGCCCACTCAACCATCTTGCAGAGCTGACACTATGTGACACTTAGCAATTTAATGCAACCTGGTTTGGAAATTTCCAACCCAGGCCTGAAGATTTGAGGAGACAAGGCCATCTCAGCGCAGATGAAACTTTCATGAACCTTAAAACCAGTGTACCCTTATAAAAATAACTTGGCCAGGCATGGTGGCTCATGCCTGTAATCCCGGCACTTTGAGAGGCCAATGTAGGTGAATCACCTGAGGTCAGGAGTTCAGACCAGCCTGGCCAACATGGCAAAACCCCGTCTCTAGTAAAAATACAAAAATTAGCAAATTAGCTGGGTGTGGTGGCAGGCACCTGTAATCCCAGCTACTTGGAAGGCTGAATTGCTTGAATCCAGGAGGCAGAGGCTGCAGTGAGCGAAGAAAATGCCACTGCACTCCAGCCTGAACAACAAGAGTGAAACTCCATCTAAAAATAAAATAATAATAATAATAAAAAGAATAACTTAAACTCCCTTCATGAAAGAAACATATAATAGCTGCCCCCAGAATAATACAGGCATACGAAAGAATGAAGAATCACCCAAACTCTGAGAATAGCTTATGGAGGAAAACCTTCCCAGTCAGTCGGTCATCTGTCCTCAGCATGTACCTCGAACCACCAGTCTGCTCTTGCTGTCCATCTCATAAGAATGCTGCCACAATAAACTGCGTGAGCATCAGATGGTGTCTAAAACTCATCTTGGGTGCAAATTGAACCAGAAGGGAGAAGTTGACCGTGCAGAGACTAGTCAATTAGGACCACCTCAAGTCGTGGAACATGTCAAGGAGCCAACAGGATTCCTGAGAAATGAGATGTGGAACACAATAGAAAGAGGAATCTATAGTAACTAAAGTCTTTAGCCTGAGTATCTGCAGCAATGGATTTGACCATTGCTAAGTGGCAAAACACTATAGGCAGAGTTTATTTGAAGGAAAATCCAGCAATTCTGTTTCAGACATGTTCGTTTTAAGATGTCTACAACAGGCCGGGCACAGAGGCTCATGCCTGTAATCCCAGCACTTCGGGAGGCCGAGGCAGGTGGATCACGAGGTCAGAGGTTCAAGATCAGCCTGGCCAAGATGGTGAAACCCCATCTCTACTAAAAATACAAAAATTAGCCAGGCGCAGTGGTGGGTGCCTGTAATCCCAGCTACTCAGGAGGCTGAGGCAGGAGAATCACTTGAACCCGGGAGGCGGAGGTTGCAGTGAGCCGACATCACGCCACTGCACTCTAGCCTGGGTGACAGAGCAAGACTCTGTCTCAAAAAAAAAAAAAAAAGTCTACAACATCATGGTGAAATGCTGACTGGGAAGCTTTGATATAAATGTTCCAAATCCCACAGAGAGGTCTGGGTTGAAGACAGCTGCATGCAGACAGCCCTCTGACATTGTGACAGTGGTTTATAAGTGTGATTGCCCACAGTGAATGAGAAGTGACTGAGTCCCAGGATACCCCAACCCTTAGAGAGCAGAACAAAGAGAAAGAAGCAGCAAAGTCTGCTTGGAAGGAGTAGTCAATGGATTAATAGGAAAAGCAGGGAAATATGTCCTGGAGGTCAAGTAAATACAGCGTTTCAAAGAGTAGAGAATGATCCACTTGTTGGAGGCAACAGATAGACCCAGGAAGGTGAAATCTGAGGAGTGACAATTACAATTATCTATGTAAAAATCCTTGATAACTTTCATCTAATGAATGTTAGTGAAATGTTGGGCCAAGCCTGATTATGGAAGTGTGAGGAGAAACTGAGAAAAGAGGAATCAGATACAGCAAGACAGATCCAGCTCTGCATCAGTCTGGGGTGGAGCTGTGTCATTACTGAAAGAACTCTGTGTCCAGGACCTGGGATAGACATTGACGGTGATTGAGTAGATGCTCTCCTCCTGGTCTTATAGCAATAATTCTGCCCATGGCCTTTAGCCACATTATTTCTCTCAACCACAAACCCAAGTACTTAAAATCCCACTTTTGTATTCCCTTGGGGTAATTTTTTAAAATGTTCTTTTTTCTTTATTTTTTAATACCAAGCGTCTCCTTTTCTAACACTGTTCCTTTAGGGAGTGGCATAATAAGCCACCACCCCTTGTGGAAAAAGAAAGCAGTGGACTAGGAGCTGGGACACCTGTATGGTCCTTCATAAATCTCTGTACCTCCCTTAGATGTACTGTCCTCTTGCAAAACTTAAGGAAGAACCAGTGGCCTCTATGAGCCTTTCAAGCTGAGGGGACTGATGTGGGAATTTTGATGGAGAAGAAAAAGGAATGGTTTTGGAGTGAGCATAACTGCCTGGGAAGGTTAAAAAGGGTTCACTTCATTTCATCATGCAGCTTACCAACTCCCAGAATTGCTCTCTATGTTACAGTTACAAAGATGAGCAAGAATTTTTTTTTTTTTGTCTTAGTGGCACCACCCAACTATTGTGTGGGTGATAATGGGTCACTTTCTGGAGATAACAAGATGAGATGCCTGGTCTTGGAGTACTGGGGGGAAAAAAAAAAAAGGAGTGATAAGATGGAGGGGCACTTGAAGACAGAGAAGGTTCACTATCACATTCCCTAACTCAAGAAAAGGGCTGCATGCTGTACATCCTGACCCAGATTTTCATACCTCAGGGAAAATAGTTCAAGGGACAATCTTTGGGCTATTGCTATCGCATAAGAAGCACATTCTGCACTCCACAATCAAATAGTCCTTGTATTTCTCATTAAAAGTTGGTGGTAAGGTTGTTTAATCACATTCACTGTTGAAAATTCTTATTTTACTTTTCACTTATATTCTGAAGACAACATGTTGAAGATCTCATCAGCTTGGGAATGAAAACATCCCTTTCCCAAATACATAATCATTAACTTGATTAATGGGCCTGGCTCCACACAACGAGCTGTGGTAACACTGCAATTTTACTGCCTTGGCTGGACCTGGATTTGTTTTTGGTTTTTTTTTTTTTTTTTTTTTGAGACGGAGTCTCGCTGTCGCCCAGGCTGGAGGGCAGTGGCGGGATCTCGGCTCACTGCAGACTCTGTTCCCCGGGGTTCACGCCATTCTCCTGCCTCAGCCTCCCACGTAGCTGGGACTACAGGCGCCCGCCACCTCGCCTGGCTAATTTTTTGTATTTTTAGTAGAGACGGGGTTTCACCGTGTTAGCCAGGATGGTCTCGATCTCCTGACCTCGTGATCCGCCCACTTCCGCCTGCCAAAGTGCCATGATTTCGCAGCGATTCTCACTTCATCACTTTACAGGGAACTACCCATTTCGGAAATCTGAAACAAAGCCCTTAACAAAGTGCATTTCGCTTCACACACAATCCACGTGTTCCTTCTCCATGGCTTTGTTGAGTCAGGTTCTCACTAGAGACAGCTTTAGGGCAAAATTTTTAATTTCAAAAACCATACGAAGAGGCAAACCATGTGATACAATGTGTTAGAGCAGAGGTAAATTTCTTTATTTCCAATGTATGGAAAATGGCTGTGCCCTTTTGAAGATGTTAGGCTAAAAGCAAACAGCTTCTTCCACATTGAGCCCATTGAAGTGGCTTTGTTCTGCTTTTTCATTTTTAAATTTGCACAAAATTTTAGTTTTAGGTAGCATAAATTTTAGCTGATTTTGCTTTTTGTGTGAATTCGAGATAAACAAAAGCACAGTTTGCAAATAATGCTCTGCTTGCAAGGTAATGTGAAAGTGACTTCTTTTCTTTTCTCTTTCTTTTCTTTCTTTTTGTGTGTGTGGAGTCTAAATGTTGAATCCTTGAATCTAAATTATACTCTGTGTCTCAGTTGCTTCCTCTGAAAGTAGGGAGAATAATAATATTAATAAATGAGATAATACACACAAAGTACTTGGAATAATGCCTGGCATAGAAAGATTGCTCAAATGTTTGTTGTTGTCATGACCGTTATTAGTATTATTATTGTTGATTCTTGCATTTTTTTGCCTTTAAAAACAAATAAGACTGAGATGAATTCATCTGTTTATTTTAATACCTGGAGTTTTGAGGATGAAACATTGAAACTACATAAATGTCAACCACCTCTAATATATGCTTCAGAAATACAATGAGCAGGGCTTGGCGGGCATTGTAAAAATGAAAGAGAGAAAAAAAAAGAGCTGGGAGGAAATACATCAAGTTCTCAATTCTTATACCATTGGTCTTTGAGAGGAAATTTGGTAGAACAAACAGTTGTTTGGCAGAGCTAAATTGAAATATTCATATCTAGTTCATAAGTAAAACTATGTTTTACATCTAATTATGTCTAGGAGCAACTTAAACAAATGTACTTTAAGAGCTATTTGGTGACTTGTGAAAGTCAGTGTTTATTCACTATATACCCTAGACAAAATAAAACAGAAGTGCAACCAAAATATAAATAAAAACAAAAGCAGTATTCAAAAGTAAAAGTAGAATGTAAGAAGTCAAAAATAGGGTGGAGTAAGTTATAATCAAAATGAGTTGGAAATTTTCTTAGAAAGTCAGAACTATGTTTTCCACATAGTTGGAAGAAAATAATTATTTCTGAATTATAATTTAGTAAATGCATATTCACATACTTGCAAAATACTTAAAAGTGTGCATAAAGAAGAAAATATATTTTAAAAATGTCAATCACTATTACCAATTTGAATATACTTCTCTAATTTTTTTTGCATAGTTATACAATTAACTGAAATTGCCTAGTATAAACGAAGGCTACTCTTTTTTATTTACATTGCATTTTCCATGGCCTTGGATGGTCTTCAGCCATATCTTTTCCCAGTGGATTATAACATACCTTTGAGTAGGCATGCCATCATTTTGCTTAGTAGCTCCATTCTTGTAAGGTATTTAAGCATTTTTTCCCACAATTTTCAATATAAAGTTACAATAAAAATCATTTTATTTGTCTACTACATATGTGGCAGAGTGAAATAGGACTGAGTAGTGAAAAAAATATATAGATTAACAAGGTCACTTTTTAAATTAAATCAGGGAACTTTTGAGAAATACAGAAATTGAGTAGCTGTACTTTCACTTTCAGTTGTGAAAGGTGACCCTGTTCACCTCCTGGTCCCTCAGGAGTAACCATAGACTCTAAAGAATGTAATATATCATAACCATCTCATTGCCATCCTCCTATCAGCCAAACCTGTGACAGACCACATCAAGTCCCACTACAGTCCAGGACATCTATAAACAGATCTGTGACACAGTTAAAATTAAGGTGCAGTGATAGAACAAGTTAATTCATAAAGCAGACATTGATGTGTGTTTGTCATTTTATTTTGGCAGATGAAATTCTTTGATACATAAGCATGCCAGTGTTGGGCTATTGCACGGATCAGTGCTCTGTGATTTGTCTATCCATCCTTTAAAGCTAGCTCTAGAGACTCCTCTGTAGAGCTGACAAAAACCAGCCTAGACTTCAGAGATTTCCTACTTAAAAAAAAAAAATCTCAAAGGTGTGATTGTCTCTATACATCTTTTATTTATTTATTATTTAAATCAATATTATATTTCTTACTTTATAAAATTAATTCAACATTCTAAAATTTGTTATGAGACATTGTTTTCCTTTTGATATTGGATACCAAAAAAATCAAAGGTAAAATTTCATCTGAGAACATTTATTGTACATGTATCTTGAATTTAATCCTGTGCTTGAATAGTGAAAAGAGGAAGACATGTACCCTAGGGAAGTTATTTTATATCAGGTGTGTGAATATACTACAGATAATACCTACAACAGAAAAATTACTTATTTCAATTTGATGATATTTAGGAAATAAATTCTCAAGTTGAAATTATTTTCTGATTCAGCCCTTAACTCTTCCATCTTTTGTATAGTTACAAGGAATCTCTGCAGCCAAATGATGCTTATATGGGGCTTATGTGGGAAGGAAAATGATCAGGTCATTAACTGAGTTTGTACAATGCTCTATACTATGTAATAGGGTATATTACAACACACTTTTAATTTTTTTCTTCTTAACCATTAGATGAAATTATAATTAAGTCTGTTTTTCAGGTTCAACTGAAGAGATTAAAACTCAAAGATGTTTAAATTATCTCGTCCACAGCGGTAGAAGTAATTATGTATACTTAGCTTACTGGTTATTCAATGAAAAGTATTAAGAGAAACACTGATATTTATTTGTGCAACGCCACTTGAACAGGATACTATTGTACTTTCCTAGTAAGTACCGGCAATTACTCCTTATTTCTGATACATCATAGTAGCCTGGGTGTGAGTCACAGAAATAACCATTCAAACTAGTCAGCTAGTGAAGGCAGAAAAAAAGTCTTCACCACTTGCCAGGACCCATGAATATTCCTAAGGTAACAAAAATTCAAGATAAGGAGATGAACTACTACTCTGCTTATAAGAATATTACTAAGACAACAAGGAGAAGAAATGTTCTCATAGCATGCATTAATGGTTTTTAATAAATTATTTTATTAATTATAAACAATTATTTAGTTGCCAGAAAAGCACGTGTCCAAGACTTGGGTCTGCCATTGGCTTGTTGAGTAATTTTAGATCAATCAGCTTATGACTTTAGGCCTGTTTCCTCATTTATAAAATGATGAGATTGGGAGAGATTTGAATTCCTACCATTGGCAAAATACTGTTTCTATTCCTGCAGGGGACAGAAGACAACATATGACTTTTTATCTTCAATCAAGAAGTTATCTGAATAGAGTGGAAGGTAGGGGACTGGAGATAGTATCATAGGCCCCTACTATGTGCAAGGTAGAGTGCTAGGTGATTTACACAGAGGACTAAAACTGATCTTGCCAAAACTCTACTAAGTCAGTATTGCTATATACATTTGATAGAGAAGCTATTGTTAGAAAACATGGTTGGATCAGAATTTTTTAACTATGGTATAAAACAGAAGAAAATAGTGAAAGACATTGAATGAGAATTTTGAGATGACAGGAAAATAAGCAATTAACTCCTCTTCAGAAGATGGTATTTTTGTTTTGTTTTAGTTTGTTTTTGTTTTTGTTAGTGAACCTAAGAAAGTCTAGGCTACAAACACAAAAACTTTTCTAAGTCCCTCACTAGAGGTTAGGAAAAAAAATAGCTGAGAATGTAACATGGTAATAAGGATCAGGAAATTGATTCTCATTCTCAATATCTTTGCTCATTCAGCTCCACACTTGGAATGCTTCCTTGGAACTAAAAATATCACTCTAGGCAGTCATGGCTCATTCTACCTAGTAAAAGTTCTTTAAATTAATCTTACTGAGAGTCAATTAAGAATGGACTCTTAGTCTTTTTCCAACATGTCTATTTTTGCCCTCGTGTCTTTTCTGAAACTAATGAAGTCTTTTCTTTTGACCACTTCATGCATATACCCTACTTGACTTTTTGCCAGGAAGGAAAGATCAGTTTGCTGCTACTTACTGTTTTGCAAAGAATCTCTATTCAATTCTGGGTTCATGTTTATTAAACTATATACCAATTTTTCACATATGGAGATTTAGCTGCCATTCTTAAAAGGAAAAATAACTGATATGATCAGCAAAATATTAAAGACATTTTTAAGTCTGCAAAATATTTCACTGCCCAATAATTTTCATGGAGTGCACTATTATACAATAGTTAATTCTATAGTCTAATGGTGAACTTAAGATACCTTTTAATGTGAAATGAAATTTAAGCAGTAATTAGAAGGTTAAAACTATTTAAGGAAAAAATTATCCACTTTTCGTTATATAGTCTGGAGAGAGTGTTTAGAGAGCATTTATTCTGATAAATAAAGTAGTATAGCTATTTATGGCAAAGGTTTCCAGAATGTCAGTCTTTGAAGTGGTCAGCAGAGTCAAAGGTGAAATGTGCTACAAAAAATCCTAGAAGACTAGTTCTAAGATTTAAATCACAAAATTATTATTTGATTCTGGAATTTGAAGTTGGAAGATATGTCAGAAGACAGAGTAGAGACATAAGCCATGACTATGATAGGAGGAACATTATTGGCTAAGCAAAGAAGCTTAAGCTTCTGAGAAAAGCACTGGAAAGCTTTAAAATCATTTGAATGTTAAAAAAAGACATTGGAGAGTCCATTCATTCATTCATTCTGTCCTCTAGCTCCTTGTAAATGGTGACTTCTTCCCCTTTCATACGGTTTGGCTCTGTGACCCCACCCAAATCTCATCTAGAATTGTAGTCCCCATGTGTCAAGGGAGGGACTTGGTAGGGGTGATTGGATCATGGGGGCGGTTTCTCCCGTGCTGTTCTTGTGATAGTGAGGGAGTTCTCATGAAATCTGATGGTTTAAAACTGGCAGGTTTCCTTGTACGTGCTCTCTCTCTCCTGCTACCATGGAAGACATGCCTTGCCTCCCCTTTGCCTTCTGCTAAGATTGTAAGTTTCCTGAGGCCTTCCCAGCCACTCATAACTGTGAGTCAGTTAAACCTCTTTTCTTTATAAGTTACCCAGTCTCAGGTAATATTGTTATAGCAATGTGAAAATGAACTAGTACACATTATGTATAATACTGATGGGAACCACTGCTCATACCATGAAATAGAAGCAGTGCATGCAGAGATATCCCCTTTGTTTGATCAAACAGACCCACCATACTGGAGCTTTGACTGTCAATATAAAGACCCAAAGATAATGGTGTATTTGGGATTCATAGACATTGTATCAGTCTCCAATATTGGTGGCAGCTAGCTAGTAAGGTATCAATGATGACATATAGGCTAGATTGTTCCTCCTAAAATAAGTTATGGAATTGCCTGCTTCTTGTCCTACAGAGAAACTCTGGGTTTCACCCATTTTTCTATCTTTCTACCTACCTTTATTCATTCTCTTCCATTAATTGGATAAGGAATGTATCCAACACTTACCATCAATTATTATGTTGTTTAAGCTAGCCAGATTCATGAAACCAAGAACCCTGGGTAATTAGACTTTGAGCAGCAGACTGTCAAGGTTTGCATTTGAGAAAGTATTTTACTGTAAGGTGATAGACTGAGACTGAGTCAAGTGTAGGACACCATCACATAGGCAGCAGAATTTGGGAAGGGGGAAAGATGGATTTTTATGTTATTGTATAAGGGTTTTTTTTTCCCCCAAATAAGCTGTTTTAGATTTTAATCTGGGAAATGTTCTTTAGTGGCCTATCATAAACCTTATCTGGTCAAAGGTGTGGCACACAGTATAATATATTGCACATCTGGGCAATCATTTAAGCTCTTTGACAGGTCTATTGATTCACTAGTATATGGAAGAACTCATATTATTGATACTCATTTTGTGAAGCCATGACCTGAAATGTATAAGAGTAAGGATGTCTGTATGATTTCAAGGACTTCAGTTTAGTTTTCCATTTGAAAGAGTGTTTGTGTATGTATGTGTGTGTATTTGTGTGTAGGCATATAAGATTTTGTGATATAGAAGATTATGAAAATAGATTTCAACAATTTCAGAATAGTAACAAGTAATTTTTTTCCTTAAGAAGCAAGAAAGACCACAAAGTCTGGTAATTTTCCTACCAAGAATATCCTTACCTAATGCTCTTTCATGGATATGGTGGAAAAATCTTTGTCTGCTGAAGAAAATGCATTCTTCATGCTTTCAGTATAAATGTCGAGTGTATGGACTGTTGCTATAAACCACAATCATGATTGCCTTTTTTCCCATGTAACACACAAAGAATGAAAAACATAAGTGAGACACTCTTCCATGGATATATTCAGGCTTATGCAGTGCATCTCATAATTGGCTATAACTCTTCCTCAGAGAAACCATATCTGTATTAGTTCATTATCACATTGCTAATTAAAGACTTATCTGAGTCTGGGTAAATTATAAAGGAAAGAAGTTTAATTGACTGGCAGTTCAGCATGTCTGGAGAAGCCTCAGGAAACTTACAATCATGGCAGAAGGGAAAACAAACATGTCCTTCTTCACATGGTGGCAAGAAGAAGAAGTGTGGAGCAAAAGGGGGAAAAGCCCATTATAAAACCATAAAATCTTGTGAGAACTCACTCGTTATCATGAGAACAGCATGGAGGTAACTGCCCCCATGATTCAATTACCTCCCACCAGCTCCCTTCCATGACACATGGAGATTACAGAAACCACAATTCAGGATAAGATTTGGGTGGGGACACAGCCAAACCATATCAGCATCCAATAATACATTCCTGAGAACGACACTACTATGGGAAAAATTTCTGTATTTATCTGTTCATTTGTTTAGTTTTGTATAAAAATAATGTATTCGTGTGACATTCAAATGAAACAGAATTGTTAATAATAAAATACAGTAGTCCACATACCCTCATGCCCATGCCCCCAATCCCTCTGTCCAAAGATACCTGTTATCGATTTCATTATTTTTACTTTTTCTGATATAATTTAATAGTAATTTGGGAGAGTTATATGACAAAGTCTCTACAACTTTGTTTTAATTTTCTCACTTTTTAAGTCAATCATCAAAAATGTCAGTATCTTGACTGTTTTTATCAAGAAAAGATTTGTAATTCACCTGAAACCTGATCTCACTACACCAGCATTTTCTGAGTCTAAATTTGAGACTCTGTTCTACTTAGATGCTCTACATATTGCTGTAGCCCATATTCTGAGAACACATCCCTCATAAAGGCCAGCAATTCCCAAGAACCCACACACTCTCTACACCCCACACATCATGCACTCTCTTACTCTCATGGCTCCAGGTCTGCTTTTCTCTTCATTTGATCAGAATAATCTTTAATTCACTAAGTACCTTGTCCATTCAAAGTCCAAATTAGGCCTATCTCTTCCATGATGCTTCATCTGGCTATTCAGATGTCCTTTAAACTCTCCTTTCTCTTACTCTCTTTACAATACTATTAATAACAATCACATTTATTATCACAGTGACTTTGAAGTACCCAACGTATAACAGACACCATATTTATATTACCGATCTTATTTACTTGTCATACAGTCTCGGAGCTGGACTTCAGTAACTTAATAGATAAGGAAACAGACATAGAGAGATTTCAAAATTTTGTTTGGGCCGCATAGCTCTGTGATTCTAGGGCTGAGATTACAGGACAAGTTAAAAGGCTCCAGGCTTACAACTGACACATTCAATATCCTTTGCTCATACTACTTTCCCTCAAGCACTGTTTGCCTATTCCACTACACTGAATTTACTGAAGAATTCATACTCAGACTTCTGAGAAACTGTTTGCTTCTCAACTTCTCATGTGTGCTTTGGAACCACTGCCTTGAGGACAGTGGATCCAACCCAGTGATTAATATAAAGTAGGGAGCTTGAGAAATATCTATTGAATCAATATTTGTGTACACTACGGAAGGCTCTCTGTGGTTCACATGCAAGATTAAGATTATGTGGATTTCAGAATAAAAGGGCTGAGGAAAATTCAAAATTTTAGTAGGCATTACAATTTTAAAGAGGTTAAATAAGGCTGTTTGTTTCATTGGTACTTATGTAGCTCATGAATTTATCTGAGAGTATACTGAAGACAGTTAAGCTGGTAATAATGTTTTCGATTGTCTAATTCTAGCACCTAGAATATTCTAGAGCCTATTCTCAGAATTTTATTCTGAGTGATTTTCTTTGTCTGTGACTTCCAGTCTCGGAAGACTGCTTTTTTATTTTATACTTTTAGCTTAGCTTGGTAAAACTAGAGATATTTTACTTTTAAGAAGAAAAAAATATTCTGAAAGTTTCAAATGTTCTATAAATATTATTCATTTCGGCTTTAAGAAGATGTTTGCATCATTTTGGGATCTAAAAATGGAAGAAAGAAAGCTCTTTTACAACACAAACACACAGGAGCTGAAGTTCCTTTCACCAGAGAAAGCTTTGTGATTAGTGGAGTGTATACAATTATAAACTGAATTGTTAAATCAAAACACATCCCAATCACCCTAGCATGTCACTTTTAATAGGCAATACATCCCCCAAGAAGTCAAGTTCTCTGCTAGCAATATTGAACCAAATCATCAAAATTCAAAGACGGCTCTATAAAATGTGAAATTCCATCAGCAAAGTGCACAGTGGGCTGCAATGTGTAGATTAATGGGCAGCCTGTCAAGTATTTTAATGTATGCCTCAATCACTGAAACACATGTGATGATTAGTAAAGTATTTGGCCTGAGCAGTAAAAGATATAAAATAAATTAAAGCCGTGACACCTTCTGAATTAATAAAGCATTTGGTTAGGTTATATTGATAAATCACTAGCACAGATTAAAAATCCCCATAACTAGACACATTTCCCCCCAGGCATGCTAAGAACCCACACTGCCATCTTCCTATCACATCCTGCTAATTGAGAATCTCTATGAAAGCACAACTGCTAAGTCCCTGAAAAATCTCAGAATATGAACATTCACCAGCTTTAATCCTTGAATATAAACCAACATCTGTAATTGGTATGACTCATATTTTTGAGTTCCAACTACCGAATGAGATTTCTTTTTCCTACACCTATTCAGAACTACTTTCACCCCAACAGTAGTTGTCAGTATTTTCTTTGACACATGACTCTGGACATACAGAAGCTGTAAAATACACACCAGAGCAGAAGTGCTGAACTAAATAAATTTGCTTTCACTTTGGTTATTGGTATACATTCTGGGAACTGGGGAGGGAAATGGTGATGGTTTCTCCAGGCATATTCAACAGAGTATTCAGTACAACTAAGTCCAGATGTCACATTGACTCAACTTGTTATTTAGTGGTAGGCTTGGGAAGTGTAGCTGCCCTTATCATTTGGTTACAGTCTTTAATAATCAGTGCCAAGTTTGACCAGTAGGGACACTCATAATTTGGAGAAGTGAAGGAAAATCTTAATTGTTAAATGCTGTCTCCTGGAGGTAGACATTCCCAGGAAGAAAAGCATGTTATTTTTGTGGAGGGATTGCTTTTTATTGATGGTTTGCTTTTTAAGGCTTGGTATCCATTCCAAAGGTCCATTCCATCAACACCAGGAATGGAAACACATATGAGGTATTTGTGCATGGAAAGTAAAAAAGAAAACATATGGATATTGCTTTTGGGGACCTCACAGTTTGAGACTTGACAATCTGACAATTATAATGCAACCTGTCAAATACTATAAAACGGTGAGAGCTGGATGCTCTGTGAGTAAGTGACTGAATCAGAGTGGTACATGGACATCAGGGAAACTTTCCTCCAGGAATTAGAACAAAAAGCTTGACTTGGACAAGAAGAATGAAGATAACCCTGGATGAAGATATGGAATGAACGAAGTGTTCTCAAATGGAATAGAGGGCATTTAGCTTGGACAGGGAAAGACACTCAGGGTGACCACTGAGGAAAGTTTTCAGAATGTCGGTTTTCAATTATTTAAAGTTGGATTAACCTTTTTCCAAGGATAAATGAGGAGAAATCTATCAGGAGATAAATATAGTTCTTTCTGTAACAGCAATCAAAAAATAAACCTATTTGCAAAGTCTAAGAGCCTTCTATCAACAAAGTTGTTCAGATATTGAGTGATGGCTTGGGAAAGTTGTTGAAGAGTTTTAACCTTGGCAGTCAATATCCCTAGGGAATTAGTAGGTTGTTTCAAACAGGAGAACAATTCCCTGAAAGTCATCCTTAGAGCAGTTAGAAGCTACAGGTTACTCATTACTACTCATAGTTCTCTTTCTTTTGTTTTGTTTTATATATATATATATTTTATTATACTTTAAGTTATAGGGTACATGTGCACAAAGTGCAGGTTTGTTACATATGTATACATGTGCCATGTTGGTGTGCTGCACCCATTAACTCGTCATTTACATTAGGTGTATCTCCTAATGCTATCCCTCCCCCATCCCTCCACCCGACAACAGGCCCCAGTATATGATGTTCCCCTTCCTGTGTCCAAGTGTTCTCATTATTCAATTCCCACCTATGAATGAGAACATGCAATGTTTGGTTTTTTGTCCTTGCGATAGTTTGCTGAGAATGATGGTTTCCAGCTTCATCCATGTCCCTACAAAGGACATGAACTCATCCTTTTTTATGGCTGCATAGTATTCCATGGTGTATATGTGCCACATTTTCTTAATCCAGTCTATCATTGTTGGACATTTGGGTTGGTTATACATGCACATGTGTCTTTATAGCAGCATGATTTATAATCCTTTGGGTATATACCCAGTAATGGGATGGCTGTGTCAAATGGTATTTCTAGTTCTAGATCCCTAAGGAATCGCAACACTGTCTTACACAGTGGTTGAACTAATTTACAGTCCCACCAACAGTGTAAAAGTGTTCCTATTTCTCCACATCCTCTCCAGCACCTGTTGTTTCCTGACTTTTTAATGATCGCCATTCTAACTGGTGTGAGATGGTATCTCATTGTGGTTTTGATTTGCATTTCTCTGATGGCCAGTGACGATGAGCATTTTTTCATGTGTTTTTTGGCTGCATAAATGTCTTCTTTTGAGAAGTGTCTATTCATATCCTTTGCCCACTTGTCGATGGGGTTGTTTGTGTTTTTCTTGTAAATTTGTTTGAGTTCATTGTAGATTCTGGATATTAGCCCTTTGTCAGATGAGTAGATTGCAAAAATTTTCTCCCATTCTGTAGGTTGCCTGTTCACTCTGATGGTAGTTTCTTTTGCTGTGCAGAAGCTCTTTAGTTTAATTAGATCCCATTTGTCAATTTTGGCTTTTGTTGCCATTGCTTTTGGTGTTTTAGACATGAAATCCTTGCCCATGCCTATGTCCTGAATGGTATTGCCTAGGTTTTCTTCTAGGGTTTTTATGGTTTTAGGTCTAACATTTAAGTCTTTAATCCATCTTGAAATAATTTTTGTATAAGGTGTAAGGAAGGGTTCTAGTTTCAGCTTTCTACATGTTTTCCCAGCACCATTTGTTAAATAGGGAATCCTTTCCCCATTTCTTGTTTTTGTCAGGTTTGTCAAAGATCAGATAGTTGTAGATGTGTGGTCTTATTTCTGAGGGCTCTGTTCTGTTCCAATGGTCTATATCTCTGTTTTGGTACCAGTACCATGCTGTTTTAGTTACTGTAGCCTTGTAGTATAATTTGAAGTCAAGTAGCATGATGCCTCCAGCTTTGTTCTTTTGGCTTAGGATGCACTTGGCAATGTGGGCTTTTTTTTGGTTCCATATGAACTTTAAAGTAGTTTTTTCCAGTTCTGTGAAGAAAGTCATTGGGAGCTTGATGGGGATGGCATTGAATCTATAAATTACCTTGAGCAGTATGGCCATTTTCATGATATTGATTCTTCCTACCCATGAGCATGGAATGTTCTTCCATTTCTTTGTATCCTCTTTTAATTCGTTTAGCAGTGGTTCGTAGTTCTCCTTGAAGAGGTCCTTCACATCCCTTGTAAGTTGTATTCATATGTATTTTGTTCTCTTTGAGGCAATTGTGAATGGGAGTTCACTCATGATTTGGCTCTCTGTTTGTCTGTTGTTGGTGTATAAGAATGCTTGTGATTTTTGTACATTGATTTTGTATCCTGAGACTTTGCTGAAGTTGCTTATCAGCTTAAGGAGATTTTGGGCTGAGATGATGGGGTTTTCTAGATATACAGTCATGTCATCTGCAAACAGGGACAATTTGATTTCCTCTTCTCCTAATTGAATACCCTTTATTTCTTTCTCCTGCCTGATTGCCTTGGCAAGAACTTTCAACACTACGTTGAATTGGAGTGGTGAGAGAGGACATCCCTGTCTTCTGCCAGTTTTCAAAGGGAATGCTTCCAGTTTTTGCCTATTCAATATGATATTGGCTGTGGGTTTCTCATAAATAGCTCTTATTATTTTGAGATATGTCCCATCAATACCTAATTTATCGAGAGTTTTTAGCATGAAGGGTTGTTGAATTTTGTCAAAGGCCTTTTCTGCATCTATTGAGATAATCATGTGGTTTTTGTCTTTGGTTCTGTTTATATGCTGGATTACATTTATTGATTTGCATATGTTGAACTAGCCTTGCATAGCAGGGATGAAGCCCACTTGATCATGGTGGATAAGCTTTTTGATGTGCTGCTGGATTCGGTTTGCCAGTATTTTATTGAGGATTTTTGCATCGATGTTCATCAGGAATATTGGTCTAAAATTCTCTTTTTTGTTGTGTCTCTGCCAGGCTTTGTTATCAGGATGATGCTGGCCTCATAAAATGAGTTAGGGAGGATTCCCTCTTTTTCTATTGATTGGAATAGCTTCAGAAGGAATGGTACCAGTTCCTCCTTGTACCTCTGGTAGAATTCGGCTGTGAATCCATCTGGGCCTGGACTTTTTTTGGTTGGTAAGCTATTAATTATTGCCTCAATTTCAGAGCCTGTTATTGGTCTATTCTGAGATTCAACTTCTTCCTGGTTTAGTCTTGGGAGGGTTAATGTGTCCAGGAATTTATCTATTTCTTCTAGATTTTCTACTTTATTTGCATAGAGGTGTTTATAGTATTCCCTGATGGTAGTTTGTATTTCTGTGGGATTGGTGGTGATATCCCCTTTATCATTTTTTATTGCGTCTATTTGATTCTTCTCTCTTTTCTTCTTTATTAGTCTTGCTAGTGGTCTATCAATTTTGTTGATCTTTTCAAAAAACCAGCTCCTGGATTCAATGATTTTTTTGAAGGGTTTTTTGTGACTTTATCTCCTTCAGTTCTGCTCTGATCTTAGTTCTTTCTTGCCTTCTGCTAGCTTTTGAATGTGTTTGCTCTTGCTTCTCTAGTTCTTTTAATTGTGATGTTGGGGTGTCAATTTTAGATCTTTCCTGCTTTCTCTTGTGGGCATTTAGTGCTATAAATTTCCCTCTACACACTGTTTTGAATGTGTCCCAGAGATTCTGGTATGTTGTGTCTTTGTTCTCGTCGGTTTCAAAGAACATCTTTATTTCTGCCTTCATTTCGTTATGTACCCAGTAGTCATTCAGGAGCAGGTTGTTCTATTTCCATGTAGTTGAGCAGTTTTGAGTGAGTTTCTTAATCCTGAGTTCTAGTTTGATTGCACTGTGGTCTGAGAGACAGTTTGTTATAATTTCTGCTCTTTTGCATTTGCTGAGGAGTGCTTTACTTCCAACTATGCGGTCAATTTTGGAATAAGTGAGGTGTGGTGCTGAGAAGAATGTATATTCTGTTGATTTGGGGTGGAGAGTTCTGTAGATGTCTGTTAGGTCCGCTTGGTGCAGAGCTGACTTCAATTCCTGGGTATCCTTTTTAACTTTCTGTCTCATTGATCTGTCTAATGTTGACAGTGGGGTGTTAAAGTCTGCCATTATTATTGTGTGGGAGTCTAAGTCTCTTTGTGGGTCTCTAAGGACTTGCTTTATGCATCTGGGTGCTCCTGTATTGGGTGCATATATATTTAGGATATTTAACTCTTCTTGTTGAATTGTTCCCTTTACCATTATGTAATGGCCTTCTTTGTCTCTTTTGATCTTTGTTGGTTTAAAGCCTGTTTTATCAGAGACTAGGATTGCGACCACTGCCTTTTTTTGTTTTCCGTTTGCTTGGTAGATCTTCCTCCATCCCTTTATTTTGAGCCTATGTGTGTCTCTGCACATGAGATGGGTTTCCTGATTACAGCACACTGATGGGTCTTGACTCTTTATCCAATTTGCCAGTCTGTGTCTTTTAATTGGAGCATTTAGCCCATTTACATTTAAGGTTAATATTGCTATGTGTGAATTTGATCCTGTCATTATGATGTTAGCTGGTTATTTTGCTCGTTAGTTGATGCAGTTTCTTCCTAGCCTTGATGGTCTTTACAATTTGGCATGTTTTTACAGTGGCTGGTACCGGTTGTTCCTTTCCATGTTTAGTGCTTCCTTCAGGAGCTCTTTTAGGGCAGGCCTGGTGGTGACAAAATCTCTCAGCATTTGCTTGTCTGTAAAGTATTTTATTTCTCCTTCACTTATGAAGCTTAGTTTGGCTGGATATGAAATTCTGGATTGAAAATTCTTTTCTTTAAGAATGTTGAATATTGGCCCCCACTCTCTTCTGGCTTGTAGAGTTTCTGCCGAGAGATCAGCTGATAGTCTGATGGACTTCCCTTTGTGGGTAACCCCACCTTTCTCTCTGGCTGCCCTTAATACTTTTTCCTTCATTTCAATTTTGGTGAATCTGACAGTTATGTGTCTTGGAGTTGCTCTTCTCGAAGAGTGTCTTTGTGATGTTCTCTGTATTTCCTGAATTTGAATGTTGGCCTGCCTTGCTAGGTTGGGGAAGTTCTCCTGGATAATATCCTGCAGAGTGTTTTCCAACTTGATTCCATTCTCCCCGTTGCTTTCAGGTACAGCAATCAGACGTAGATTTAGTCTTTTCACATAGTCCCATATTTCTTGGAGGCTTTGTAATTTCTTTTTATTATTTTTTCTCTAAACTTCTCTTCTTGCTTCATTTCATTCATTTGATCTTCAATCACTGATACCCTTTATTCCAGCTGATTGAATCTGCTACTGACGCTTATGCATTCGTCACGTAGTTCTCGTGCCATGGTTTTCAGCTCCATCAGGTCATTTAAGGACTTCTCTACATTGGTTATTCTAGTTAGCCATTCGTCTAATCTTTTTTCAAGGTTTTTAAACTTCTTTGCGATGGTTTCGAACTTCCTCCTTTAGCTCAGAGAAGTTTGATCATCTGAAGCCTTCTTCTCTCAACTCGTCAGAGTCATTCTCCATCCAGCTTTGTTCCGTTGCTGGTGAGGAGCTGCGTTCTTTTGGAGGAGGAGAGGCGCTCTGATTTTTTGAATTTTCAGTTTTTCTGCTCTGTTTTTTCCCCATCTTTGTGGTTTTATCTACCTTTGGTCTTTGATAATGGTGATGTATAGATGGGGTTTTGGTGTGGATGTCCTTTTTGTTTGTTAGTTTTCCTTCTAACAGTCAGTACCCTCAGCTGCAGGTCTGTTGGAGTTTGCTGGAGGTTCACTCCAGACCCTGTTTGCCGGAGGTTCACTCCAGACCCTGTTTGCCTGGGTATCAGCAGCGGAGGCTGCAGAACAGTGAATATTGCTGAACAGCAATGTTGCTGTCTCATCATTTCTCTGGAAGTTTCGTCTCAGAGGGTTACCCGGCCGCATGAGGTGTCAGTCTGCCCCTACTGAGGGGTACCTCCCAGTTAGGCTACTCGGGGTCAGGGACCCACTTGAGGAGGTAGTCTGTCCGTTCTCAGATCTCAAACTCCACTACTCTCTTCAAAGCTCAGTTCTCTTTCACTAAAGAATTTTCAGTATCCTTTGAAAGATACATGTAAACATCTTGTCACAGGTTTAAAAGCCTTGTCAGATATGTAAACACCTTGTTCTTGGCCCAGAGTATGCAATAAATGTTTAAATTGCTGTTCCTACCTCTCCTCTTTAGTGTATTTGTCTGGATTATTGAAGTTGGTGAATTATTTTATTTGGCCAATGGTTTAGACATAGAAACTTCTGGATTATAAACAAGACAGCTGCCATAGCCTTAGCATCAAGTAAAAATGTGGTGTTTCATGTGTGTGTGTGTGTGTGTTTTCTTATTGAAACAGAGATAAATGAACACTGCCAAAATGTTGGTAAATGTAAAGAGGATAATGCATACAACATATTGTTCTTTTAGACATAGTTATGTTATTTTCTTCCACGTTTTTATTTAGAATGACACTGTTTCTATACTGTTTATACATTGCCTTTTAAAAAACTTTATATTATAGAATGAGTATCTTCCCTATGTTATTGGAAAAAGGGATCTCGATCCAGATTCCCAGAGAGGGTTCTTGGATCTTGCACAGGAAAGAATTCAAGGTGAGTCACAGAGTGCACTGAGAAGAGACAGTTTATTGAAAGCTATTTCATTACAGAGTAGGGTATCTTCAGGTAGCATGCAGATGAATGCACTGTCTTTGTTTTTTTCTTACAGAGCAGTCTCATCTATATAAAGATTAAACCAAGCTGTGACTACGTGAGGGTGAGCAAATAGCATGGCAAAATGTATTATTCTATTTATTTGTTTATTTCATTTATATATATATATATATGTATATTTAAACTTTTTTGGACATATCCCCCCTTTTTTTAAACTTTAATGTCTGGGATACATGTGCAGAACTTGCAGGTTTATTATGTAGGTATACATGTTCCATGGTGGTTTGTTTGCAACACCAATCAACCTGCCATCTAGGTTTTAAGACCTGCATGCATTAGGTATTTGTCCTAATGCTCTCCCTCCCCTTGCCCCCCATCCCCCAATAGGCCCCAGTGTGTGATGATCCCCTCCTTGTGTTCATGTGTTCTCATTGTTCAACTTCCACTTATGAGTGAGAACATGCGGTGCTTGGTTTTCTGTTCCTGTGTTAGTTTGCTGAGAATAATAGCATTATTCTATTTATTTAAAGAAAATTATGCTTGACAGTTTCATATGTGAGTATATCAAAGCATAAACATAATTATTTTGAAAGCATATATTATTAAGGGTATTGGGCTATCTAGACTTTCTGTTGTTGTAGGAGTGTGTCTTTGCAGGGATTACCAACCTGCTTCCTTAGCTGTAAACATCTTAGGACCATGGGTTGTGACTGGGAAGGAATGTGCCTTGCTGGTTTTAAGATGGAGTTGATTTCACAGTGGTGTCACCCTGCTCTCCTAGGCTCCTGTTTCCCTAATACCTGTAAATATGCATTTTTGAAAATGCAATTTTAAAAGCCATGAAACGGGTTATCTCACACTTGTTCCATAATTTGTTTAATCAATCCTCATTGTTAAATATTTGACCTATTAACCACAATGTAATCAAAGTTGTATTTCACAGTATATTTTTAGCTCAACCAATTAAAAATGTTTTTGTATTGCTTGTATTTCCTTCTACTTTATTCTGTAGAGTTATTAACTATATTTTTTATTGTTAAGAGAAAATATTAGGATAACAAAAAAATAAATTCCGTGTTCTTTCCCAGAAGTAACAATTCTTAGGAATTAAATGATCATGTATGCCAACTTTAAACCTGCTAATCTGGTGTAAATTAATGGAGATATTTTAGATTCACAGAAATATGCCCGCTTGGATGAAAAATCATATACTAGCCTGAGTTAACAGTTTACAGAATAAGTGTGTATTTTTCTACATATGCAAAATTTAAGATAGAATTGTACTTATTGTTGCAAGTTATTAAATTAATGGTATTTCTCAAAGAACCTCCCATAATAGAACATATGGCTCAGACTTATTTCTGTTAACTCCTGTGGTATTCACTAATATAGATGGAAAAATAATATATTTTAATATTTTCCTAATTATGGTGTTAAATAAAAAACTTTAAAGGATAATATAAAGATTATCACAGAAATATAAAGTAACTTGTCAGAAATTTAATTTAGGTCATCAAGTAATAAAAATACAGAGATGTTACAACTGATTCAAATAATTCAATATATATACATACACACAACACATACACAAACATGTACATGCACAATTAAATACTTCAAAATAAATGTATAGATACCTACAAAAGTTGGCCAATATGGACAGCTCCAGTGGTCTCAAATGATTTGCATGTCTAAGTAAATGAATCATATCTAGTACTTCCAGTTTTCTACTATTTACAAAATTTTTCAGAGTCTTACAGGCAGACATAACCTAGACAGTATGAAAAATAGACTCCCTATTCCTTTTATGTTAATTTCAGAGTCTTTCATAGTTTGTTCTATGTTTTTTTTTTTTTTCTGCTGATGGAACTACAGATTATAGTCAGTGTTTCTGCTCTTCTTAAGAATTCTACAATGGGCCGGAAGTGGTGGCTCACAATTGTAATTCCAGCACTTTGGGAGGTCAAGACAGGTGGATCACCTGATGTCAGGAGTTCGAGGCCAACATGGTGAAACCCCATCTCTACTAAAAATACAAAATTAGCTGGGCATGGTGGCGGGCACCTGTAATCTCAGCTATTTGGGAGGCTGAGGCAGGAGAATTGCTTGAACCTGGGAGATGGAGGTTTCAGTGAGCCAAGATTGTGCCATTGCTCTCCAGCTTGGGAGACAGAATGGAACTCCACGTCAAAAAAAAAAAGTTACAATAAACATCTTCTTATACAAATTTATTTTTGTAAATAGTTACCTAGAATTGCTGGATGAATATGTGTAAATTTGCTTTTGTTGTTGTTGTTTTAGAAACTGCCAAATTGCTTGCAAAAGTGTTATTTCAATGTATACTATCATGAACTATATATAAATATATTATTCTTACATGTACAAATAGTTGAATTATTCTTTTATTTTTTCTTTAATCTGGCCATTGTTTTGATTCTTATTGCTGCAATTGCTAATGAAGTTGGGCATATTTTTATTCACTTACTGGTTAGTGATATTTTATTTTAAAATTAATTATATATTTTTTACTTATTTACATTTTTAAATTATTTATTATTGATATATGATAATTTTTAAATATGTTTTTGATGTTAGCTATTGCCTTTTATATAAATTAAAATACTTTATTTCAATTTGTCAGTTGTCTTTTTAAAATAAGTTTTGCTTATAATATAGTTTCTGTTATGGTGTTAAAATGTATATAACAAGATATGTATAATTTTAACCGTTTGTAAGCGTACACAACTCAGTGCCATTGAAACATTCACAGTGTTGTGTAATCATCACCATTACCTCTACCCAAAACTTGCCATTGCCCCCAAAATAAAATCTGACCTATTAAACAATACCTTCCCATTTTCAACTTCCCTCATGCCCTGATAACCTCTATTCTACTTTTGGTCTCTGCAAACTTGCCTATTCTAGGTACCTCACATAAGTGGAATCAATATGCTATTTGACTTTACATGTCTGGCTTATTTCACTTAGCATAATGTGTTTAAGATTTATCCATGTTGTAACATATCAAAATTTTATTTATTTTTATTTCTTTTTATGGCTGATAATTTTATTTCTTTTTATGGCTGTTAATAATATCCAATTGTCTGTGTACGTCACAGTTTATTTACCCATTTGTTAATGGACATTTGGATTGCTTTCTACCTTTTGATTATTGTGAATAATTCTACTATTAATATTGGCATAACATTATCTCTTCAGGCCTCCGCTTTCAGTTACTTTAGACATGGACCTAGGAGTGACACTGCTGGGTCATAAGGTAGTTCCATGTATAACGTTTTGAGGAAGTGATAAACTGTTTTCCACAGCAGTTGCGCCATTTTACATTCCCACCTTCAATGGGTACGTTACAGTTTCTCCACATTCTTACCAAAACACTTTTTCTTCTCTTTCTCTTTTTGTAACAGCCATTCTTGTGGGTGTAGAGTGTTATCTCACTGAAATTTTGATTTGTATTTTCCTGATGATGACTGTTGTTGAACATCTTTTCACGGGTTTATTGGCTATTGGTATATCTTCTCTGGAGAAATGTCTAATGTCTATTCAAATTATTTTCCTTTATTTATTTATTTATTTATTTATTTATTTATTTATTTTTTATTTTTTTATTTTTTTGAGACGGAGTCTCGCTCTATCGCCCAGGCTGGAGTACATTGGCGCGATCCCCGCTCACTGCAAGCACCACCTCCCGAGTTCACGCCATTCTCCTGCCTCACTCCCGAGTAGCTGGGACTACAGGCATCCGCCACCACGCCTGGCTAATTTTTGTATTTTTAGTAGAGACGGGGTTTCACCACATTGGCCAGGCTGGTCTCGAACTCCTGACCTCGTGATCCACCTGCCTCTGCCTCCCAAAGTGCTCAGGGCACCCACGTGGGGCAACGTCTTTCACAATATAGTCAGAGGTTTTGAACAAACCACTTTCAGTAAGTAACAAAACAAGTGGATGAAAAATAACCTGTGAGGAATCAGGAGTAAAATGGCACAAAACATTTTTAATAGACATTAAAAAAATCATGAGAGAATATTATGAATAACGTAATTGAACTATATTTAAATATCTGTACCAAATTTCTGTAAAATGAAAGAGAAAATATGAAGAGTGTTATTTTTACTAAAAAACGTTACTCAAAAATTTCTTTACATTTCCGTTTCCGGAAGACATTAGCACTGCGTTGTTACCAAATATTTAAGCAAACAATAATACATCTCAACTCATTTGTATGAAATATCAAAATCTGTTGAGCAGGATAGTTTAACAGAGTCAAATTACAAACATATCTCACTCATCTACACATAAAACAAAAACGTCTTAAAGATAATATTAAGAAAATGAATCCAACAGTAAGAAATAATAATTTAATGTGCTCAAGATAAGTTTAAAACAAAATATTCTTTCATTCAATATCATTAATGTAATGTGCTGTATATTATATAATAGAGGTAAATTCAAATAATATTCTTAACACTTGCACATATTATTGATAAAACTTAATATACATTCACTTAAAAAACAGCGAACTTGAGATGGAAGGAGCTTTTCTATCTGAAAATTTATCTTTTGGCATTTACCTTTTATCTAGAGCATGTATTATTATAGGAGAAATGTTGAAATTTTTTCTGTTTAATTGGGAATAAAAAACAAAAGGCTAATTTTCACCACTTTTATTCGATATTGGACAAGAGATTCTAGGTTGTGCATTAAATCAGAAAAAAGTCATAGCAGATTTGGAAAAAAACAAAAATGTTTGCGTTTTTAGATGGTAATACGTACAAAGAAAAAAAATGTTATTTTTTTTTAAGTCAGGGTCTTACTCTGTCAGCCAGGCTGGAGTGCAGTGGTGCAATCATGGCTCACTGCACCATCAACTCCCTGGGCCCAGCTGATCCTCCCACCCCAGCCTACCGGGTACCTGGGACCACAAGCATGCACCATCGCTCCCAGCGAAAATATTTTTAAAATTTTTTATAGAGATAGGTTCTTCCTTGTTGCTCAGACTGGTCTTGAAACCCCTGAGCTCAAGTGATCCTCCCTCTTCAGCCTCCCAAAGTGCTGGCATTACAGAAATGAGCCACAGTGAACAGCCCGAAGGATTTTTTTAGTCAAATTATTAGCACAAAGAAAATATTTAACAGGTTTTCCTTAAAAAATGAAAAGAAAAACCATCACACTAGAATCACACTCCCAATTAATAGAAGACAAAATACATAAAGTTTATATCCTATATGGCAAAAATTCTTGCTCACCTATTCTAACAGGATGAAAACTCAATCAACCAGAAGAGTGAGCTCAAAGTAAGAAAACTAAGAGTATACAAAACAGAATTATTCTCACAATATATACAGTATCTAAACATGATAGATAATATAATTGGAAATTTATAATACATTAGTATTTTTAATGAATCTAAGAATATATGTGCAAAGGGAAAATTTAATAATAGTTTTACTATATCTGGGAAAAAATAAGCTTTGCAGGAAAAAAGATATGGAATATAGGTTTTCAGATTATCATAAGTATGCATAAAAATGTAGGCAGTTGTTTGATAAGAAGTTCACCTATTATATATTGTAGATTTATTACCAGCAAAATATCAAGCTGTATGTTACAGTTACAGAGAAGATGGTGAACACAAGCCGAACAGTTGAGTTGCCAAACTTCTAGACCAGAATCTAGGTGAGGCGAAGAAATAAAGTCATTAACAACCCAGGAAAAGTAAGCAAAAGAAAACAGGACACATAAATCAACACCCTAATGTAAAATATTATAAAATTAAAGTAATGGAGGCATAAAGCATATAGAAAGTTATAAAAATGAATGTAAAGGAACAGAAATATTTGGTCAAAAGACAAAGATTGTGAAGTTAATTTAAAAACAAATCCATATATTTGTCCTCACAAAAACAGACCAAATAAAAATTTAAAATAATGGACCAATTAAAATGTATAAGTAAAATGCCCTCTTCTCTATGCTTCTCAGTAAAAAACATAAAAATGTCCATTTTAAAGGAAATGTTGATTAATTAAAAAAAGTCAAAACTTTAAATAGCACAATAAGAAATATTATCAAATGGTATACATCCTGTTCTGTGAAAAAATATTTGAATTAATAACTGGAGAGAAAAGCCAAAGAATTCAGCCAGCAAGCATCAGGAAGACTAAAACGGATGAAAACTTTCCAAAAGCTTAAGTCATAAGAGTAGATGTGTTGATATTGTTGTAATAGAAATCACCAAAATATAGAGAAATAAATAAACTGCGGGAATTTTCTAACAATGGAAATGACTATTAAAAAAGATGAAAAGACCAAAAATCCTACAACACATAGAATGCTAAAAGATACATTTGACAAGGGGAAACATTACATTAGTAAAATTTTAAAATAGCCACGAAAAAGAGAAAAGTCAAACCACAAAAGTCTATACCATGATAAGAATAAAAATGGCATAATTTTCCCCAATATCTGAGGCAAAATATGAACATAGTTGGCACTACTTTACTGTTCACTTAAACATAGTTAAGATGATATTTTTTAAAGTTCCTTAACCATCTTCCACAATGGTCGAACTAATTTACAATCCCACCAACAAAGTAAAAGTGTTCCTATTTCTCTACAGCCTCGCCAGCATCTGTTGTTTCCTGATTTTTTAATAATCAACATTCTAACTGGCATGAGATGGAATCTCTTAACCCAGTAATTCCATTACTGGGTATATACCCAAAGGATTATAAATCATTCTACTGTAAAGATACATGCACACGTATGTTTATTGCAGCACTATTTATAATAGCAAATACTTGGAACCAACCCAAATACCCATCAATGATAGACTGGATAAAGAAAATGTGTCACATATACACCATGGAATGCCAGGCAGCCATAAAAAAGGATGAGTTCACATCCTTTGCAGGGACACAGATGAAGATGGAAACCATCATTCTCAGCAAACTAACACAGGAACAGAAAACCAAACACCGCATGTTCTCACTCATAAGTAGGAGCTGAACAATGAGAACCCATGGACACAGGGAGGAGAACATCACATACTGGGGTCTGTTGGAGGGTGGTGGGCAAGGAGAGGGAGACCATTAGGACAAATACTTAATGCCTGATGGGTTGATAGGTGCAGCAAACCACCATGGCAAACGTATACCTACATAACAAATCTTCATGTTCTACACATGTATCCCAGAACTTAACTAAAGTTCTTATTTTACTTAAAGTAAAATTAAAAAAAAATTAAAAAGTTCCTTAACTAAATAGAAAACTAAAATTTGCTACTTTTCACTTCTTAAAAAATAACACTTCAATAATATTTTTGAGAGTGCAAAAATATGCCATGTTATAGGGCCTCAGCAACTCAAAGCATACATTTATATCCTGAAAATTGCCTGAAGCAATAACTCCATTCCATAGGAAAAAAAATCAGGAGTGTCAAAATAAGTAAATGGTAAATAAAGGTGAACAAAGAACTTTGTAAGTTTGCAAAATAGCAAAATAAGAAAAAAAATGTTTATGACAGTCCTAAACTAAAATTCCAGATTATATCAACAAGATATGGATTAAGAAAGTGGTCAAAGAATAAGACACTTGTCCTCTTAAGAAGATAAAATCATTGCTCCATTTAGAGTTTGATAGAGAAAATTGATATAATATGGTTTGACTCTGTGTCCCCACCCAAATCTCATGTTGAATTGTAATCCCTAATGTTGGGGAGGAAGCTGGTGGGAGTTGATTGGATCATGGGGGTAGATTTCTCCCTTGCTGTTCTAGTGAGTTCTCATGAGATCTGGTTGCTTGAAAATGTGTAGTAATTCCTCCTTTGTTCTCTCTATTGCTCTGACATGGTAAGACCTGCTTGCTTTCCCTTTGCTTTCTGCCATGATTGCAAGTTTACCGAGGCTCCCCGCGATACTTCCCGTACAGCCTGCAGAGCCGTGAGTCAATTAAACCTCTTTTCTTCATGAATTACCCAGTGTCAGGTAGTTCTTTATAGCAGTGTGAGAAGAGACCTGTACAGGATATGAGTAGGGTTTAGTTAGTAGAATAGTAGGAATCACAAAAAGAGTGCAAAATAGAATTATAATGTTAACCAGCAAAAGAGGGTTTTCTCTACGTATGGGAAAGCAGAGAAAGACAAACAAAAAAAAGTTGGGAGTGAAAAGGAAAATGATATAGCAATAGTTGTTCACAAAACGCACACAGGCACAAACACACATGGAATTTGAAATATGGAGGACAAATGAAAAAAATAAAAAAAGGCAGACAATTGTGAAGCAAATGAAATGAATGGTAACAAGTTTAATATGTGACAACATAAGGTGGAAAGAATAATGTTATATACTTCAAAATCTAAAAGGGCATCAACAAGATATAGTCAGAAATATGGACTTTGCCTAACTTTATAACCTTATTATATGTCAACTAACAACTGAAGAACTATGAGGAGAAAGAGAAATATCAAATTCTAAATGCAACTTTATAATTGGATAAATATCACTTTTCAATATAAAATATATTTAAGTTTATTAGATCAAAAAGACAAAAATAAATAAAAATAAAAATTTGAATAATAAAATTCATAACCTCTTAACTTGCTCAACTCTCTATTATTTCTACAAATTTACCTACAGACAATTTTGTGGTTTCTAATATGAAAATAAAATCAATTATGAATATAGAAAATTTTGTTTTCTCTTTTCCAATGAATATATATTCCTCTCTAGCTCCTTCCATCCCTTTTTTCCTCCCTCCTCCCCTTCCTTCCTCCTTCTACTGCAGAAAGCATGTCTTAAGGCTGGATCTTCTGCATGACTGTAATTTAAAAGTAATAAAGTTCTTTTGTCCTTCTTGATCTTTTAGAGAATGAAATAAACATTGTCTCACTTATGACTTAGCCTGATTGTTGTTCGTTGTGGGGACAAAGGGTAGTATATAGACAGACACACACAGTGAACATCACCAAGTGCTGAATAAAAGTAACACATAATTTAAATTCTAAAAATCTATAATATATGATTCCACTTGTCTGTGATACTTGACGTCTAATATATTTTAGGTAATTAAATAAAGTGGTCAGTTAAGCTGATCTCTTTTGATTATTTTACAAATTACAAACACACCACAGATTATTCTATTTTTATTTTTGTTACATTTTGTTCCAACCTTTTTATAACCAGGTAACCACTTTTACAGTGTTTTTAAAGATCATCTTCAATATTTTATATTTTCCAGAGTCTTATTTACATATTTGAGTAACACATTTTATATTTGCACCTTTCATAAAAGGAATGCTTTGTTTTTGGAAGGGATATGTGGATGCCTTTTATCCAATTATTATAGTTCATTAGGGAAGGCAATAATCCTGTTGACTGCTCATCCTATATGGTACGTCTCACATGGCTCAAGCAGGAAGAAGAGAGCAAAGCGGATGTGCTGCACACTTTTAAACAACCAAATTTCATGAGAACTCACTCACTATCAGGGAAACAGCAAAGGGGAACTCCAACCCCATGATCCAGTCACCTCCCATCGGGTCCCTCCTCCAACACTGGGGATTACACTCTGACATGAGATTTGGGTGGGGACACAAATTCAAACCATATCACCTGGACTGAAAGAGTTCCACCTAAGGTAGTTGTTTTTCAACCTGGGAGCCTTAGGAAAGTTGTAGGGGGCATTTCGAAATGTCTGACCACCTTTTTGGTTTTCACAACACTAATGTAAGGCATTTCCAGGCTCTAAAGTGCTTTGAGTCCCTTGGCCTCTTCCCCTGAAACCCATCCCTTCATTTGTCAAACAGTGAACATGTCAATCACTGTGCTGGTCACTACAGGCATGGAAATGAAATAATTTGCACCCTTAGGGATACCAGAGTGTTGTGAGGGAGGCTATCTGTGCACAGATTATTATCAAATGAACTCTAAATCAATGAATTAATGAATTTAATATCAAAATTATAGAAATAGCCTCAATATGTCAGGGAAAACATGTGAAGGTATTGCAACAATGGGTATTAATACAGGTGTAAAAACAAACCAAATGCAAAACATCCAACACTCTCCGATAAAGCAAAGTAAATGGGCTTTTTTTTTTTTTAACAGAGAAGTAATAGTTAAGGAACATATATTCTATGTCAGGTACTGTTCTTATTACTATTCATGTACTGGTTATTTTAATCCCACTAATTCCATGAAAACAGGATGAGTGAACTAAGGCACAGAGTGGCTGAGGCATTTACCATGTTTCACACAACTAGTAAGTAGAGTCTGGTTTCATTTTATGGAGTCTTGTTCCAGAGGTGGGCCTTTTTCCCTGCTCTACATGTATACTGCCTCTCAAGAGCAAGCAATGCACGTCCATCACTTTTCTTTGGGCCAGGAGAAACAGGTCAGAGGAAAGGAGCTTGCTTGGTATCCCAGACTCGATGTCTTAAAGAGCCAGGAAAAAAAAAATTTAAATGAGTAGTAGGTACTGTCTTGAACTGAGAAGAGCCTGCCAGAGGGAAACCCACTCTTCCTTTGTAGTACAGGGTTTGTGTGTAAATTGGTTGAAGTGATGTTAAAACTTGCAGTTTGTCAAGTTCAAATGGAAATACGGGATTGGGTATGGAATTGCCTGGTTTTTATCTGTTGGCATATGGATAATTTTAGCTGTTCACCAGTGTTTCTCATGGTAATAAAGTTTAGTAAGGCACATTGGCTACCAAGCTATGCCCCCAACCATAAAACTATCCTTCTCTTTCATGTTAAGTTGGTAAGCAGAAATATTGAATGATACCACCTTACCCGAAGAAAGAAAATAAAGCAAACAGTAGAAAATATGATTCCACAAATCCCCACTCTTTCTTTTCTTGGAGAGTTCTCATATTCAAATATCTGTAATAATAAGTGCTAACACATAATTCCGTGTTATGTGGTGCCACCCTGCATCCTGTAATTGGATTTGTCTCAATCCTATCCATCCTTAGAATGTCTTCAGTCGTATTTTACTTCAGTCTAAGTTTCTATGAAGTCCAGGGGGCATTCAGAATTTCCCAATTTCTGTAGAGTCAATTGACACCTCCTCAGCGGCAGCTTTTACAAAGGGAATGGGATTCTTGGTCAAAGTTAATTTCAACTCAAGTTAACACATGTGTAGTGCTTATGGCATCAGCCTTTGGGTCATAAAAGTATACTCCTAATTTTTTCTTCTATTTTTAAAAAATGCATGTCCTCATATTTAGTTCTTTCATCAACATGTGTTTTACTTTTGTGCAGAGTAGAAGGTGAAAACCTATTTTAAACGTCCCCTTGTGAATACCAAAATAGTCCAACATTGTTTATTTGAGTAGTCCATTCTTTCTGCTTTCACCATGATTTCCAAATGCCTCTTCTGATACATACAATGTGTTCTGTATGGGAAGATCTACTTTGGGGCTATTATTTTCTAAATATCAGTGTGACCCTATCTTAATGAACACTGCTTGAAATGTAACTATTTATGTCATGTTAATTTTTAAATGACTATTGTTAGAACACTGCTGATTTTTATAGTGATCTTGTGTCCTGCAAGCTGCAGAGGAGTTTTATCATTTTCAATAATTTGATTTTAAATTATCCTGATAATTATATGTAAACATATTTGTAGTTCAGAATTGATCTCAAGTAGGTTGTTACTTTTCGTTTAATTTTTCTACAGTGCACAGTCTGGCACATTTGGGCATATGTTTACACTGTTGTACCACCATCCCAATTTAGGTACGGAGCACTTCCATCATACTAGAAAGCTCCCCCATGCCTCTTGCCAGTTTATCCTCCTCACTTCAGGCAACAAATGCTTTGCTTTTCATCTCTGTAAATTAGTTCTGCCTGTTGTAGAATTTCATATAAATGGAATCATACATTATAAACTGTCTATATCAATATTATAGTTTTGAAGTTCATCTGAGTAGTGTATATTAGTAAGTTTTTTCCACTGTTCAGTATTTTTCTATTGTATGGTTGTATCACAGTACGTTTATGCATTCATCAGTTGAAGGACATTTGGGTTATTTTTGTTTTTGGCTAATATTATGAGAAGAAAACAACTCTGTATATCCTTATTCTAATCTTTTGGTGGATCTATGCTTTCAATGACCTTAGGTGTATACACAAGAATGCAATTGCCATGCCATTTTGTAGAAGCATGTTTAACTTTATATGTAATTTCAAAAGTGGTTGCAAAAGTTTTTGACCCAGAAATGCATACCAGTTTTCCTTGCTCCACAGTCTCACAAACACTTCCTACTGTCAGTCTTTTAAGTTATAACCATCCTAGTGAGTGTGAAATTGGGTTTCTTTATGATTTTGATATGAATTTCCCTGATGCTTAATGATATCAAGCACTTTTCATGGGAATAATAGTCATTCACATTTCTTCTATTATAAAATGTGTGTTCAAACTTTGCTCATTTTAAATATTGAACTGTTTTCCAAGTCATGCATTTACTAGTTTTATATCTATTATATATAAATTAGCAGAGATTCTTCAGATAACTTAGATATAAATATTTTATTATATAAATGCATTGAATGTATTTTCCCCAGCCTGTGGTTTGTTTTTCTGGTTTCTTAACATGTTTTTTGATAAGAGGATGCACTTACTGTTGATAAAGTAAAATTTATCTTTTTTTCTCTTATTTCATTAACATTATTTGTGTCTTATTTAAGCTATCACTGCACACTCTAGGGTCATGATGGTATACTCCTACGCTTTACCTAAAGGCTTTACATTTAAAGCTTTGATATTTACGTGTATCATCCTTCCTCGACTAGTTTTTTTGTGTATAGTAGGAAACATTGGTAAACATTAATATTTTTCTTATAAATATGCAGTTGTTCCAGCATCATTTGATGAAATTATTTCTTTTCATTGGTCACATCTGTAAAATATCAGTGATATCTACGATATGCTCTTTCTGGTTCTTCAGTTTTTTCCAATAACCTATTTGTCTGTCCCTTTACAGTAACATGATTGTTATTATATGAAATATGATTGTGAATTATTTTATTTTTAAAAGTAACAAGCAATAAATTTTATTTCTTGTAGTTACAGATCCGGGGGCTCCATGTTCAGGCTTGTTACAAGGGGATATTGTGTAATGCTGCGGTTTTGGCTTCTACTGAACACATCGCCCAAATAGTGAACCTAGTATCCAGTAGGCAGGTTTTCAGCCCCTGTCCCCATTTCACTCTCCCTCATTTGGAGGTCCCCAGTGTCTGTTATTGACATGTTTACGGTCATGTGTACCTTTTGTTTAGCTTCCAAGTATAAGTGACAGCATGCAGTATTTGATTTTCTGTTTCTGCATTAATTCACTTACGATAAAGGCCCCCAGTTACATCCCTGTTGCCAGAAAGGACAAGATCTCATTCTTTTTTATGGATGTATTGTATTCCACGGTGTATATGCACCACATTGTCTTTAACCAGTCTACCATTAATGGACACTTCAGTTGATTTCATGACTTTGTTACTCTGAATAGTGCTGAGATTTTGTTTCATTTGGGTAGAAATCCAGTAGTGGGATTGCTGAGTCGATTGGTAGTTCTATTTTTAGTTCTTTGAACAATTCCCATACTATTTCTTATAAAAGTTGTAGTAATTTACATTCCCACCAACAGTGTATAAGCATTCCCTTATCTCTGCATCTTCATCAAAATGTATGTCTTTTGTTTCTGTTTGTTTGTTTTTTACTTTTTAATAATGACCATTCTGATTGTTGTGAGAGGGTACCTCATTTTCTACTTTTGCCCATTGCATATGAGGTCGGCTATGGGTTTGTCCTAGATGGTTGTTAACATTTTGAGGTATGTTCCTTTGCTACATGGTCTGTTGAGGATTTCTATCATGAATGGATGTTGGATATTATTGAAAGCTTTTTCCACATCTATTGAGATAAACATATGGTATTTGTGTTTAATTTTGCTTATACAGTGAATCACATTCATTTATTTGCATATGTTCAATTGCATCCCTGAAATAAAACCCACTTGATCAGGATGAATTATCTTTACTATGTGCTCTTGGACTCAGTTTGCTAGTATTTTGTTGAGAAGTTTTATATCTATGTTCATCAGAGATATTGGTCTGTAGTTTACTTTTTTTGTTGTGTCCTTGCCAGATTTTAGTATCAGGATGATACTGGTTTTGTAGAATGAGTTAGAAAGGTATCTCTTCTCTTTGATTTTTGAAGAGTTTCAGTAACATTGACACCAGCTCTTCTTTGTACATCTGGTAGAATTTGGCTTTGAATTCGGCTGGTACAGGACAATTTTTGGTTTGTAGATTTGTTTTTATCATGGATTACTGTTAGTAACTCACTATTTGTCTTTCAGTATTTCCGTTTCTTCCTGGTTTAATCTTGAGAGGCTGTGTGTGTTTCCAATAATTGATCCATTTTTTTCTAGGTTGTCTAGTTTGTGTGCATAGAGATGTTCATAGTAATCTCTGAGTATCTTTTGTATTTCTTGATTTCAATGGTAAAGCCACCTTTTTCATTTCTGATTGTGCTTATTTGAAACTTATCTCTTTTTTTCTTGATCAATCTAGTTAGCAGTCTATGAGTTTTATTTGTCCTTTCAAAGAACCAACTTTTTGTTTCATTGATCTTCTGTATTTTTTATAACCATTTTATTTAGTCTGACTCTCATCTTAGTTATTTCTATTCTTCTGCTAGCTTTGGGTTTAATTTGTCCTTGTTTTTCTAGTTCATTTAAGTGGAGCATTAGGCTGTTAATTTGAGATATTTCCATTTTTTGATGTATGCATTTAGTGTTATAAAATTTCCTCTTAATACTGCTTTTGTTATATCCCAGAGATTTTGGTATGTTGCATTTTTATTTGCATTTGTTTAAAAAATTTTTTGATTTCTGCCTTACTTTTGTTTTCTTTTAACCAAAAGTTATTAAGGAGCAAGCTGTTTAATTTCCATAAACTTCCATGGTTTTGAGAATTCCTCTTAGTATTGATTCTAATTTTATTTCACTGTTTTCCAAGAAGATGCTTGATATAATTTCCAGGTTTAAAAATTTATTGACACTTGCTTTCTGACAAAGCAGTTCGTCAATTGTAGAGAATATTCCATGTGCAGATGAGAAAATGTATATTCTGTGGTTCTCTCATGGAATATTTTGTATGTATCTATTAAGTCTGTTTGGTAAAGAGTCCAGTTTAAGTCCATGATTTCTTTGTTAGATTTTCACCTCAGTTTTCTGTCTAATGCTGTAAGGGTGGTGTTGAAGTCCTCAATATTATTATATGGCTGTCTATTTTTACAGATCTAGTAGTATTGCTTTATAAATCTGGGTGCTTTGATATTTGGTGTAAATATAATTAGGATAATTAAATATTCTTATTGAAGAGTACCATTTGTCATTGTGTAATACATTTCTTATTCTTTTTTTTTTTAACTATTGGTGGTTTAAATTCTGTTTTATCTAAGAATAGCAACCCCTGCAATTTATTGTTTTTATTTTTTTATTTGCATGATAGATCTTTCTCCATCCCTTTATTTTGAACCTGTGGTATCACTCCATGTGAAATGGGTCGCTTGAAAGCAGCTGAAGGTTGGTTCCTGTTTTTGTATCCAATTTGCCAATCTATGACTTTTTAATTGCATATTTACGCTGTTTACATTCAAAGTTAATATTTATATGTGAGGTTTATTTCTGTCATAGCATTGTTACTGAGATGCTTTACAGTTTCAATTATGTAGTTGCTTTATAGGATCCGTGACCTTTGTACTTTTGTGTGCTTTTATGATAGCAAGCATTGTTCTTCATTCCCGTGTTTAGAAGTCCTTTGAGCATTTTTTGTAGGATTGGTCTGGTGACGCTGAATATCCTTAGCATTTTCTTGGTTAGGAAAGATTTTATTTCTTCTTCATTTATGAAGCTGAGTTTGGCAAAATATGAAATTCTTGGCTGACAATTTTTTTTCTTTAAGGGGGATAAAAATAGGACCCTAATTTCTTCTAGCTTGTCTTTACAAGCTAGAACTTTCCGCTAAGAAGCCTGCTGACAGTCTGATGGGTTTTCCTATAGGTAATTTTGCCCTTTTTGCTAGCTACCTTAAGATTTGGTCTTTTGCACTGACCTTGAATAGTCTAATGATTATATGCCTTGGGGATGGTCTTCTTGTATACTATCTTGCAGGAGTACTTGGAATTTCTGGAATCTGGTTGTAGACTTTAGCAAAATTACATAAACTTTCCTGAATTTTTCTCTCACATGTGTTTTCCAAGTTGCTTACTTCTTCTTCTCTCTCAGAAATGCCAATAAGTTGCAGGTTTGGTTGTTTTATATGAACCAATATTTATTGAATGCTTTGTGTTGTAAAATTTTATTTTCTTTGATTGTGTCTCACTGGGTTAATTCAAACTCTGAAATACTTTCTTCTCCTTGGCCTAGTCTATTCTTTAAACTTCCCATTGTATTTTGAAATTCCTTCAGTGAATTTTTCATTTCCAAAAGTTCTATTTGCTTTCTTAATGTAGATATCTTATATTCCATATCCTGAATTAATTTTGTTTTTTTGTTTTGATATTAAACTTTATCTTGAATCTTGTTGAGTTCTAGTGAAATCCATATTTTGAATTCTTTATCTGTCATTTCAGAATTTTCATTTTGTTTGGGATCCATTGCTAGAGAACTAGTATAGTCACTTGGGAAGGGTCAAAGCATTTTTTGTCTTCACGAGGCTGGAATGCTTGTGTCGATTTCTTCTCATCTGTAGAAGCTGTTGCTTTTAATTTTCGAATTTACTTTTGTTTGTTTGTCATATTCTTCAGAGCACAACTATTGTGTATGTTGGATAGAGTCATTTGCCTTTTTTCAATGTGCCTTTAGGGGTTCTGGACACTATGAATTCCTTGATTATAGATAGCCTTAATGTAGTAGCTGTCTCAAATGCTTGTTCTTTGTAGGTTGTAAAATCAGTGAGTTGTGTGTGTGGTCCGGCTCACTGTCTCCTACAGGGATGGGGTGGTGAAAGTCTCAGGAGACATATCTACTTTCACAGTGCTGTGCATTTCTGTCAGCAGAAAGTATGTTGGATTGTATAATTCACCCTACAGGCGAGTAGGTGGTGCTTGTGGGTAAGAGCCAATTGAGCATTGTACAATGATATCAGATAAAGTTGTGATGGACTGTGTAGATTGATCTTCTGGCCTGTAGATGGTGCTTGCAGGTGAAAGGAATTTGAGCTGATGGCAGTGGAACTTTCACTTGGCCTTTGTTGAAAAGGGGAAGTACCAAGGTGTCCCTGGTAATGAGCAGGACATTGCACAGGCCTCTCAGGTGTACTGTTCAGTGCTCCAACACCAGGCCGCTGGACGGGGAAAAGTTGGGCGGGATGGGGCAAGGTGGGACAAGCCTGCAACCAGGCTCTCCAAAGGGACATGAGCATTGATCTTACTAGGATTCCAGGGGGCTTTCTCAAGCCACTGTGACAACCCTCTAGGGAAGGACTGAGGCACTCCTCCTATGCCACAGAGATCCCTGAGGGGAAGAGGAGCAACCTCGGGTTTTCAGCCCAGCAGATATCAATGAAATCTTGCCAAGCTCACAGTCCGCCTAGTGAAATCTTTAAATCTTTATATCAGGTATCATTTTCCAATAACTTTGTTCTTTTTAAATCATTTTTGCTATACTAAATCTCTTTTACTTCCATATATATTTTAGATGGGTCAATTTCTAATGAAGATTTGACTTAAATTTTTAATTGGAATTGCATTAACTCTGTAGATCAATTTGAGAAGACTGAACTGATTAAAAATATTAAATCTTCTGATTTATACATATTGCCAAAATGCCAATGTGACATTTCTCATCACACACAACACCAATCACTGAGACAAGGAGTATTGTGAGGGAGGATGGCTTTAATTTGGTGCTGCAGCCAAGGAGATAGGAGATCAATTCCATAACCACGTCCTCAACCAACTACATTTAGGGGGTTACATAGCAGGGAAAAAAATGTAACTATGTGTGGGAAAACAGGAATTAGGGAAAGGTAAGGAAGAGGAGTTGATGATTGGTGACACCGAGCACCTTTACATATACGTGTTTGCCATTTCTATGTCTTCTTTTGAGCAATGTCTATTCAGATCTTCTACCCATTTTAAGTCAGATTATTAATTTTTTTTCCTATCAAGTTGTTTGAGTGCTTTATATATTCTGGTTATTAATCCCTTGTTGGTTGGATACTTGGCAAGTATTTCCTCCCATTCTGTGGGTTGTCTCTTCACTTTGTTGATTATTTATCTTGCAAAAGTGTTTTAACTTGATGTGATCACATTTTTTCTGTTTTTGCTTTGGTTGCCTGTGATTTGGGGCTCAGGAAATCTTTGCCCAGACTAAAGTCCTGGAGAGTTTCCCCAATGTTTTCTTGTAGTAGTTTTCTAGCTTGAAGTCTTAAATTTAAGTATTTCATCCATTTTGATTTGATGTTTGTATATGGTGAGAGATATGGGTCTAGTTTCAGACTTCTGCATATAAATATCCAGTTTTCTCAGCACCATTTATTGGATAGACTTTTACCCAGTGTATGTTTGTTACATCGTTGTCAAGGATGAGTTCGCTGTAGGTGTCTGAATATTTTTCTGGGTTCTCTATTCTGTTCTATTGGTCTAGATAACTGTTTTTATTCAATTAACATGCCGTTTTGGTTACTATAATTCTGTAGTACAATTTGAAGTAAGGTAATGTTATTCCTTCAGTTTTGTTCTTTCTGCTCAGGATAGTTTTGGCTATTTTGGGTCTTTTGTGGTTCCATATAAATTTAAAAATGTTTCTATTTCTGTGAATAATGTCATTGGTATTTTCATAGGAATTGCATTACTTCAAGAACACAGGATATCTTTCCATTTTTTTGTGTCCTCCTCAATTTTTGCATCAATGTTTTATAGTTCTGATTGTAGAGATTTTTCACTTCTTTCATTCAGTGTGTTTCTAGGTATTGTATTTATTTGTAGCTATAGTAAGTGGGATTACATTATTGATTTGTTTTTCAGATTGTATACTGTTGTCATGTAGACGTGTTACTGATTTTTGTATGTTGATTTTGAATCTGCAACTTTACTGAATTTGTTTATCAGTTCTAATAGTGTTTTAATAGTATCTTTAAGTTTTTCCAAATATAAAATTATATTGCCTGCAAACAAGCATAATTTTGACTTCTTCCAATCCAGTTAGGATGTCTTTTTCTCTTTCTCTTGTCTGACTCCTGTAGCTAGAACTTTCAGTGCTATGTTAAATAACAGTGGTGAAAATGGGCACCCTTCTGGTATTCCAAATCTAAGAGGAAAGGCTTTAAATATTTCCTGTTCTGTAAGATAGTAGCTATGGGTCTGTGGTATATGGCTTTTACTGTGTTGAGGTATATTCTGTCTGTACCCATTTTGTTAATGTTGTACATCAAGAAGAAATGTTTAATTTTATCAAATACATCTTCAGCATTAATTGAAATGATCATATGGTTTTTGTCCTTAATTCTGTTAAAATGTATATCACATTGATTAATTTGTGTATGTTGAACCATCCTTGAAATCCCACTTGGTCACGCTAAATTATCTTTTTAATTTGTTGTTAAATTCAGTTTAATTGGCCTGTAGTTTTCTTTTTTGATGCATCTTTGACTGTTTTTTGTGCGAAGGTAAATCTGGCCTCAGAATTAGTTTTGAAGTATTCCTTCCTCCTCTACTTTTTGAAATAGTTTGAGTAAGATTGGTATTAGTTTTAAATATTTGTATAATTCAGCAGTGAAGACATCTGGTCCTGGGCTTTTCTTTGCTGGGAGACTTTATTATGGCTTCATTCTCATTACTTTTTATTGGTCAATTCATGTTTTGGGTTTCTTCTTGGTTTAATCTTCATAGGCTGTGTCTAGGAATTCATTCATTTCTTCTAAATTTTACAACTTATCGGCATATAGCTGTTCACAGTATTGTCTAATGATCATTTGAATTTCTGCATTATCAGTTTGATGTTTCTGTTTTCTCTCCAATTTTATTTATTTGGGTCTTCTCTTGTTTTTTCATAGTGTGAATAAAGATTTCTCAATTTTGTTTATCTTTTTTTAAAAAACACAACTTTTCATTAGATTGATCTTTTGTATTTTTTATTTCAATTTTATTTTTATCTGCTCTAATTTTTATTATTTCTTCTACTAATTTTGAGTTTTGTTTACTGTTGCTTTCCTAGTTCTTTTAAATATATTATTAAATTGTTTATTTGAAGTTTTTCAACTTTTTTGTTATAGGTTCTTATTACTATAAACTTTCCTCTTATTACTGCCTTTTCTGTATTGCATAGATTTTGGTATATAGTGTTCTCATTTTTATTTATTACAATAAATTCTTTATTTTCCTTTTTGACTTCTTTATTGTCTCACTGGTCATTTAAGAGTATATTGTTTAATTTCCATCTATTTGTATAGCTTCCAAAGTTCTTCTTGATGTCAATGTCTAATTTTATTTTATTGTGGTTGGAGAAGATACTTGCTATTATTTCAAAAATGTTTTGAATGTTTTAAGATTGTTTTGTGGCCTAAAATATGGTCTATCCTTGAGAATTATTCATGTGCTGAGGAAAAGAATGCCTATTGTGCAGCCTTTGGATGACATGTTCTGCAAATATCTATTATATTCACTTGGCGTATAGTGTGGATTAAGTTCAAATTTTCTATGTTAATTTTCTGTCTGAATTATCTCTCCAGTGCTGAAAATCGGGTCTTGAAGCCTCCTGCTATTATTGCGTTCAAGTTTATCTCTCTCTTTAGCTCTAATAATATTTGCTTTATATATCTGGGTGCTTCACTGTTGGGTAAATATATCCTCCTGCTGAATTGACCTCTTTATCATTATATAATATCTTTATCTCTTTTTTATCTTGAAACCTATTTTGTTTGCTATAGGTGTTATGTATTCTTGATCTCTTTTGGTGTCTATTCACATGGAACATCTTTTTTTCATCCCTTTATTTTCAGTCTACATCTGTCTTTATAGGTAAAGTGAGTTTCTTATAAACAACAGATCACCGGGCTCTTTATTTCAAAATCCAATCAGCCACTCTATGTCTTTCGATTGGAGAGTTTAGTCCTTTTACATTCCATGTTATTATTGATGAGTAAGAACTTGTTCCTGCCATTTTGTTATTTGTTTTTTTGGTTGTTTCGTAGTTTGTTATTTCTTTGTTCCTTCTTGTCTTCTTTTTGAAGGCGATTTTCTATAGCGGTATGTTTTAATTTCTTATTTTTAATTTTTTGTATATCTGTTGTAGGTTTTTTGATTTGAGGTTACCATGGGGCTTGCAAATAACATCTTATCCCATTATTTTCAAGTGATAACAACTTATCACTGATTGCATAAATTTTAAAAAACTAATGAACAAGCAAAGAGACCACTAATAAAAACTCTACACTTTTACTTTCTCCCTTTGCTTTTTAACTTTTTGTTGTTGTTTATATATATATATTATTATTACTGCCTATGTCTTGAAGAGTTGTTGTTTTTATTATTTTTAAAGGTTCATGTTTTAATCTTTCTACTTAAGATATGAGGAGGTTATATACCACAATTACGATGTTATAATATTTTCCGTCTATCTGTGTATTTAGAATTACCAGTGAGTTTTTTTTTTAACCTTAGATTATTTCTTGTTGCTTGTTAACATTCTTTTCTTTCAGTTTGATGAACTCCCTTTAGCATTTGTTGTAGGATAGACCTGGTACTGATAAAATCCCTCAATTTTTGTTTATCTGGAAAAGTTTATATTTCTCCTTCATGTTTGAAGGTTATTTTGATGTATATACTATTCTAAGATTAAAGTTTTTTTTTTTCTTTCAGCACTTTAAATATAGTACAGAACTCTCTCCTTACCAGTAGGATATACAGTAAGAAATCTGCTGCCAGACATATTGGAACACCTTTGTATGCTATTTATTTATTTTCTAAGCTTTTAGGATCTTTTCTTTATCCTTGACCTTCTGGAGTTTGATTATTAAATATCTTGAAGTAGGCTTATTTGCATTAAATCTTCTTGATGATCTATAATCTTCCGGTACTTGAATACTGATATATTTCTCTTTTTTTTTTTTTTTTTTTTTTTTTTTTTTGACAGAGTCTCGCTCTGTCGCCCAGGCCAGAGTGCAGTGGTGCGATCTCGGCTCACTGCAAGCTCTGCCTCCCGGGTTCATGCCATTCTCCCGCTTCAGCCTCCCGAGTAGTTGGGACTACAGGGGTAGTAGAGACGGGGTTTCACCATGTTGGCCAGGATGGTCTCGATCTCCTGACCTCATGATCTGCCCGCCTCAGCCTCCCAAAGTTCTAGGATTACAGGCGTGAGCCACTGCACCCGGCCGAATACTGATATATTTCTCTGGATCTGGAGTTCTCTGATATTATCCCTTTGCATATATTTAGTACCCCAGTCTTTCTCTCTACCTCCTCTTTGAGAACAATAACTCAGATTTGCCCCATTGAGGATATTTCCTAGATCTCATAGGCATATTTAATTCCTTTTCATTCTTTTCTGCTTTGTTTTCTCTGACCATATATTTTCAAATAGCCTGTCTTCAAGCTCACCAATACTTTCTTATGCTTAGCTAATTCTGCTATTGTGAGACTCTCATCCCAATTGAATTTTTTTAGTTCCAAAATGTCTGCTTGAGTTTTAAAAATTATTTTAATCTCTTTATTAGGCTTATCTGATATGATTCTGAATTTCTTCTCTGTGTTATCTTGAATTTCACCAAGTTTCCTCAGGACAGCTATTTTGAATTATTTCTCTGAAAGCTCACATATCTTTGTCACTTTTTCATTATTCACTGGTGCCTTATTTAGTCTGTTAGATGAGGTCATGTTTTCCTGGATGGCCTTAATGCTTCTGGATGTTTGTCAATGTCTGGGCATTGAGGAGTTAGGTATATTATAGCCTTCACAGTGTTCTCTTTTTTATAACCATCTTTCTTGTGAAGGCTTCCCAAGAATTTAAAGAGGAATCGGGTGTTGTGATGTAAGTCTTTGGTCACTGCAGCCATATCTGTGCCAGGGGCAACCCAAGGCCAGTAACATTGTGGTTCTTGCAAACTTGTAGAGATACCGCCTTGGTGGTCTTAGGTAAGATCCGGAAGATTTATCTGGATTACCAGACAGTGACTCCTGTTCTCTTTCCTTTCCCTAGAATGACAGTTTCTCCATAGTGAGTTGCCTTGAGGCTGGGGGAGGAGTGACACAAACCCCACTGTAGCCACCACCAATGGGATTGCACTGGGTCAGACCTGAAGCCAGCTCAACACTAGGTCTCACCCAAGCCCATGATGATCACAGCCAGGCTACTGCCGATGTTCACTTAAAGCTTAAAGGTTCTTCATTCAGCAGGGGGTGAATCCACCCAGGGCTCTGTCTTCCTTTTCAGGGTGGTAAGCTGTCTCTTGACTTGGGGTTGTTCCAGCAATGCCATCTGGGAGCCAGGGATTGGAGTCAGCAAACTTAGGAATCTACTTGGTATTTTATTACCCTGTGGCTGATCTTGTACACACAAGACAACATCCTTCCCACTCTTCTCTCTCCTTTCCTCAAGAAATGGAGATTCTAATCACGACCAACACCATCCCAAGCCCACAGTGGGTACTACTGCCTGACTATTACTGATGTTCATTCAAGGCCCAGGGACCAGGGGCTCTTCAATCAGCTTGTGGTGAATGTTGCCTGGCCTGGGACTCTCTTTTCAGGGCAGTGGGCTCCATTCTGGCCCAGGGCAGGTCCAGAAATGCCATCCAGTAGTCAAGGGCTGAAATTCATTACCCCAGGAGCCCATTTGGTCATTTACCCCACTAGAACTGAACTAGCACCCAAGTTGCAAGACTAAGTCCCATTTACTCTCCACTCCCCTTTTCTTAAGCAGAAGGAGTCTCTTTCTATGGTCATTATATATATGAATGTGCTTGGTCACACCTGGAACAAGCACAGAACTGGGTCTCATCCAAAGTCCTCAGCAAGTAATGCCTGGCTACTGCTGAATTTTATTCAAGGCCCAACAGCTCTTTAGTCAACAAGTGATTGATATTTCTCAGAATGAAGCCTTCCCTTCAAGTCAGTGGTTTCCCTTCTGGTCCAGGATGTGTCTAGAAATGTCATCCAGGACGTGGACCCTGGAATGGGTGCAGTGGGACTCTGCCTGGTACCCATTGTACTGATACCCTCATGTACTATACCTGAGTATTATCCAAGTTGCAAAGCAAAGTCTTCTTTACTCGCCCCTCTCCCCAACCAGAAGGAGGAAATCTCTTCTGGAGCTGTGAGCTGTACACCCTGGGGTTGGGGTAGGTGTGACACAAGTGCCCCCTTGGCTGGCACAGCTGGTGTCTCACTAGACTGTATGTACCTCAAGTCCACTGATTCTGAGCCCAGCACAATACCAGGTCTTGACCAGATATTGCAGTCCTCATGGACTAGATTGCCTTTCTAGTTTATTTAGAACACCAGAGCACTTTAGCCTGTGGTAGTGGGGCTAGCCAGAACTCAGGTTCCTACTGCTGGGGTGAACCATTCCCCTCTGGCCAGGCCTTGTCTAAATGCTTCCTCCATGGGCACCAGCTGAATTCTGCCCTGTGTTGTTTTCAGGCAGCATTGAGTTCCAATGAAAGGTTCTACAACCACCGTGTTCTCCTTCCCTCAAGAGCACAGATTCTCTCCTTGCGCCACGTGGCTACTGGCAAGGCAATTTAAGACTATGTTTCCTACCCTCTTCGGTGCCTCTTTTCTTGCTTTAATGTTAAAACCAGGTACTATAATCATTCACTTGATTTTTGGTTCTTAAGAAGATACATTCTTGTGTGGAGACTTGTTTAATTTGGTGTTCCTGAGGGAAGGGAAAATCATCACTGCTGAGTTCCATTTTGCTTTCTTACTCCACCTCCTTTTATGATTGTTTTACGTACCAAAACATGTTGCCCTTAAATACTAATTGTTTTATATCTTCATTTCCAACATTTACATTATTGATTTCTTTTTCTTATCTTAATGGAATGACAAATACTCCAGTACATATTTGAAAAGATGTTGTGAGAGGACAAAGTTGCCTTGTCCTTGGTCATATACTGAAATCATTCAATCTTTTACCATTAAGTATTATGTTAGCTCTAAGTTTTTCACGGTTTTTTTCTTTTTATTTAATTGAGAACATTTGCTTCTATTTCCTTTTTGTTAATATTTTATAAGAATAAGAAGTGTATGTTATATGAATCAGATATATTTTGTGTATCTATTGAAATGGGTATATCATTGTTCTTCTTTAATCTCTTAATGTGATGAACTAGTTTGTTTGATTTTGGAATTCATAATCATCAGGTGTTCCTGAGACAGGTATTACTTGGCCATGATGTATTGATTCTTTCTGTATATAGCTGAAATTAGTTTGATTAGAGTTTGTTGAAGATTTTTTTACTCATATTTATTTCTTGCAATTTTCCCCAAGTTTTGGTATCAGTGTTATTTAGACTAAAACAAATAAGATTGTTTTCTTTTTACATATGCTTAACAATTGTTGTAAATGTTGGTATTATTGTGTTTGACAGAATTAAGCAGTGAATTCTGTCAATTTTTGGCAGAATTAACCAGTGAGCCATCTGGGTGTGGAGTTTTCTATGAGGGAAGTTTTAATCACCAGTTAAGTTTATTGACAGAGAGCTTTAAATTATTTTCTTGTTTGTTTTTGTAAGTACTTTTGAACAAATTTTTCTGTTTTGCTTGGTTGTGAATTGTATTGCTATTGAGTTGTTAATAATAATCCCGTATTGCTTTTACTGTGTTTAGCATTTGTAATGTTGCTTGTCTTTTCATTCCTGCTATTAGCAATTTGCTTTCTCTCTCTCTCTCTCTCTCTCACACACACACACACACACACGCACACACGCACACACGCCCACACACCTTTTTCAGTCTAGGGGTTTCGTCAATCTTATCAGGGGTTTATTTATTTTTACCTAATGAACAATCTTTGCTATTGTTGTCATCTAAGTTTTCTTGTTTATTTATTACATTGATTTCAGTTTTTAATTTTATTTTATTCATTTACCTTTTGAGGGGCTTAATATGCTTTCTTTTTCTAACTTCTGAAATTGGAAGCTTTAGTCACTGATATTAAACTGAAGCATGATCTCAGGAGAAAAAGAAATATAGATCTTAACCAGTATAGTTCCTGACTTTCAAGGGTGAACACCCTCTCATTCTCACCTGCTTGTGATTACTCTCCAACATGTTCACGCTGTTCCATTTTGCGCTAGGCTTGTAATTGTCATCAGCATAAGATTTTGTCTTGTACAGGTTACTGTGACATTACTCAGGATATAGTTTACCAATTCTTACAACTTGGCAAACATAACTAACCTATAATTTTAGTTTTTTTGTGTTGTATAATTCTCGTGTAAAATTATACTCTTTCATAAAATTAATTTGGAATTTTACTTCTTTCCACCCAGGTCTCTGGAATAATTATCTTACTAAGATAGGAATTAAAGACTTATAAAATTTACTCTAAAAATATTTGAGTCTAGTGTTGGGTGAATGAGTTTATAGGTGAATATTTTGATAATGAATTATGATTTTTGAATGACTGTGGTCTTATTCAATGTCTCACACAGGATGTCTTACCACTCACAACTGAGGACATGGGCATTACTGCCTAAAAAGTATAACAGAACTCCTTAGTATTTAGGTATTAGGAAAAAAAAAAACTCCATCAACATGGTTCCAAATTGTAAGTAGGATTATACTTAATGAGTTAAAATAATAGTGTTTAATGTATATAATTGAAGGTCCATGAGAAGCTATTTCTGGTAATTTCTCAGTCTTGTGCAGTAAATTTTGATGTCTGATTTTCCACCAGTAATTAATCTCTGACCTTCATACATCACTGAAATGTCCTAGAGCACTAGGTCAGGGCTGAGTGAAACTGAAGCTAGTTCCAGTGCAGCTGTTCACCTTCTTGGTTACTAAAGATAAAAGAGTATTGTTTCTTTCTATCTACAAATAGTTACAGAAACTACTTAAAAATAAAATGAACTATTTATTGCATCAAGGTTTCACAGGAGATATTTTATTTGGCATTTTTAAAGTAATTTTATTATGATATATAAAAAATACTTGGCAATATCCTCATCCAAAAATGTATTGACATAGTGAAGGGCAAAGGTGGGATATAGTAGGAGCAAATAAAGAAATTTTCCTTTTCAGAGCTTCTGCCTACAAAGACACCTAAAAATCATATATTGACTTTCTCAAATCTTTTTGTTCTTCCCTACCATGTGGACTTCCAGAAATTATATAAATGATAGAATTGGCCCATATATAGTTCTGTGTGTCTATAGCAGAAACCATAACACTGTAAAAGTTTTAAAATTTTAAATGGAAATCAAAATAGTATCCAAAAGAACCATCTTTTATAATAAATAATAAGATACTGAAATGAGATTATCAAAGTGCACAAAAGATTGGAAAACCCTCTGTGATGCAAAAGGGATGGACAGATATGACTTCTAACTAAACAGACGGAATACAACATCTACAAACACTGAAGATATACAAAGATTAATGCACTTAGAGTTATGTCATTCTGTAGGTTTGTGAGGCATACCAATTTCTATCTGTTTATAAAAATGGAGTCCAGACCAATGTGAATGTTTTTCTGGAAGCAATTTACCTTATGACTACCTGAATAGATATTACTGTTAATTTTTCTCTTTCTCTTATCTGTCTCTCCACAGAATGAGCCCAGCAGAATTTACCTTCAAGAAGGATCTGCAGTCAGCATGTTCATCTTTTAAATGGATAATTAGACCTTAGCCTTGTGCACTCTTATTTCATGAATCTTTGTCAATGACTTGTGATTGTAATAATTGTGTATATAATACCAATTATAGCAGCTGCTTTTGTATTCAACTCTTAAATATCTGATAATTTGAATTTATTTTCTTATTATTTGATGATGTAGTTACACAGTGCATAATTTAACAGACTATTTATAAATGTCTTACATAGACTTTTGAAAAGTATTAGTAAAATTATCAAGTAAAGAGAGTGCATAAACAATCCACTCATTTATTCACAAGAATTCATCCAGGCTGTTGCCACACTCTGTGCTGTCTCCCCCAACCCATCTCCACACTGGCTGAAGTTTCCCTTTCTTCCCTCATTCCCTGTGTGACAAAGTTCTATTTATATCTTATCTTCCAACACTAACACAGACACTTCTTCCTCCACTTATTTTCTGTTCTATGCATATTTTATATTTAAAAATACTTTTTACAGTATTAATTAGGCACAATGTTTCTTTATCATCACTAACTCTTCAGCAAATTGAAGCCTATTTTCTAGGCCCCAATATCAAAACAGGACTGCTGAATACTACACATACTTTCTTGAGTCTTGAATGATTAGTATCTGTATCTAAACATTCTTAGTTCAGATACCTTGAAATGTTCGATGTCTTTGGAAGATACTGAACAATTTAAATAATATAACTTAGAAAAATATGTTTGTTTCTTCTTAATTAAGAGATAAACTGAAATGAAGCTTCTAAGATTTATTATAAATAAACTCATTAAGAAAGAGAACGGTTGTACTTTATTTCTTCTCCGTCTAATATTAAGTTAGTGTCATGTCACAAAATCTCCCAGTCTTAAATAATTTAGTATAGTATAATCATAGCTGAAATTTCATTGAACTGTTTCATCAGATAAGGTAAATCTATGGCCTTTGTTATTTAGTGTTTGGAAGATATATGGGCGAGTGAACGAGAGAATGAAATTATTTTATTAATAACACTCACTATTTTCTTTTTTACAATTGTACCTTACTCTTATCTTCTAATTTATTACCAAATCTCCAAAACAATATATAACTTAACTCTTAATGGACATCCTGAATGCAAGTGCAGACACAGAAATTGGATTCCAATTTTTTTCAAGTCAGACTATGAAACTGTTACATGGGAAATTACTCACCATAATGTCAAAGACTGGGGTCCATGTTAACCATAACTCAGTTATTCACGATCACTGTGTGAGACATATGTGGTCCAAAATCAAAATGAAATAAATGTGGCAGAGTGTACATGACTTTGGAAGTTGCGATGTATTCTTTGTGAAACCAGCTTCTGCACTCACTCCTGGCACAACCCTGGTCTCTCTCTGGCCATTCCAATTTCTCTTGCTTTTGTCTGCTATAATACACCTACTCTTGTTCACCCAGTTAATGCCTTAGGCCACACAATTATTGCTGTTTTCCTTCAAAGGTTCACCTAACCTTTCAAACATCACTTGTGTACTACCAAATCCTATAGTAGCTTTTTATATATTATCATACAGAAGACAGTATGATCTCTATGTTATACATATTGATAGAGGTAAATTAATTTTCCCAATGTCAATTAGCTAGTGCACTTGATAGACCCATTTTTTACTCCAAACCTTGTGTGTTTTTTTCTTCAAACAATAGTTTCTCTATGTTTTGAGCTTATAATGAGTAAGACAGAACAAGAATTGGATAAGTTAGGACATTTGCATTTTAAATTATGGGCCTATGGGGAATCACAGGTACCTCTCAGAAAATGCTGTTTACAGAGGTGAAGAGATATTTTTAGGTAAGTATAGAATAACTTCACATCAATAAAATTACAGTTTGTATTTATCTGGCTACTTCACCTACACAGACAGTCATAAGGCTTCATGCTTATGAAGCCTTGTATTTCATCTTTTCCAGGTCTCCAACATCCATCTTGCTTCATGTCCAACCTTGTAAAGCTCCTATCAATTTCCCTTTTCCCATTAGCATCTCTTCTGTATTTTGACCCTAGTACAACACAGCACACCCTTCTTCTAGTATATGCAAGAGACCTGGATCTGCACAACTCTCTTACCCTGAGTCAGGCTACCAGGTACTGCCCCAAAATGGATTGTCCCCTGAGGAGACGATTTGGGTATGGCACTGAATCATTTATAATCTCCTTCTTTATAAGAACAATTGTGAACCTCTCAAGAATATCCTACACATATTTCTGTTTACGCAAGAGAGCTAGAAATGCTTTGCAAAAGTGACATCCACAGCCATAAAATCAACTGGATGGAGTAGGAGGCACAGATTAATCTCTACATGCTCATTAATCTGGCTCTTCTGCCCACTGCATGCCCCCTCTTTCTTTTCTTCAATAAAGACCTGGTATCTAAAAAGATTGATTAAATCCTGGAGCTCTTAAATGTAAACCACCTCCTAAAATGTAAGCCTAAAAATGAAAACCTCCTTGAAAGAAACAAAACAGAATTAATTAAGCTTAACATTCTCCCTTCCTAGAGAGAAGAGAGAGGTTCTCCCAAAGTAACTGGTATGAAGTGAGCTGCCATACTCCTGGAAAATCTTCACCCAAAATGGCAGACAGAGTAAGTTTGACTTTGTCTCTATTCTGCTGCTTAATGACCTTGGAAATTAAGAAAAACTTTTCTGGGAATCGGCAGCTACAGAAAAAAGATCAACGCTTGTCATAAAAAAAAAAAAAAAGAGAGAGAGAGAGAGAGAGAGCTTATTTCATCCATCTCCTGTTTGATTTCTGTCCTTCGATCTGGTTATTACACCCACATTTTCAAAGGTCAGAGAGTTTAGCTGCATTTTATCTTCAGTAGGTGGGAGGCATCATTTTTAAAAGGTACCATTTTCAGGACAGGAACAAAACAGTTCTAGAGAGGATGATTACAAAGTCAAACCTCAAAGGTTTGATTTACTTGCCAAAAAACAGAGAGATAATAGTTATGGAACAGGAAAAAAATAATCATGCAATGAGAATAGCATGATTTTTTAAGTGCCTAGTAATTATCATATTTTTGAGACTTAATAGAAGTCAGCATGCAATCCTAATGATTTATGTGGTCCTCTCCTACTGTGATGTATTTTCACTATCTAGGCCAGGAGATATTATTTAATTGTTAACATTTTTATTTTTGTTTTTATTATTTCTTCTTTTTCATGGAGAAAATCAAGATTTTGTTGGTCTTAAGTTTAGTGAACAAATTAGAAATATTTAATCGTTTAAGAAAAAAATCTTAATAAATCATGCATTTTATGAATAAGGATCTTGCATAGTAAGCAGTAATTCAAGGCCCAAGAATCAATATCTTACTGTCTTAATTCTGAGCTACTTGTACTTATTCCCATAAAGGTGCCCGTGAAATAACTGGAAAAGAGAGGTAAATGAAGACGACTTTTCTATGATCAAGAAACAATAATATGATTGTGTACTCAAGTATCCTGAAGAAGTAAACCTTATTATCACATTTTTCGACTTTGAAAACTATTATCTCTATTTATTGTTCATCAAATACTTATTGTATTCCAAAGCGATGAATCACAATTGTATCATAAACTATTATCCTAATGTCCAAGTTTACAGTATGATAGCTAATATCTATGTAATTCTTATTTGTCAGACACTCTGCTATGGTCATATGTGAATTGTATTAATTAGTACAAAAATCTCATTAGATAGGTTCCAGTATTGTCTCTATACTGGGAGAAAGGGAGGAGCATAGAAGTTTAGACACTTGTTCAAGATCACCTAACTAGTGTGAAGTTGAGGAGTTGCAGTCTGCCACAAATCTATTTTATCTACTTCGAGATCCCACATATAATCACTACTACCTCCACCATTTAAAAAGAAGTTTCTTCCTTCCTTCAAAGAGTTCACAGTTTAATCTAGAAAAAAAAAATGTTCCCTTAGGATAACAGTACTTATACCTAAAGGATGAAAGCCATTTAGAGGTTTCATGGATGATTTGCATTAGATTTGTATTTTACAAAAGACATTCTGGGAAAAATGTAGAGGAGGAATGAGGAAATGAGGCTGCACATAAGGAGGTCAGGCAAAGGCATTATCTAAGATGTGCAGGAGAAATATGACAGAGCCTGAATCAGTTTAGAAATAGCAAAATAAAAGACATGGGGTTACATCTGTGAAATCTTTAGAGAAAAATTATCAAGAGTTGACTGAATGAACTCAATAATATGAAAGAGGAAAAATAAGAGAGGAGACATCACTGTGAATAAGGCATTTATTTCAAATCATTTTTCCAATATGATTTGGAAAGAGTTTTGGTAGTAATAGTCATTAAATATTCTAGTATATGATTAACATATGTAAGTACAAAAAACAAATTGTAGGTGAAATTGACCAATTACCATAAATTTTCTGAGTATTCTTTAGAAAAATACTTTGATATATACCTCATATATTTGTTATAAGAAGTAAATAATATAACATTCATAAAGAGTTCAGCAGATAATTTAGCAGAGCAAATGAATTTGCTGAATTAGTTTCCTTTCCTTTCACAACTATGGCCACAATTAGTTCTTATCTGAGAGCAGTAATTTTCATAAACTGGAGCTTCTATTTTTTATTGATGAAAAATTTTTTGAGACTAGACATCCTGCCAGTCTTGCAAATATAAAAATGAGTGGGATTCAGTTTCTTTCCTTAGCACATGTAAAATAGGAAAAGTTAGGCATGGCAGTCCAGAAAACTGTGGTTTGCTGAACTCCATGACAGGCATTGTACAGTGTAATGTTATTCAGATCAGATTCTTCCTAATTATTGATAGGGAAGGACTAACTATTTTTATTGTGTTATTTGTTTTATCTCTGCCTTATAGCTCTTTTGTCTCTCTATTCCTCTCTTGCTGTCTTCTTTGGTGGTTCATTGATTTTTTGACAGGGACATCCTTTGAATCATTTCTCATTTTCTGTGATGAATTTACTATAGACATTGTCATTGTGGTTACCACTGGGCTTTCATAAAACATGCTATACTCAAAACAATCCATTCTAAGATGATAACAACTTTAATCACATACAGAAACTCTAAACTTCTACTTCTCCACACACTCTTGGTAGTTACTGATGTCACAAATTATGTTTTTGTTTGTTTGTTTGTTTGTTTTTGAGACAGGGTTTCACTCTTGCTGCCCAGGCTGGAGTGCAATGGCACCATCTCGGCTCACTGCAACCTCCACCTCCTGGCTGAAGCAATTCTCCTGCTTCAGCCTCCTGAGTAGCTGGGATTACAGGCAGGCGCCACCAAGCTGGCTAATTTTGTATTTTTAGTACAGATGGGGTTTCTCCATGTTGCTCAGGCTGGTCTCGAACTCCCGACCTCAGGTGATCCACCTGCCTCGGCCTCCCAAAATGCTGGGATTACAGGCATGAGCCACTGTGCCCAGCCAAATTATGTGTTTTTATATTGCCTATCCATTAACATATTTTAGATGGTTATTTTTATACTTTCATTTTTTAAATTCTTTATCAGAATTAAAAGTGATTTAAACACCACCATTAGAGTATTAGATTATTCTGTATTCATCTACATATTAACCTTTGACAGTAAGGTTTATGATTTCATATGCTTTCTTATTGCTGTCTCATGTGTTTTCATCTCAAGTTAAATTAGTTTCTTTAGCATTTCTTGCATTTGTTTTCCTGTCAAAATTTTGAATATATCATCCAACCACCTTCTGGTCTGCAAGGCTTCTGTTGGGAAATCCACTAATATTCTGATGGAATTTCCCTTAAATGTGACAGCTCACTTTCTACTTGCTTCTTTTAAAGTTAGTTTTCTTTGACTTTTGATGATTTAATTGTAATGAATCTTGGTTTGCACTTCTTTTGATTTATCTTATTCAGGAAGTTTGTGATTTGGAATTTGGATGTTCATTTCCTTCTCCAGATTTGATAATTTTTAAGCTATGATTTTTTCTTAAATCTGTCTTTTTTTCTCTTTCTCCTCTTTTTAGGACTCTGATCATATATATATTGATAAAATTGTCAGTGCCCCTTAAGTCCCATAGGCTTTCTTTATTCTTTTTCTTTTTTTTTTCTTTTTGCTCCATAGGCTTTCTTTATTCTTTTTCTTTTTTTTTTCTTTTTGCTTCTCTGAATGGAAAGTTGTACATGAACTGACTTTAAGTTCATTGGTTAGATCTTCTGCTTGATCAAGTCTGCTGTTGAACACTTTTAGTGATTTTTATAGATATCTTCTTTTGGTGCGTACTTAATTCCACTTGCAAAATATTTCTCCATAATATCCCCTTTGTCTAAAAAGTATTTCTCTTTCCATGTAATTATTTATTTATGTATTTATTTATTTATTTTTGTGATTTAAGCTCTGTCTTGCTTGTCACCTTTTGTGTAAAGATATCTTTGTCCACACCATCCTACATGTCTTTTTCTCCTCTTTTACTAATAGCACATTATTATTTACAATTTTAGTACTTTAACATGCAAACACTGTCCCATTTCAAATGACTTACTCATGTATTTGTGTAACCAAGGAAGTCAGCTTTGAAAAGTGTCAGATTTGACTCCTCACCACAGGACTCACTTAGAACTGGAACATATTTTGAGAATATATATCAAGATAATTCAACTGAACAGACTCTGATAGAATTAGCATGCTATTTGTCCTATTGCCTTTGGTGAGCAGGAACAAGGGGCTGGGAGACAAGACATATTTCTGTATCCTTGAATATTACTGAAGATATACATTGGATATTGAAATGAGGCTATCTACATTAGTATACTTACATTGGGATATTTCACACATTATATAATGATGCAGGTTTAGCTGTTTTGTGAGATAGAAATTGATTTCTATGAATCCCTTTCAGGATGAAGTCTATACTTTTATGCATGGTCTGGTCTCTGCCTCCATTTTGAATTCTTCTATAAATCCACCCTTTTCTCTAGACACATTGATACATTTTTATGTTCTTGAAATTATTATAGTGATTAAATATTAATGTTCCTAGATACATTATTCACTGTACTTTAGTATCTTTTACCTTAAATACTGAATGTATTTCATCATAAAGGACTTGCATTCATTTTTCCCATTGGGGATACAACCCCCTTATCCCAACTGGGAATACCGTAATGAAAATTTATTTCATTCTTTATTATTTTAAAGCATATGGCTGAGTTCATATTTCAGGATGACTACATGTGGAGCTCTGAAGACCCATTCCCCAGACAAACAAGCCAAGCTGGTCAAAATTTAATTAAACAACCATTTAAAGTCTCTGAAAATTGTTCTAAATGCATACAATGAACAAATAATTTTTTTAACATTAATTAAATTTTGGTAAGAATTGAAAGAATCTCTAGGATTTGAACCACAGCATGCTTCATCTCCTCAGCTTCCCCATCCAGCTCATCCTGACAGAAATTCCATTGCAGGCAAGTATAGACAAGAAGACAGGGCTCTCTCTCCCTTCACAATGCAAATAAAGCTTACTGAGTCTCAGAGGGAGTTGGAAGGGGCAAGACACCAGCAATTTTCATCCCTAAGAATATTGGGACACTGACCCCAGCTCCTCCCACCAGTTCACTCATAGGTCAGAGGTTTCACATAAGGAGAGACAAGCAAGAAGTTCAGAAACTATAGACCTACCTAGATTAGTAGCTAAGAGAACCTTTGGGGAAAAAAAAGCCTTTTCAGGATAAATTAAAAACTGAGAAATCTTATTTCTAGTAGGCCTGCCTTATAGGAAATACTAAAGGCTATTCTGTAGGCTGAAAACAAATAGGCCCAGATGGAAATGCAAACACACACACACACACACACACACACACACACACGCACACAAACACACAAAGAGCACCAGTAAAAGTAATTACGTAAGTATAAGATACAGTATTAATGCATATTTTCTCCTTCTTTATAATGGATTTAAAAATCATTTCTATATTCTTCTCAAATATGGTCAAATTATTTTTGAAAAGAGTATGAAGACCATTCAAAGAGGAAAGAACAGTTCTGTCAACAAATGGTACCGGGAAAACTGGATATGCACATGCAGAAAATGAAGTTGGACCTTTACTTTACACCACGTATAAAATTAACTAAAATGGATAGAATACCTATATCTAAGAGCTAAACTATTAAACACCTAGAAGAAAACAAAGGGGGAAACCTATAAACTTGGATTGGATAATTTTCTTGGATATAATAAAAGCACAGGCAAGAAAGTAAAAATAGATAAATCGAACTACATCAAAATTTAAAAAAACAACTGCATCAAAGTATGCAATCAAAAAGGCAATATATGGAAAGGAAGAAAACATTTGCAAAGAAGATATATCATAAAGGGTTACCATCCAGAATATTTAAAGAACTCATACAACACAGTAATTTTACAAAAGATAATAATAAAAATGGGCAAAAAGTTTGAATAGACATTTCTCTGAAAATGTATTCAAGTGGCTGACAAGCACATGAAAGGTTTTCAAAATCACTAATCATGAAAATTCAAATCAAAAGCATATTAGGATACCATCTAACACATATTAGGATGGATATTCTGAAAAAAGAAAAGGACAAGAACAAATTTACAAGAAAAAAACAAACAACCCCATCAAAAAGTGGGCGAAGAATATGAACAGACACTTCTCAAAAGAAGACATTTATGCAGCCAAAAAACACAGGAAAAAATGCTCATCATCACTGGGCATCAGAGAAATGCAAATCAAAACCACAATGAGATACCATCTCACACCAGTTAGAATGGCAATCATTAAAAAGTCAGGAAACAACAGGTGCTGGAGAGGATGTGGAGAAATAGGAACACTTTTACACTGTTGGTGGGACTGTAAACTAGTTCAACCATTGTGGAAGTCGGTGTGGTGATTCCTCAGGGATCTAGAACTAGAAATACCATTTGACCCAGCCATCCCATTACTGGGTATATACCCAAAGGATTATAAATCATGCTACTATAAAGACACATGCACATGTATGTTTATTGCGGCACTATTCACAATAGCAAAGACTTGGAACCAACCCAAATGTCCAACAATGATAGACTGGATTAAGAAAATGTGGCACATATACACCATGGAACACTATGCAGCCACAAAAAGTGATGAGTTCACGTCCTTTGTAGGGACATGGATGAAGCTGGAAACCATCATTCTCATCAAAGTATCACAAGGACAAAAAACCAAACACCGCATGTTCTCACTCATAGGTGGGAATTGAACAATGAAAACACATGGACACAGGAAGGGGAACATCACACTCTGGGGCCTGTTGTGGGGTGGGGGGAGGGATAGCATTAGGAGATATAACAAATGCTAAATGACGAGTTAATGGGTGCAGCACACCAACATGGCACATGTATACATATGTAACAAACATGCACGTTGTGCACATGTACCCTAAAACTTAAAGTATAATAATAATAAAATTAAAAAATAAATACATAAAAATAAAAAAAAGAAAAAAAAAGAACACTGAGGCCCTTATTCACCCTTGTTTTAAATGTAAAACAGTGTGGAGATTTCTTTAAAAAATCAAAATAAAATTACTAAACCCTCTGGAGATTGTTTGCACAACATGTGACTCTATATAACACTACTGAACTGTACACTTGAAAATGGTTGAGATGGGAATGACATAAGCAAGATAGTGAAATAGAACTTTTCAGCAGTTTTCCCTTTGCAAAAACATCAATTTGAGCACCTATTCATGTACAAAAATAGCTTCACCAGAGCTAAGGAAACCAGATGACAGATTAGAGCACTTGGGTCCAGCACAAAACTAAGTAAAGATGCATTCAAGAGGGTAGAAAGAATAGTTTTACATTATCCAGACCACTCCTCTCCTAACCCCAGGCAGCACAGCATGGAGAAAGATAACCTCCTAGAGGAAAGGGAATGAAGTGAACACTGAACTTTGTCTTGGACCCCAATAGTGGGTCAGCCCAAGTAAATGCTATTGCTATTCAGGCCCTCAAAGCCCCAGACTTTAGGCTGGTAGCTGTGGACTGAGCTTCAGGCCCAACCCAATGCCAGGTGGGCCCCTAAGGCTCAGGTTTGTGCCTGCCCCAGCATCAGTCTGGCTCTTGCAGCCCTAATAACCACGCCAGCATATATAGACCCAGTCTTCAGGCCCAATTTAATTGCCAAACCAGCCTCCATGGCCCCAGGTGGCATGCTGGCCCCACAGACTTATTATTCATGCCCTCCCAATACCAAGCCAGACCCACAGACTTAGGCATCAGGCCAACAGCCTGGAACTCAGCTTCCAGTCCCACTCCAGCTCCTTTATGGCCACCATGGCCTCAGGTACTAGGCTGACACCTGCAGGCCTAGCCTTCAGGCCAGCATTTGTGAACACAGACTTTAGGTCTACCCAGAGCCAGGACAATCTCCATGATCCCAGGTTCTAGGACAATTCCCCTAGCATCAGAATGCAGGCTTACTCTGGTGGACCTAGCCTTCAGGTTTACCCCAGAGCCAAGCTGGCCCTGTGGGTCCAGGCCCATGCCAAGTCTTCACAGACCTAGCCTAAAGGCCTATACCCACATACCCAACTTCCAGGCCAGCTCCTGTGGACCCAGGCTCTAGGCCCAATCCTGTGGGTCTAGGCATGAGGCCCGTCCACCAGCTGACCCAGGCCAGTTTGCCTACGCAATCAAGCATCAGGATAGGCTGTGGTCTATGCCAGACAGGCTGTCCAGAGCAATTAGACAAAAGAAATAAAAGGTATCAAAATAGGAAAGGAAATGAAACTGTCTCCATTTGCAGATGACATGATCTTGCATATATACACCCTAAAGACTCCAGCAAAAAAACTGTTAGAAGTAATAAACAAATTCAGTGAATTTGCTAGATACAATGTCAACACACCAATTTTAGTAATGTTCATGTTAATAATGATAAAAGTGACATTTTATGGTAACAGTGTCAATATATCTGGAAGTTACAATAATTATAGACTTATTTTTCACCTAAAATTTAAGCTTTATCATAATGAACAAAGGCTGAGAAAATTATCAGGAGAAATAGATAATTTGACAAGTAGAGTCAGAGTCATAACTGCCTCACTTTCAATAATGAATACAACAACTATGCAAAAGATTAACAAGAAATGGAAGACTTGAACATTCTATACACAAGCTAGACCTAACAAATATATATATACGTGTGTGTATATATGTATGTGTGTATATATATATGTGTTTATGTGTGTGTATGTGTGTATGTATATATATCTGTGTTCGTGTGTGTGTATGTGTGTGTGCGATGTGTGTGCTTGTGTATAAAATGTTCCACCCAACAACAGGAGAATACCCATTCTTTTTGAGCTCAAATGAGACATTCCCCAGCTTAGGCCATAAATTCGACCATCATATAAGCCTCAACATGTGCCAAATGTTTGAAATCATACAGAGTATGTTTTCTGATTACAATAGTGTAAATTTAGATGGTTACATTAAAAAAATTGAAAACTCATAAATATGTGGAAATTAAACAACACACTATTTTTTAAACAATGAAACAAAAGCAAATCTGAGGATGACGTTTTGAGATAAATGAAAATAAAGACATAACAGACCAGGACTTATATGATGCAGCTAAAGCAGTGCTTAGAGATAAACTTATAATTGAATTTGCTTACAATTTAAAAACTGGAAAGATCACAAATAAACTACCATATCTTTGACCTGATAACACTTGAAAAGTGAGAGCAAGCTCAATTCAGAGCAAAGGGAAGAAAGAAAATAAGAATTAGAGCTGAAATTAAAGCAGAGATAGTAAAAACATGAAATGAAATAAAACCTAAAAGTTTTTCTTCAAAAAGATAAACAAAATTGACAAATATTTAGCTCTAAGAACACACAAAAAAGTTGAAAGTCTTAAATTATTAAAATTAGAAATGAAAGAGGGACATTACTACCAACCTCACAGATATAAGACTATATGCTAACATATTAGATAAGTTAAATTGGAAAAGGTTTAGAACAACAAAAATATAAAATCTCCCCAAAAATAAATAGAAAGTCTCAAAATATTTATAATAGGTAAAAAAAGAGTACATCATTAAAAAAAATAAAAAATAACTCTTCTCAAAGAAAAATCCATGACCATATTGCTAAAACTGATGAATTCTGGCCAGGCATGGTGGCTCATGCCTGTAATCCCAGCACTTTGGTAGGCCACGGCCAGCAAATGGCTTAAGCCAGGAGTTCAAGACCAACCTGTGTGACATGGTGAAACACCATCTATACTAAAAATACAAAAATTAACCGGACATGGTGGCATACACCTGGGGTCCCAGATATTTGGGAGGCTGAGGTGGGAGGATCATTTGACCCAAGAAGCGGAGGCTGCAGTGAGCCAAGATTGTGCCACTGCACTGCAGCATGGGCAACAGAGTGAGACTCTGTTTAAAAAAAAAAAAAGAAAAAGAAAAAGAAAGAAACTAAGAAATTAACAAGACCCAATCAACTGGAAAGTCATCTCATGTTCATAGATTGGAAGGCATCATATTATAAATGTGATGATATTGCCCCAATTGATCTGCAGTTCCCTGTCATCCATATCAAAAAACAAGATGATTTCTTGAGGAGATATATATATATATGTATATGTATATACTGGTTCTAAAATTTATAAGAAAATTTGGAATTAACAAAATAAACTTGAAAGAGAAGAACAAGTTGAAGAATTTACACTTCCTAAATTGAGCTAACTGTAAAGACAGAGTAGTGAAGACAGTGTGGCAATGACATTAGGGTAGACATATAGATCAATGTAATAGAACTGACAGCCCAGACGTAAACCCTCACATTTATGGTCAATTGATTTTTAACAAGACTACCCAGACAGATAAATGGGAATAAAATGATCTTTTCAATAATTTCTGTTAGGACAACTAGATACCTTTAAAAAATAGTGTTGGATTCCGACCTCACAACATATACAAAAATTAACTGAAAATAGATCAAAGACAAATGTATAAGCTAAAACTATAACACTCTTACAAGAAAACCTAGACCTAAATATTTGTGACCTTAAATTAGGCATTGACTTAAGCAGAGTTTCTCAAAATACAAGCAAAAAATGATAAAATAAACTGCATATCATCAAAATTTTTTTTATGTGTGTGTTTCAAAGGACACCATCAATGCAACTAAAAAATAACACTAAAGAATGGAAAAAGGCCAGGTGGCTCACGCCTGTAATCCCAGAACTTTGGGAGGCCTGGGCAGGTGGATTACCTGAGGTCAGGAGTTCGAGACCAGCCTGACCACACATGGTGAAACCCCCTCTCTACTAAAAATACAAATAAATTAGCCAGGTGTGGTGGCAGGCGCCTGTAATCTCAGCTACTCAGGAGGCCGAGGCAGGAGAATCGCTTGAACCCGGGAGGTGGAGGTTGCGGTGAGCTGAGATCACGCCACTGCACTCTAGCCTGGGCGACAGAGCGAGACTCCGTCTCAAAAAAATAAAATAAAATAAAATAATGAAAAAAAATACATTGAAAACCAGGGACTCACCTCTTGGATATGTAAAGAATTTTTACAACTCAATAATAAAATCCAAATAATCCACTCATTTAATGGCCAAGTAATTAAGTAGATGTTTTTTCAAAAAAAAAATGCAAATGAAAATAAGCAAATGAATTGATAGTCAACATCATTAGCCACAGGAAAATGTAAATCAAAACTATAATCTGATACCACTTCACACCCATTAGCATGACTATAAGCAAAAGGACAGAAAATAAATATCAGCAAAGATGTGGAAACATTGGAACTGTAACATACTACTGGTGAGAACCTAAAATGGTACAACTGCTTCAGAAAACAGTTTGGCATTTCCTCAGACTATTCGACAGAGTCGCCATGTCCCCCAGCACTTCTATGCCTAGGTATACACCCAAGAGAACTGAAAACATACTTCCATGCACAAAACATATACACAAAGAGTGGCATTATTCATAATAGCTAAAAAGTGGAACAAGCCCCGATGTCCATCACCCGATGAATGGATATAGAAAATATACACTTAATAAAGAATGTTATTGGCTGGGCACAGTAGCTCATGCCTGTAATCACAGCACTTTGGGAGACTGAGGTGGGCAGATCAGGAGGTCATGAGATTGAGACCCTCCTGGCCAACATGGTGAAACCCCATCTCTACTAAAAATACAAAAATTAGCTGGGCCTGGTGGCATTTGCCTGTGATCCCTGCTACTCGGAGTCTGAGGCAAGAGAATCGCTTGGACCAGGGAGTCGGAGGTTGCAGTGAGCCGAGATCATGCCATTGCACTTCAGTCTGGCGATGGAGTGAGACTCCATCAAAAAAAGAAAAAAAAAATTGTTATTTGGTAACAAAATAATGGAATGCTGATACATGCTATAACATGATCAACCTGGAAAACATTTTTGTGAGTAAAATAAGTTAGCCACAAATTACCACATATTGTATGAAAATGTTTGTATGATGTGATTTATATAAAATATTCAGAATAAGCCAATCTATATAGATTGAAAGCATATGAGTGGTTGCTTAGGGTCAGGTGGAATGGAGAAATTGAGGAATAATGGTTAAGGGAAGTGGGGTTTCTTTTTGGTATAACAAAAATATTTGATTGTGGTGATAGATGCACAACTCTGATTGTATGAAAAGACATTGAATTGTACATTTTAAATTGCTGACTTTTTTGGTATGTAAAATATTTATCAATGAATCTGTTAAAAAAACGGCTAATATAACAATAGTTGTTGTTGTTTGATTCTACGCTTTTTGTATGTTCTGGAGGACAGGTTCCCATCCTCATGGAGTATGGCTTCTGAGCTGGTGCAGCTGCAGCAGGCCTGTCCCACACTCCATCATGATGGTAGGTTCTGCACAGGCACTATATTAGGTGACCAGTGGGCCCCAGGATCACTGACCTGCTCCCACTCCTCTTTCTGTAAGGGGATTCCTTCATTAGATTCCATTTTTTGTAAGATTCGATGACTAAAAATTTAGCATTCCATACATCCTTGAAGTGAAAGCCTACAGACCTTTAGAAAATGTAAACCCATACTTCAACAGCTTTCTGATACTTTACAAAATTTGAAAATTTATTATCAGAAGTAGTGTTGTTTCCAGAGAGAGAGAGCTGATAAGCTGCTATGAGAGAATTTGTAAAAATTGGAAGTTTGAGTGTCACAGGATCCTTAGGGTGTTGCTTTTCCAGCCAGAAATCTTTGTGGCCAGTGGTGCCTTTGCTGAGGTTTTACTTGGGCCCACTGGGCTTGTTCCACCCACTCAGCCTGGCAGGCTGTGCTCGGCTTACATTACTGGCTCAGATCCCACACCAGCCAAGGGAAAGCCAGGCACAGAGTGGCAAGGGGTGTGTGAGTGAGCAGGAGATCCAGCCACTGCACACAGCAAGGCATGCTGGCTGAGGTGGGACAGGCAGCTGCAGGTGGCAGTACAGGCACTGGCTGCATGTGAGGCTGTGGCTGAACCAGGTGTACTGCAAGCAGCTGCCACTGTGGGCACCAGGGAATGCAGTGGCTCCCAGAAACTTGGAGATGTCAGGAACTGCAGAGCCCCAAAGAGGATGTCACAGCCCTGGCTCAGAGAGACCCTAGGTCTGGGCTCCCTGAAGGGCAGTAGCTCTTCTCTCTTCTTGTTTGCAACGTGGTGAGCGGGGGTGTATTTCAGTCCTGTTTGTGTTATAGCTCTTTCAGTCCTGCCATTCAGTGGGTCCTGAGTTCTTGTCCTGCATCCAAGAAGCATGAGGTATGTGGACAACTGAAGGGTGAGCAAGGCAGAGGAGCTTCATTGAGTCACAGAACAGCTCTCAGGAGACCCACAGTGGGTAGCTCCTTTCCGCAGGCAGGTCATCCCAACAAATATGCAGTTCTCAGCAGAGAGGATACCCACAGTAGGTAACTCCTTTGTGCAGCTGATAGTCCTGACATCTGTGTGAGTCTGGCTGAGTCCAGGGGATTTTATGGGCTCAGAAGGGAGGAAGTGCATGTTGATTGGTCCCTGGGTGGCAAGGCACAGGCATGGAAAAACATCATAAGTTCTCACTCCAGGCTGAGGACTCCACCGGAACTGTCAGCCCAGCCCCAGGCTTCAAGCTGTCCTAGGCTTGGAGGTGGGATTTCACCAAGACCACCTTTTTCTGCTCAGAAGTCTGTCTGCCTCTGCCATCAACATGCTGTCCACTGTGCCCAGGCTGTTTGCACCCAGGGGTGGCTGCAGGCTCATGAGGAGCTGCAACCCCTGGCCTCCCTCTTGTGCTTTTTGGTGCCCAGAATTTCAGAGGGCCCCAGAGGTGGTGAGGAGGTTGGTATGTTGGAGCCGCCCTCAGCATACACACATCCAGCCGGGTCACCACAGCACTCAGGCTTTGCTTCAACATTGCTCCAAAATCACAGTGGGGACAGGGAGCCCGGAGAACAGGAGCAGTCACTTCATTTATTTATTTATTTATTTATTTATTTATTTATTTATTTATTGAGACGGAGTCTCGCTCTGTCACCCAGGCTGGAGTGCAATGGCATGATCTCTGCTCATTGCAACCTTTGCTTCTCAGATTCATGAAATTTTCCTGTCTCAGCCTCCTCAGTACTTGGGATTACAGGTGCCCACCACCACGCCCGGCTAATTTTTTGTATTTTTAGTAGAGACGGGGTTTCACCATGTTGGCCAGGCTGGTCTTGAACTCCTGACCTCATATGATCCACCCGCCTCGGCCTCCCAAACTGCTGGGATTACAGGCGTTAACCACCGCGCCCGGCCCAGGAGCAGTCACTTCTGAGCCTGCCGGGGCAGCAGGGATTCCCGGGCCTCCGAGAGCGCATGAATACCTGGGTCTAGAGCTGTGGCTGGGCGACTGCAGCTGAGCCCAGGAGCCCAGGGCTCCCACCCCGCCAAACTTGGTAAAGGGCTGGGCCCTTGCCTATTCCTGGCTCCCACCAGCCCACCCCGGGGCACGCCTTCCCCGCTGCGACCTGTGTCTTCGCAGCAGCTGCTACACATGGGCCACTGCTGCCATTGTAAGTACTTATTTCTCTTGTGTCTCCTATTTCTAGTTCAGTGCTTGATACCTAGCTAACATTCAGTAAATAGTTATTTCTTTTAAAAAAAAATACTGATCTCAGTGTATCATGAAGCCTGTGGAGATTAATTCAGATCATAAAGGAAAAATAGTATTTGATCAAGGTGATATATGTGGAGAAGGCGCTACTGGGTAGGGGTAATACTGCAAATGTAAGCTCTGGGTTATAAACATAGAATATTCTAGGATAATGAAGAGACAACTATGGTTAAACTGAAAAAAAATCAGGTTGTTAATAATGGGAGACAAAGTAAGAAAGATATTTTATGATGACATCAGGCATTCTTATGCTAAGAATGGTTTTCTTAAAATCCAAAACTTTTGGATTTTATTCAGTGAAACAAGAATACCCAGCCTCCTGGTGGTTGGTAGATAGGTGTCTTCTGATCGGAATTCTCAAATGCTGTAGGTGCTGAGAGATGAACTCATTGGGAAGATCTTGAAGCCAGTTAGTCATTTTGACTGATTTGAGTGGGGCCTACAAATGCCAGCATTCATCAGACCATCCCTGCCATTCCCTATACCCTGAATGAGCACTTAAACTTCAGGAAACCTGTGAAATGGAGGAATCAAGTACCTGAGTATAGTAGGACGTCATGAAAATTGACAAATAGAGTTTGCAGTAGGCCATGCTATGAGTGGGCAAAGCCCGTTGTATTTCGCTCCTTCACATTTTATAGCCATTTCTTTGTTTCATTTGCTTTACCCCAGATGAGCCTTCTCTCCCTAAGTGCTTTTTGCTGTGATTTCATTTAATTAAAGACCACTGCTTGATGTTGGAATAATCCCTTCTAGAGATGTTTTGGGGCTAGTGGAACACAACATTCCACGTGAACAATTTTTTTTTAGATACTTTGAGTATTTCTTTTCTAGAGAACATAAACTTCAACCTTTTTTTTTTCTGTTGTGATCAAATAGGTGGTGATAAGTAAATGCACAATATGCTCTTATGGCCATAGGCAAATCTCTTGTGTTAAGACATATTCCAGCCCATATTTTTGCGTGAGAAAATTTCTGAGAAAACAGGTAAATGAGAGTGCCATTATTCTAAGAAGAAATTAGTTCGCTCTGTTTTTTTAAAAGTATATATTTGCAAACATTTTTGTCATCATTAAACTTGTCAGTTAAGAATTTAGTTAATCTGTAACTTCATCAGCCTCCAGAATAGCACATTCACCAAAGTCAACAGAAATCCCAGCAGTGTAAATGCGGTGAAGACTTTGCGAGTAGCACTTAGAACCAAAACATGTATAGAAAATGTTGATGGTGTCTTAAAGTTATTCTTTATTTTAATTCAAGCACAATTGCCTAAATTCTTATTGAAGAAAACCCATTTCTAGTATTTGCATCTCATTCCTCGAACAGTTTAGCTTCATATTGCCACTGTTTACATGAAAAGTACTGTAATATAAATGGCTTTCATAAAAGTTGCCAACTTCCAACCACCTGCTGTGTGCTGACAGCAGCAGCAACAATTCTGCTGCAGCAAAATAATACTCAATTGCAATACCTCCTGTCAGATCCACAAATCGTTCTCTTAGGTTATGTGGTTTGTTGGAATAAGACCATATTTACTAATATTCCTTTGCTATCTCTCAGCCTTCCCAGCATTATTTGCTTTGATTGATTCCATGGTAGCATGGGGCAAGCAGAAATGTGATCTTGTTTGGAAACCTCATTTTTCTGCAGTTCATATAGGGAGTGGCAACTGAAAAGTATAAGGTTCAGAGAGTTTGCAGATGGAAATAGGCCCAATGACAGTAAGTTCAGTGTAAAATGGAAATGCTTTCCTGCCAGTGCAGCTGTTTCCATTGCATTTCTCCAGCAATGTCTGATTGCAGCACTTGGAATTGTACAGGAGCTGATGGACTAGGGTATCAGAAAGAAAAGACTTGGGATGCCCCTAAATTAATCTGGTGCATAGAAGTACTTGAGTGGAAACCAGATATTTTCTCCGTGTACTGATATATGTTGCTATGATTTGGAGGAAATGATCAGAAAATAATAATGGAAAGGTAGGTTTTCTCCAGTAAAAGTTCTAAAACACAAGTCATTCATCAGTGGCCACTCAGCAGCAGGTAAAATAGCATATTCTCAAAGGATCCCAGAAGCCAAAGAAAGTGGGTTAAGCAATCCAAGTATGTGTGGCTGGTTTTACACTGGAGTGACCACTGAGAACTGTGGGCACCTGGGTAATTCTTGCCCTTTTTAAAAGATACAGCTGCTTCTCCATTTCTGCCTATCCTTGCCACCCTAAATGTGAGCCCACATTGCTGTATTTCAGTTTTGTTTCCAGTAAAAAGTCAGAAATTAAAAATTTTATGTAAAATATTTCTAAATTCCAAGTCAGAGGGCAAGGCAGACTGGGTGATACAATCTTCATGACACAGGGCAGAGGAGACAGCAGCAAATAACATACCTGGATTGGGAAATGGGAGGGGCAACAAGCAACGAAAGATACTGCTTTCCCATTCCATCTCTTCATTGATAGATTCCACGTTTATTCCTCAGTCCTCACACTGATTTTGAAAGAGGTGATTACTTTCTTCTTCTTAAGTCATAAACTTCATTTGGCTCCTAGGACATTACCCTCTCCTGGTTTTCTTCCATGTCTATTGGCTGTCTGTCTTGTGTACTATATTAGATCCCCCTCCTTCAAGATTTGGTTTCATCTGTGTTGTTCTCTATCACGCAAACTCAAGAGACTTAAATATCATTTATACGGCAATCGTTCCAAATTTATACTACCATTAACTAATTAGACCTCAAACACTAGGCTGCTATCTACTCAACTTTACTAATTATCTGCAATGATTTTCTCAAACTTAGCATGCTCAAAACCATCTCAATGTTCATCCTAAATTACTCTAAACTCGTCTTTATGATTTTATTGAATAATAATGATTACTAAATGATTTTACCAAAATATAATGATAATTATAATACTAAATATATATGTACACATACATACATACATGCACATACATCTCCACTTGTTTTCTGTAGTCTCCCTAGAATATAAGCTACATGATGCAAAAGGTAGTTTTGTAGACACATATTCCTTACCAGAAAGTATTTCACACCAAATTACTCACATCTATCTCTTGTCTTTCTGTTGTACTGATTCACCCCATTGTTTTAAAATTCAGCTTGGCTTCACCTTTATTGATGTTTCTTACCTTTCCTTCAGAGACAAATGAACACTTCTTTGTTCCTATACCAAAGATATTTTTTATCATTGAATGCCATATATGTTTATAGTTGTTTATATTTTTATCCTTTCCATGATGTCATGTTGCCATATTCAGTTTTAAATAAAAATTATATAGATGCCAGATATGAATACAGTAAAATGTATGTGTCACATTCATTTAGTAATATATATTTATTTTATTAATAATGTATGTATGCCTGCATCATTTTAGACAATATGCTGTGAGCTAAAGATGAACAAGTCATAGACATTGATTGGTCTGATGCAGCTGGTTTAAAGTTTCCTTGTTAAACATGGCATCCTCAAGATGGCATCTTTACCTCTGTCTCAAGACCCAATTATGATAAAAGAAAAGAATGAATCAATCACCTGCGACAACATTGATAGTGTGGTAGACTGAATAATTATTCTTCCTCCCCCCAAAAAGGATATTTGCATTCTAATGCTTATAACCTGTGAATATATGACCTTATGTAGCAAATAGGGCCTTGAGGGTGTGATTAAGAATCTTGAGATGGGAAGATCGCTCCAAATTATCAAGGTGGGCCCGATGTAATAATAAAGGTCCTTATAATTAGGAGGCAAGACTGTCAGAGGCTCATAAGATAATGTGACAGTGGAAGCAGAGATCAGAGAGAGAGAGAGATTTGAAGAGGATGATGGTTTGAAGATGGAGGAAGTGAGCAAGAGCCAGGAAGTTCAGGTAACCTCTACCTGCTGTAAGAGGCAAGGGCACAGGTTGTCTCTTAGAACTTTCAGAAGGAATACAGCTCTGCCAACATCTCAATTAAAAAAACTCAAAAAAATAATATGTAAAATTATACCAGTGACTTTGAGATGAAAGAACAGATATAATGACAAAAGGTGGCCTTCAAGGAGTTATCCAGGATAGAGTATGGCAAGGCCTGTGACTTTTTCCTGCCTTCTGTAAAATGTGCTTATTAAAGTGCATATGCGTGCATTATATTGATACAAATTATTGTCACTCTGGGTTCAAATAGTGACTTTCAATCATTGATACAATGGGTCTATTTTCTTGATGCTCTACCTAATACACATTTTCCTCTTACTTCATACTGATAAATCCCCCCCCATTCACCACCCACACACAATTTAAAAACAAATAAACAAACTACATTTGCCAGTAATGGCTAATGAGACATAAGCAAGACTGATTTGGGGCAGGTGTGAGGGCTTTATTATTAATAATATGCATGATGTCCCCATCATTCTTTCCTTTATTCCTGTGGGAATACAAATGTGAAAGTGGAAATAAAAGAGTCTTCCTGTGAATTCAAGGCAATTCATAGTAGAAAACCACGTACGAAGAAGCACTGAGCGGAAAAATATAAGAACTTAAGTACCTTATGGTATCATGAAAACTCTATTTCTCTCCATTGGCTGTGTCTGAGTTTCTTATGTTAGAGAATAAACACTTTATGATTTCACTTCACAGATTTTAGTAAACTAATCTGGATCAAATAAAATTCGAAACCCCTAGATAATGATAGCTGTATCCACTACATTAAGTGTTATATAGAATAACAGAAGAAAGTGTGAAATATGATCCCTATATCAAGCTGTGTATAATCCTAAATATATATGAAAATATACTTTTATCTTGCTGTACTACTTAATGTTTGTAGTTGCCACAAAATCTCCTTGCAACAATTGATTTTGTTAGTTAGAATGTTGTCAGATAAATTACATATCCATTTAATAGAAGATTTACAATAAACTTGAAAATCTGACATTTTTAAAAAGCAGAAAATGAGTCTGTGAAAGTTCAAGTAACTTTCTAAAGAATGTATATACAACATATTTCCTAACTAGAATCCAAGTGAGGCAGGACTTCCTCTCTCCCTCCCTTCCCTCTCCCACTTCCCTCCCTCCCTCCCTCTCCTTCCTTCCTTCCTTCCTTCTTTCCTTCCTTCCTTCCTTCTTCTCCTTTCCTCCTCCTTTCTGTTTTTCTCCCTCTCCGCTTTTCTTTCTTTTCATTCATTCTCTTCTCCTCCCTCCTTCTTTCCCTCCTTTGTTTCTCTTCTTCATTTATTATATATTTCTATCATGATAAGATATATGTGACATAATTCAGTGGCATTAAATATATTCACACTATTGTGCAACTATCAACACTATCCATTTCCAGAACCTTTTTCTTATCCCAAACACAAACTTTATCCTTAAATAACAGCTCCCCATTTCCTCCCCACCCTCATCCCCTGGCAACCATCATTCTGCATTCTGTCATTATGAATGTTAATACCTTAGTACCTCATTAAGTGGAATAGTAGAGTATGGGTCTCTTTGTGACTAGCTTATTTGACAGTATGATCAAAGTTCATCCATGCTGTACCATGTGTCAGAATGTCCATCTGTTTTAAGGCTGCATAATATTCCATTGTATGTATATATCACATTTTATCTATACATCCATTGATGAACACTTGTCTTACCCTCACCTTTTGGCTATTGTGAATAGCACTGCTATAGACATAGTTGTACAAATATCTCTTTGAGGCTATGCTTTAATATCTTTTTGATTTATACCCAGAAATGGAATTGCTGAATAATATGATAATTGTATTTTTAATTTTTTGAGAAACTGCCGTACTATTTTCTATAGTGATTGGACCATTTCCATCAACAGTGTACAAGGTTCCCAATTTCTTCACATTCTCTCAAAAAGTTGTTAATTTCTGTTTGTTTTAATAGCAGCCTTTCTAATAGATGTGAGGTGGTATTTCATTGTAGTTTAATTTTCACTTTCCTGATGATTACTATCTTGAGCATCTTTTCATATGCTTATAGGAAATTTGTATATCTTGCTTTCAAGTCTTTTGCTTATATTTATCAGGATTGTTGTTGTTGTTAATGAACTACATAGAAGTACTTTATATGCAATATTAACCCCTTATCAGGTATATAGTTGCAAATATTTTCTCCCATTTGACAGGTTGCTTTTCAATCTGTTGTGTCTTCTGATTTTTAGAAAGTTTTAATTTTGAGTTACTGCAACTTATCTATTTTCATTTTTTTGGTGATATATGCAATAAATCATTGCCAAATTTAATTTCAGAAAGTTTTCATCTATGTTTTCTTCTAAGAATGTTATAGTTTTAGACCTTAATTTATATATTTGATCAACTTTGAGTTAATTTTGGCATATGGTATAAATTAAGAATCCAACTTCATTCTTCTGCATGTAGAAATCCAATTTTCCCAGTAGCATTTATTACAAAGATTGTCTTTTCCCCCATTGAATGGCTTTGGAGCCTTTGTTATAAGGTATATAAACATATATGTAGAAGGTAGTTTTTGGCCTCTATTTTATTTCCTTGGTTTATATGTTTCTGTTTATGCCAGTACCAGACTTTCGATTACTGTAAGTAATTTTGTAATAAGGTTTGAAATCAGAAAGTGTAGGACCTCAAACTTCACTCTTCTTTTTGAAGATTATCTTCGTTATTTGGGGTCCCTTGATGTAAAGATTATTCCATTGGGGTGGGGGTTAGAGTGGATTTTTCTATTTCTGAAAAGTAAACATTGTTGAGATTTCATTAAGAATTGTATTGAATCTGTATATCATTTGGGTCGTATTGACATCTTAACAACATTAAGTCTTTGAATCCATGCACATGGGGCATATTTCCACTGCTTGCATCTTCTTTACTTTCTTCCAGCAATGTTTTCAAGTTTTTGATTGTAAAATTTGTTCCGTTCCTTGATTAGCCTCATTCCTAAATATTTCATTCTTTTCAATTATATAGTAAATTGAATTGTTTTCTTAATTTTATTTTCTGATGGCTCATTGTTAGGGTGTAGAAACACAAACTGATTTTTGTGTATTTACTTTATTTCCTATGACTAAGTTGCATTTGTTAATTTGTTTCAACATTTTATGTAGAATTTTTGGGTTTTTTTGCATATAAGATTATGTTGTCCGCGAACTGATATAATTTTATTTATTCCTTCTTAATTTGGATGACTTCTATTTCTTTTTCTTGCCTAAATGCTCTGGCTAGACCTTTTGCTACTATGTTGAGTACAAGTGGTAAATGCAGGCACCCTTGTCTTTTTCCAGATCTAAGAGGAAAAGCTTTAAATCTTTCTCCATTGAGTATAATATTGGTTGTGGGCTTCTCATAGATGGTCTTAATTGTGTTGACATAGTTTCCTTGTATTCCTAGGTTATTGAATATTTTAATCATAAAAAAGGTTAAATCTTGTCAACCACCCTTACTACATCAGTTGAGATAATCATATTTTGTGTGTTTTCATTCTGTTAATGTGTTGTATATTAATTGATTTTCATATGTTGAACTAGTCTTGCATTTCTGAAATAATTCTACTCCACTTTCTAATTGTGTCTAATCCTTTTAATGTACTGTTGAGATCTGTTTGTTAGTATTTTGTTAAGAATTTGTGCATCAATATTCATTGGGGATAAAGATATATAGTTTACTTTTCTTTTTTTAAATTTTTTAATTTATTATTTTATTTTATTTTATTATTATTGTACTTTAAATTTTAGGGTACATGTGCACAATGTACAGGTTAGTTACATATGTATACATGTGCCATGCTGGTGTGCTGCACCCATTAACTCGTCATTTAGCATTAGGTATATCTCCTAATGCTATCCCTCCCCCCTCCCCCCACCCCACAACAGTCCCCAGAGTCTGATGGTCGCCTTCCTGTGTCCATGTGTTCTCATTGTTCACCTATGAGTGAGAACATGTGGTGTTTGGTTTTTTGTCCTTGCGATAGTTTACTGAGAATGATGATTTCCAATTTCATCCATGTCCCTACAAAGGACATGAACTCATCCTTTTTTATGGCTGCATAGTATTCCATGGTGTATATGTGCCACATTTTCTTAATCCAGTCTAGCATTGTTGGAAATTTGGGTTGGTTCCAAGTCTTTGCTATTGTGAATAGTGCCGCAATAAACATACGTGTGCATGTGTCTTTATAGCAGCATGATTTATAATCCTTTGGGTATATACCCAATAATGGGATGGCTGGGTCAAATGGTATTTCTAGTTCTAGATCCTTGAGGAATGGCCACACTGACTTCCACAATGGTTGAACTAGTTTACAGTCCCACCAACAGTGTAAAAGTGTTCCTATTTCTCCACATCCTCTCCAGCACCTGTTGTTTCCGGACTTTTGAATGATTGCCATTCTAACTGGTGTGAGATGGTATCTCATTGTGGTTTTGATTTGCATTTCTCTGATGGCCAGTGATGGTGAGCATTTTTTCGTGTGTTTTTTGGCTGCATAAATGTCTTCTTTTGAGAAGTGTCTGTTCATGTCCTTTGCCCACTTTTTGATGGGGTTGTTTGTTTTTTTCTTGTAAATTTGTTTGAGTTCATTGTAGATTCTGAATATTAGCTCTTTGTCAGATGAGTAGGTTGCGAAAATTTTCTCCCATTTTGTAGGTTGCCTGTTCACTCTGATGGTAGTTTCTTTTGCTGTGCAGAAGCTCTTTAGTTTAATTAGATCCCATTTGCCAATTTTGGCTTTTGTTGCCATTGCTTTTGGTGTTTTAGACATGAAGTCCTTGCCCATGCCTATGTCCTGAATGGTAATGCCTAGGTTTTCTTCTAGGGTTTTTATGGTTTTAGGTCTAAAATTTAAGTCTTGAATCCATCTTGAAATAATTTTTGTATAAGGTGTAAGGAAGGGATCCAGTTGCAGCTTTCTACATATGGCTAGCCAGTTTTCCCAGCACCATTTATTAAATAGGGAATCCTTTCCCCATTGCTTGTTTTTCTCAGGTTTGTCAAAGATCAGATAGTTGTAGATATGTGGCATTATTTCTGAGGGCTCTGTTCTGTTCCATTGATCTATATCTCTGTTTTGGTACCAGTATTGCTTCAAAGAGAATAAAATACCTAGGAATCCAACTTACAAGGGATGTGAAGGACCTCTTCAAGGAGAACTACAAACCAATGCTCATTGAAATAAAAGAGGATACAAAGAAATGGAAGAACATTCCATGCTCATGGGTAGGAAGAATCAATATCGTGAAAATGGCCATATTGTCCAAGGTAATTTATAGATTCAATGCCATCCCCATCAAGCTACCAATGACTTTCTTCACAGAATTGGAAAAAACTACTTTAAAGTTCATGTGGAACCAAAAAGGAGCCTGCATCACCAAGTCAATCCTAAGCCAAAAGAACAAAGCTGGAGGCATCATGCTACCTGACTTCAAACTATACTACAAGGTTACAGTAACCAAAACAGCATGGTAGTTTACTTTTCTTGTAGTGTTTTTGTTGTGGTTGGTTTCAGGAAAATGCTGGCCTCACAGAGTAAGTTTGGAAATGTTGCTTTCTCTTCAAACTTTTGGAAGCATTGGAAGAGGATTTGGTGTTAATTATTTAAATGTGTGTGTGAGAATTCACCAGGCTTACCATTGTTTGAGAGGATTTTAATTATTGATTCAATCTCCCCTCTAGTTAAAGGTCTGTCATAGTTTCTATTTCTTCATGATTCAGTCTTGTTACATTGAGTTTTCCAGGAATTTACCCATTTTATCTAGGTTATTCAATGTTTTGGCATATAATTGTTTATAGTATTCTCTCATAATCTTTTTTTATTTCTGTGAAATAAGTTTTTCTGTCACCTATTTTATTCTCATTTTAGTTATATGAGTCTCCTCTCTTTTTTTCTTAGTTAAGCTAGCTAAAGATTTACTAAATTTTGTTGATCTTCTCAAAACATCAACCCTTGCTTTGTTGATTTCAGTATTGTTTTTCTATTCTCTATTTTATCTATCTCTCATTTAACCATTATTATTTCCTTCTTCATGTTGGCTTTGGTTTTATTTTATTTTATTTTTTTCTGGTTTTATTTTAAAATTTTAAGTTGTGATTTGGGATATTTCTTTGTTCTTAATTTAAGCATTTATAGCTATGAATTTTCTATAAGCACTGAATTTGTTGCATCCCATAAGTTTTGTTCTTTTACATTTTCAGTATATTTTATATATATTTTATCATTTCTTTGTGATCTATTTTTTTGATTCATTAGTTGTTTGTCTCTGTTGCTTAATTTTTACATACGTTGATTTTCCAATTATCCTTCTGCTTTTGATTTCTAATTTCCTTCCATTGTGTTTAGAAAGATATGTTGTATAATTTCAAAATTTTATAATTTATTAAATATTGTTACTTTGGGAGGCCAAGGCGGGTGGATCACTTGATGTCAGGAGTTCCAGACCAGCCTGGCCTACATAGTGAAACTCTGTCTCTACTAAAAATACAAAAATTAGCCAGTCATGGTAGCGTGCGCCTGTGGTCCCAGGTACTTGTGAGGGTGAGGCAGGAGAATCACTTGAACCCAGGAGTGGAGGTTGCGGTGAGGAGCGATCGCGCCACTGTACTCCAGACTGGGCGACAGAGTGAGACTCCATCTAAAAAAAAACAAAAAATGTTTTGCAGCTCATGTATAATCTGTAATAAAGATTGTTCCATGTGCATTTGTGAAAAATGCACACTCCTCTGTTATTGGATGAAGTGCTCCATAGACGTCTCTTAAGTCTAGTTGTTCTATAGTGTTGTTAGACTGTCCTAGTTCCTTAATGCCCTTCTGTGATTGTGCTATCCATTATCGAAAGCATTATATAAAAGTTTCTGCTATTATGAAGAACTTTCTATATTTACCTTAATTCTGTTGATGTTTGCTTCATTTATCAGGGACTGTTGATGTGTGGTGCCTAAATGTTTAAAATTGTTTTATCTTTTAATGAATTGACCATTTCACCACTATATAATGATCTAATTTGTCACGGGGTTCTGTTTTACTTTAGGACATGGGGTTTTTTTGTTTGTTTGTTTCTTTGTTTTTTCCTAAAATGTGTACTGTCAAATATTAATATCATTACCCCTGCTCTCCTTTGGTGACATTTTTATAGCATATAATTTATTCACCATTTTACTTTCAACCTATGCTTTTCTTCGATCAAAAGTGAGATTCTTATACATAGCACATACTTGTGTTCTGTTTCTTTTTATTCATTCTGCCATTATGTCTTTTGATTGGGGATTTAGATCCACTTAAATTTAAAGTTATTACTGATAGAAAAGAACTTATTATCATATTTTATTTATTTTCTGTATATCTCAAAGAATTTCTGTTCTCTTTCATCACTACATGTCTTTGTTTTTGGTTGATTTTTGTCATATGATCTATTTTTTTTTGTTACTCTGTTTATTAATCCTCCTAAAGCTATAATCATACATTTTAAATTGATAAGAACTTAACTCGATTTACAAACAAAAAATTGACTACAGCTCTTCCGCTGCCTCCCTTTATGTTATGTGTGTCACAAACCATACCTTTTCTATGTTGTGTACCCATTAACATAAGTTTAGAGTTATTTTATGCTTTTCTCTTTTACATTCTATAAAATAATAAAATATAGTCACAAAAATTTATATGATAATTAAGGCCTTTATATGTGTTCCTATTTTACCTTTAACAGAGAACCTTATATTTTCATATAGTTTTGCCTACCATCCTTTCATTTGACTACAATGATGTCCATTAGCATTTCTTGTAAGTTAGGTTTAGTAATAATACATTCCATCGGCTTTTATTTATCTGGGAAAATCTTATTTTCTATTTAATTTTTGAAGGTCAGTTTCACTTCACTAGATACAGCATTCTTGGTTTTCTGTTGTATGTATGTATATGTGTCTGTGTGTGTGCATGTTCATATTTTTTATCTGTAGACTAGATAATTTCAATTGTCTTATTTTTAAGTTGACTAATTCTTTCTTCTGCATACTCAAATCTGCTGTCAAACACCTCTAGTAAGTTTTCATTTTAGTTATTATACTTTTCAACTCCAGAATTTCCATCTGTGCTTTAAAATTTGTATCTCTTTGTTAAAATTTTCATTTTATTTGTATATATTTTTTATTTCCTTAGTTCTTTGACAATTTTTTCTTAGATATTTGAATATATTTAACACAGTTGTTAAAAGTATTTTTAATTGTAAGCCTAACATTTTGCCTTGCTTAATGATGGATTTTGTAAACTAATTTAATTCCTTTGAATTAGCCATGTTTTCCTTTGTGTTTGGTTCCTTTTTTAATGCTTTGTGATTTTTTGTTATGAATTTGGTATTTGCCTATTATAACATGTTAACTCTGGAAATCTCCCCATTCCTCATCATTTCCTGCTTTTGCTTTTGTTTTTAATTGTTGAAGACAGAAGAGATAAGTTTTTCCAGACTTTTCCAAACTATTTTTTGCAAGGACTCTCTTTGTCATGTGTGACCATTGAAGTTTTTTGTTTCTTCAGCTCATGTTCCATTAAGGTTTTTATAGAGATTTCCCTGGATGTGAAAAGTTGAAACAAACAAACAAACAAAAAAACCCAATATATTTAAGAAAGAGAGAACAACCACTTTTCTAAGTCTTTACAGATGGGCTCTGTACTGGTCCTTCTCCACTTAGCTAAGCTTGCTCTTAAGTATAGGGACCATTTAAGTACAACTTTAAGTTCTTCTTGGGCCTTTTCTGAGCATGCATATTTCCTGGGCATGTGAGTGGCTTTCTAATTTCTCCTATATAATGGTTGCCTTTTAATATTTTAATTTACCAAAGCTTTTCATCCCAGCTTCACCTCCAAGCCTTAGATTATATTTTTCTATCTCCTACAATCTCTTCCGCTAAGTCTCTCTGGGTTTCTAGTCTCCTTATAGCTTTTAAAAGCACTGCCCAGCCACCACCCCCTACAACCCCCCTTCTTTTTTTTTTCTGGCTTCCAAGTTATGCAAAACAGAGACAGACTTTGTATTAGTCCTTCAGGTATCCTGCAGACAGGTTATAATGAATTTACACAATAATTTGAAAAAGAGGTCTGCTCTGCTGCCTCCAGTTTGGAGAGGCCAGGGATGGAACTAAGGACCAGGTTACTACCTGCCCAAGACAAAGACCACCACTGTGCTGTGGAGGAGATGGGGCAAATACAAGTAAAAACAACATGATACTATCTTACCAATTTGAAGATAGCTTTTTAAAAAATTTGAGCATTTGGCTGGTTAAAGTAAACTTTTCATTGCTTTTCAGAGCTCAAAGTTGGTTTAGCTTCTGGTTATTTTTTTCCGTATTTCTATAGAAGAACAAGAACTTGGAGATCCATAGTATTTCATTTTGCTGATTAAAATATATTTTAATGGTAATGATTGGCCAGGCGCAGTGGCTCACGCCTCTAATCCCAGCACTTTGGGAGGCTGAGGCAGGCGGATCACAAGGTCAGGAGATCGAGACCATCCTGGCTAACACGGTGAAACCCCATCTCTACCAAAAATACAAAAAATTAGCCGGGCAAGGTGGTGGGCGCCTGTAGTTCCAGCTATTCGGGAGGCTGAGGCAGGAGAATGGCGTGAACCCGGGAGGTGGAGCTTGCAGTGAGCCGAGGTCGTGCCACTGCACTCCAGCCTGGGCGACAGAGCAAGACTCCGTCTCAAAAAAATAATATATATATATATATATATATATATATATATATATATATAGTAATGATTATCCAACTGTTTTGTTCATGTTATTATAAGACTATCGATTTAATATATTTGGCAAACACAGCACATGAAAATCATCTGAGTTAAAATGTCTCTGGGCATCATTCTGAGTGCCTGATCCAGAACCCATGAGGGTGAGGTCCGGGATACTTCATGGTAATCATAGGTTCCAATCATAGTTTTTATGTGCACTGCAGTGTGTGAACCGCTGCACTATACCATGCTTTCAAGAGAAGACGTATAGAAAAAAGTCTTTGCTATTCAGAATAGAAGCAGAACGTATTGCTTGGGAGATTAAATATTAGTGACAGAATTCAGTAGCCCATTCCTACAATCCTGCTGCAAGAAGAAAATTAACCAAGGAATAAGAAAGTCAAGAGCCGAAGCAAATTGAGAGAAAAGTTTCCCTACATTCTAAGTGATGAAAACTCTTTGCTCTCTCTCTAAATTTCAGCAAATGTGCTTAACTTAATGAATGCGTAACAGCCTTCAACAACTTTTCTACTGAAAGATTCAGATGTCAGAATTGCTAGAGATCCCTCCTAGCCATTCTCCAGAATTGTTTCATATCTTTACAAGAAAATACACAGTGTAAGGTTAACTACAGGCCTATGTCTGAAAGAATGGCTTGCCTGTCTACTTGAAATAAATAATAGTGGTATTCAAAAGTTCATCTTCTTTTCAGCACAGTCGGCTGGTGTCATCTCTAGCACGACAAACGCTGAGCATGAAAACACCTGGAATTTTTGAGGGAGTGCAAACAAATGGCATCACGAAGAATAAATCATCAGCACTCTCTTTCCAAATGAATTCTGTAATTCAGAAAGAAAAAGAAAACTCATTTTGTGTTTTGCTTTGTTTTAAATGAGACATGTTTAGCCAGTGAAAAATACCAGAGCCTAATGACCCTAGGCAACTTCAAATGACTATATTTTACGTAATATATTGCCATTCTTTAATGCTATTCTCTCTATAATTAAGATTGACTTTAAGCAGTCAACAAAAGCTTTGCATCAGTTTAACCACTGTGTTTCTTACAACATAAAATATTAATCTTCATTCAAAAAATATAAGGCTATACCAATTTTATGTGCAAAGCCACAACAGAATCCACACCTCTTTGCCTGTAAGTAACTGCTAGTAATGGAGGTAATAGAGGTTGAATGTCTTAATGCGTCATACCATTTTCTTATGTGTAATTTACAGATCATGTTATCAACTCTATGTGGTTGTGAGATTTAAATGAAGCCACATATATAGAACCTATAATTAAGAAGTTACGTGTTTAGGAATTGAGGGAAGGGCAGACTTGCTGGCTTCAGGTGAGACATAACACATTCTCATGAGACATTGCCATTCTCAGCTGTGGTGGCTTCAGGGAGAAACTCCTTCTTCTTGAGAAAAGCAGAGGCAAAAGTAAAGGGGACTTTGTCTGGCACCATAGGTGCCAGCTCTGCTTCATGGGTGTCAGCACCAAATAGACTCTTGGGGTCCCTGATTCTAGGCCTTGGCTTCTGGATGGCATTTCTGGACGTGCTCTGGGCCAGAGAGGAGCCCACTGCCCTAAAGGGTGTGTCCCAGGCCCAGCAGCATTCGCCACATGATGACTGAACAGCCCTTAGGCCTTAAGAGAATATGGGTGGTAGTACTCCCATGGGCCTGTGGAGGCAGTAGCTATAGAATGAGGCTCCTCTACCTATGGAAAAGGGAGAAAAGAGCGGGAAGAAATGTGTCTTGTGGTTTGAGTGCCAGCTCAGCTGCAGTACAATAGAACACCACGTAGACTTACAACGTTTTTGACTCTAGTCCCTGACTCCTGGATGGCACCTCTGGACACACCCAGGGCCTGGGACCTGGCAGAACTTACCACACTGAAGGAAAAGACACGGGCTTGGCTGGCTTCACCACCTTTTGACTGTAGAGCCCCAAGCTCTTGAGTTAACATAGACAGTAGATAGGGAGGGGTTACAGTGGGGCTGGGTGAGACTCAGTGCTTTGCTGACTTCTGTTCTCGCCCAGCACAGTCCTAGTCATGGTGGCCACAGGGAGTTTGTGTCACTACACCCCCAGGTCCAGGTGACTTAGAACAGAGAGAGAGAGAGAGAGAGAGAGAGAGAGAGAGAGAGAGAGAGACTGTGTTTGTTTGGGAGAAAGTAAGAAAATAGAACAAGAGTCATTGGTAATCCAAATAGTTCTTTCAGATCTTGTCCAAGACTGTAAGACAGTACCTCTGCATATCTGCAAGAACCACAGCATTATTGGTGGCCCCTAAAGCACATGCAGTTTAAATCACAACACCCAAGTCTTTTTGAGTATCTGGAAAGCCTTCCCAACAAGAATGGGTACAAGCAAGCCAAGATTATGAAAGCTACAATAAATATCTAACTCTTTATATAATTTGAAGACACAAAAAAATTGAAAGATATTCTATGTTTATAGATTGGAAGAATCAATATTGTTAACAGGTCAATACTACCCAAAGCAATATATAGATTCAATGCAAACCCTATCAAGATACCAATGACCTTATTCACAGAAATAGAAAAAAAGAATCCTAAAATTCATATGAAACCATTAATGACACAAAATACTTAAAGCTATCCTGAGAAATAAAAACTGGAATTACATTACCCGACTTCAAATTATACTACAGAGCTATAGTAACCAAAACAGCATGATACTGGCATAAATACAGAGACATAGACCAATGGAACAGAATAGAGAACCCAGAAAGAAATTCACATACCTACAGTGAACTCATTCTCACAAAGATGCAAATAACATACAGTGGGGGGTAAAGACAGCCACTTCAGTAAATGATGCTGGTAAAACTGGATATCCATATGAAGAAAAATGAAACTAGACCTCTATTTCTCACCATATATAAACATCAAATAAAAATAAATTAAATACTTAAATATGTTATCTCAAAACTATGAAACTACTACAAGAAAAGATTGGGGGAAATCTCCAGGACATTGTTCTGAGTATTTTTTTTTTTTTTTTTGAGACTCTGTTGCCCAAGCTGGAGTGCAGTGGTGCATTCTTGGCTTACTGCGATCTTCACCTCCTGGGTTCAAGCGATTCTCCTGCCTCAGCCTCCCAAGTAGCTGAAATTACAGGCATACACCACCATGCCCAGCTAATTTTTTTACATTTTTGGTAGAGATGACGTTTCACCATGTTGGCCAGGCTGGTCTAGAACTCCTGACCTCAAGTGATCTGCCTGCCTTGTCCTCCCAAAGTGCTAGGATTGCAGGTGTGAGCCACTGTGCCCGACTGGTCTGAGTATTCTTGAGTAATGCCACAAAACCACAGGCAATCAAAGCAAAAATGGACAAATCGAATCACATCAAGTTAAAAAGCTTCTGCACAGCAAAGGTAATAATCTACAAAGAGAAGAGACAGCTCGCAGAATGGGAGAAAATATTTGCAAACTACACACCTGCCAAGGGATTAATAATCAGAATATATAAGGAGCTCAAACAACACTAGAGGAAAAAATCTAATCATGGACAAAAGATTTGAATAGACATTTTTCAAAAGAAGACATATAAATGGCCAACAGACATATGAAACGGTGTTCAACATCATTGATCATCGGAGAAATGCAAATTAAGATTACAATGATAAGTCATCTCACCCCAGTTAAAATGGCTTTTATCCAAAAGCCAGTCAATAACAAAGACTGGGGAGGTTGTAGAGAAAAGGGGATCCTCATACACTGTTGGCAGAAATGTAAATCAGTAAATCCACTACGAACAACTGTTTGGAGGTTTCTCAAAAAAAAAAAAAAAACAAAAAATAGATCTACCATATGATCCAGCAATCTCACTGCTGGGTATAAATAAAAAAGATAGGAAATTGGCATATCAAAGAGATATCTACACTCCATGTTTATTGTCGCACTGTTCACAATACCCAAAATTTGGAACAACCTTAGTGTATATCAACAGATGAATATATATAAAGAAAATTCAGTACCCATACACAATGGAGTACTTTTCAGCCATGAAAAAGAATAAGATCCTGCTATTGGTAAAAACCTGGATGGAACTGGATGTTATTACATTGAGTGAAATAATCCAGTCACAGAAAGACAAACATCACATGTTCTTACTTAGCTGTGAGATTGTAATGTAATATTAAAACTATTGAACTCATAGAGATAGAGAGTAGAAGGATGGTTACTAGAGGCTGGGAAGCTGGGAGGGAAGGGAAAATGGTTAATAGGTACAAAGTAATAGTTAGAAGTAATAAATAAGACCTAGTATTTGCTAACACATCACAAAGAGTATGGTAAAAAATAATTTAATTTTTCATTTCAAAATAACTAAAAGAGTATAATTGGATTGTTTGAAAAACAAAGGATAAATGCTTCACTGGATGAGCACCCTATTTACCCTGATGTGATTGTTATGTATTGCAGAACTCTATCAAAATATCTCATGTACCCCATAAACATATTTATCTACAAGGTAATCACACTGTATTAATCAAGGTACTCTAGAGGGACAGGACTAATAGGATAGATGTATACATGAAAAGGAATTTATTAAGCAGTACTGACACACAGGATCACAAAGTGAAGTCCCACAATCAGCTGTCTGCAAGCTGAGCAGCAAGATAATCAGTCTGAGTTTTGAAACCTCAAAAGTAGGAAAGCCAACAGTGCAGCCTTCAGTCTGTGGCCAAAGGCAGGAGAGTCCCTGGCAAACCACTGGTGTAAATCCAAGAGTTCAAAACCTGAAGAACTTGTATATAATGTTGGAAGGCAAGAAGCATCCAGCACAGGAGAAAGATGAAGGCCAGAAGACACAGCCAGTCTAGTCCTTCCACGTTCCTCTGCTTGCTTTATTCTACCTGCAATGGCAGCTGATTAGATTGTGCCCACCCAGATTGAGGGCAGGTCCACCTCTCCCAGTCCACTGACTCAATGTTAATCTCCTTTGGCAACACCCTCACAAGTACACCCAGGAACAATACTTTGCATCCTTCAATCCAATCAAGTTGACAGTCAATATTAACCACCACACTCACTAATTAAAAATTTTTTTAAAGAATTGGCTATTACTGGAAGCTAATATATGTATTAAAAGAAGGTCAGGACTATGTGAGGTTTGTCAATAAGCACAGAAATATAAGGTAAAGGGAACTGGAATTGTGCATTTAAATGTATTAGCTCTATGACTTTGGGCAAACTAATGGGCGAATTAATTTCTTGCCTATATGCTTTTCTACTGTCAAAGAGGAACATGCTCTGCCATTGTGTGACTTTATCGTGGGGATCAAATGAGAAGGTATGGGAAGATTTTTAGACAAAACGTGGTTCTCCACACATTTAATCTGTTATAAAGATATTGGTATCCATAGAGGATGGATGTGTTTTTCAAGGGGATTCTAATACGGTTTTGTGATATGCTCATTTCATTCTTTTGCTGTAAGATTTTTAAAGTGTTCTATCTCAATTTGAGAAACCTATATGAAGAATATGACAAAATTGATTCAAATTATGACAATGATATAATATTAAAACTCATATATTTAATTCAACAGATGTATTCATGGCTTCTTTTCATCTTCTGTATGTAAAAGTGTATCTCCATCACAGAAAAACATCTGATTGACAATATATAGTGCTGTGAACAGAGCAACAACTTGCCAAATGTTTTCAAAGCATCACGGAGTTCACTCTAGCCTTCTGACATGCACAGGAGAATGAGCTCTGTTGTCAAAAAGCTTATGCTTATAACAAAGCACTGTGGTCATGGATAAGATGAAATTTAACACTTGTGATATTAATCCAAAGGTCAATGGATATTTCTCATGGGGAAAAATTTGTATAGAGTGACAAGGAAAAAAAAAACACAAAAAGACTTTTGTATAAAAGGGAGAAGGTTGTAGGCATATCCCATAGAGTGAGCATACCTATTAAAGAAAGAGTAACTGGGATCTTCACACTCACATGATACAAGAAAAGCTTCAGTAAAGGTGATTTCACATTTTTCATGTATAAAAATCTCACTATGGTATGTTATTTTATGATATTAAATTGAATTTCAATAGTTCTATGTTTACCAATGAAACTTAAAATTAATAACATTTGTTAATTAATTAATGATACTAAAAGTTCACTTTATCAGAGCCATTGCAAAAATTTTAGTTTCATGTAAGTTTAGTCACATAAGACTGATATTATAAAATTGGACATTATCTGTAGAAATTTGTTCATGGCCTCCTGACTTGCTGAAAAAGAACGTGCCAGAAAGGTTTGATGTCTTCTGAGTTCCAGGTGAGTCTCAAACACTGAAAAGATCCTGGGAATGAGAAGGCGATATATTGCAGATGGAAGAAAAGTGTATTATAATTAAATTATGGCCTATACGTTCAAAACTAATAGTATCACAATAATATTTGGGCAAGTCTACCTCTTTTCTCCACATATTTTTATATGCATTGCTTCACAGCTTAAACTTAGTTACTTATTATTTATTCCCTTATACACTTATTTACTCCTAAGAGAATCTATTAATAAATAGGATATTTTTAGAAGTGCTTATATTTCACATTAACCAATATTTTTCTGCTTCATGGAAAGTATTTTGCCTTAATGTTACAACAGATACATGAGGTAGGTGACATAGAAACGTATTCAACCAGAGGTTGTTCCACTCCCTGTAAAATACAATTCATAAAGCAGGATCCAGGGATGTACTATTTGAACCCTCTGAGATCTATTAGCTATGCTATTTTAGCTAACTCCACTGAGCCTTTGCTACTTATCTGTGAGTGGTGACAGTCTATAGAAATCACATAAGGTTACAGTGAACTTTAATTGAGAAAAATCCATGTAAATTACCTTACCACAAGTCATGGCCAGTAGAATGAAATCAACAAATTCAATGATAATGATGCTTAAAATGGTGGTGATGATAGTGATACTGCTGGTGCTGCTAATGGTGGTGATGATGGTGATGGTAAAGACAATGGTGACTATGTCATAGTTGTAACAGTTACACATGTGTTTCCCAATTGCTAAAAACCACTGCCTGAACATGAAAAAGATATTACAGACTCTCTTTAGGGCTCAAATATTTTGGATTGAGCAGTCAAGACACAGCAGCCTCAAAACAATTTGCAAAGAATATACCAGATGGAATAAAGTAGTATTAATAACACTGTTTCCATTTTAGTCAAGATTTCTATTTGAAACAAGATTTTTGTCAATAACGACAAGCAAAATAAAATGCTGAAAAAGGTAAGTCATTTGAATTATTCTCTGTGTTCACTAAGTATAAATCTCCAGTTTGACAAATTTTACTTAAAGAAAACATTTTATTCAATGATATATCAACAAAGGGAATTTGATAATGATTTCCATTAAAAGTATGCATATACATACATTATTTTAATCTTTTCATATTTAAAACAAATCTTGACAAATGTATGCTGACTAGATAATTTTTTTTGTTTCATTCATTCATAAAATCCAAATTTCTGTGAATGGAATTCATCATTCTATCAGCAAACAAGTTTAATATAATTTTGGACTTAACTGGTTTATATAATTTTCTTGCAATTTGTAGATACAGCCATGATTAAATGGTAAGACATTATAGGACAGGAGTTATTAACTTTGTACTCCCATTCACTTCTCATAAACCATAATATAATAGCAAACACATTATAAGTTCTCCTCACTTATAAGTATGTATAGTTTAATGAATATTTCTTGAATTACCAGAGAAAGTGGGTGAAAGTAAGTTTTTCTTTTCTTTCTGACTATAAAAGCAATATATTTTTATTTAGAAAAATTTAGATGCTAAAAATATACATGAAGAAAAAAAGTGTTACCCTAATTTCAGTTGTTAATATTAGATTGTATTTTATAGTTTTCTTTTTCATACATATTTTAGCCTAGTTTATGTGTGTGGGTGAGTGGATGTGTGTGTTAACATATATAATTAACATTCAGGTCCCAGCTTGTCTTACATTTGCTTTCTTGCTTATAAATTCTTGTGTCATTAAAAGTTATTTCTGAATATTTTGAAGGCAACATAAAATTCCAGTTTGAGGTTAAGACCATTATACATGCAACATTTAGAATGATTTACATTTTTATAATTATTCATAATATTGAGTATTGTTTAATAATAGCCATTCTGACTGATATTAGATGATAACTCATTTGCATTTCTCTAATGGTCAGTGATAGTGAGCATTTTTTCATATGATTGTTGGGCACATGTATGTCTTCTTTTGAAAAGTGTCTGTTCATGTCCTTTGCCCACTTTTTATGGGTTTGTTTCTTGTAAATGTGTTTAAGTTTCCTACAGATGCTGGCTATTAGACCTTTGTCAGATGCATACTTTGCAAAAGTTGTCTCCCATTCTGTAGGTTGCCTGTTTACTCTGTTGATAGTTTCTTTGCTTTCTTTGCTATGCAGAAGCTATTTAGTTTAATTAGATCCCATTTGTCAATTTTTACTTTTGTTGCAATTGCTTTTGGCATCTTTGTCAATAAAGAATTCTTGTATACTGTTGGTGGGAGTGTAAATTAGTTCAACTACTTTGGAAGACAGTGTGGCAATTCCTCAAAGATCTAAAGACAGAAATCCCATTACTGGGTATATACCCAGAGGAATATAAATTATTCTATTTTAAAGACACATGCATGTGAATGTTCATTGCGTCACTATTCACAATAGCAACCTTGTGGAATCAACCTAAATGCCCATTGGTGGTAGGCTACAGGAAGAAAACATGGTACATATACACCATGGAATACTACGCAGTCATAAAAAAAATAAGATCATGTCCTTTGCGGGACATGGATGGAGCTGGAGGCCATTAACTTCAGCGAACTAACAGAGGAACAGAAAACCAAGTACCGCATGTTCTCACTTATAAATGGAAGCTAAATGATGAGAACATATGGACACATAGAGGGGAACAACACATACTGGGGGCTTTCAGACGGTGGAGGGTGAGATAAGAGAGAGGATCAGGAAAAATAACTAATGGGTACTAGACTTAATACCTGGGTGATAAAATAATCTGTACAACAAACCCCCATGACACAAATTTATCTATGTAAAATACCTTTACTTGTACCCTGAACTTAAAAAAGTTAAAAATAAAATAAAATACAATCATTCATACAAAACAGAAAAAAATAATAATGAGTAATTCTATATCTTATATATAGATTCTCAGAAGTGGAGTTTGGGGGAATAAATATTTTAAATATCTATATCTATATTTATTATTTAAAAAAATACTTCTATCTAAATTCTATCCAGTAAATTTGCACCATTTTACACTGCCATTAGCAGCCTATGAGGATGTTACTTTTATAGCAAACACATTATAATTTTTTAAAAATGTGCACCCAACATAGGAAAAAAACCAAAAAACTGTTGTCTTGTGTGCTCATTTTTGATCACTTAACAAAAGAAAGAAAATTAGGGGAAGAGATATTAACAGAGAGAGAGGGAGAGAGACAGAGAGATAATTCCCTACCTATTAGAGCTGAAATATGCCCATTCTTTATATGTTCTTTAAATATGTTGTTCTTTACTTTCTTTCTTTACTTTGGTTCTTTAAATATGTTGTTCTTTACTTTCTTTCCCAATTGTTCCTCACTTTGCCCCTTTTTTTGGAAATATATTTCTATGTATCTTAGAATTAGATACTGTTATGTAAAATTCGTACTTCAGATTTTATTTTTTGTAATCACACAATATCTCTTGGTATGCTGCCTTTATCTTTCAGGTACACTGCTGTGTTAATTTTGTTAAGTAAACTTTCAGCCAGTAATGTGACAGCTTTACTTTTCAATTAGCTTTGATTTAATGTATGTAAATATAGAACTCAGTGTGGAAATATAGAGATGCAAATATATTTCCTCAGTGCTATCAATGTTGAATTTATCCTTTTAAACTAGAATCAGCTATGTTTTCAGGCATAAAAGTCAGTTGGTAGAAGTCAAAAACAGAATGTTCGCAACTTTCACAAATAAGTTCACATGTGATATTTGGTGATTCATCAATCATTTCATTTTCTTTCTTAGTCATAACAATGCCACATTTACAGAGCAGTGTTAGTGAATAAGGTATGCCATCAAAGTTCATTTTTTCTGATAAATGAAGCTTCATATTTTAGGATACAGAACTTTTGATATTTTCAATGAAAATATTTATAAATGCATTATAGTTATGTATGTGTGTCTTTAATAACCAGTGTTTTTTTTTTCTGGAGAAGCAGAAATTGACTATAAAAATTATAGGAAATTATAGTCAATTAGACTTGAATTTTGATCTCAGTTTTTCCTTTTACCAACCTTATGAGCTTGGTAAATTTTCCAGTCCCTTCAAGGTCTTTTTTTCTTCATCTGTTAAAAAAATACTTTTTAAAATGTTCTGAATATTAAGTGATACATTAAATGTAAGGGGGCCAGTGTGGTGCTTGGGAAAAATTAGATAGTAAGTAAATATCATTGCCCTGCATTTTGATCCACTCTCTTTGCCCTCTCACATTACAAATGTGTTGCCTCTCTAACATGCACAGTAAATAATACGCATCATGAACACGAAGAATAAGAAAATGCAATGCCCCTTTGCTAGAGCACATGGGTAGTCTAGTGGCAAAGGCAAAAATATAGTTTCAACTCTAAAGGACTGTATTTTGTTAGAATTTATACTTTTGGTGAGAGGTATGATCTCTGGACTCAGAAATCTACCTGTATTGATTCAGAATATTACCAAAAGACTAACTCCAGCCTCCTGAGAGAGAAGCAGCTTAAAGGGGGTTATCACTTGCCCTTTTCATTGTTTCAAATGCCTTTTGAAAAAATTTCATATTTAAATCTGCCTCTACAGGACTTTAAAAGCAAGCTTTTGACAACTATGGCATTACCTTCAGTATGAAATGTGAGACAGGAGAAAGAATTGGTTAGGACACCTGCTGAACCTTTGATTTATGTTTTCAGTTGCTCTGACTGGCTGGATGGGGGAATGTCACCCTCCATGCAGCTTCCCCAGCAGCAGATTCCCAGAGTTCTTCAGAGCATCCAGTCTGCTACTGCCCTTGAGCATTGGCCAATGACCTTCACCCTATTCAACTTGAAAATGGACCAAAAGATGAGGTGTGGCTGGGGGATGGAGTAAGAAATGAGGTGTATTCAGGGTCCCTGTTGTTCATAGCCTATCATACTAATACTTCTAAAACTTTTATTTAGTTTATGTGGTAGATGTAAGTGACAAAATGACAGCACCAAAATGTCTTTTATCCAAGTACTTTCCCCTAATCTGCATAGGTGTTCTTTTTATTCATATAAATGACAATACACAATGAATAAAATGAGTTTTAAGCAAACTAAAGAAGAGACTTCCTTTTGTAACATGTGTTTTATAAATTAGTCATAAATAAAACTAGTTAACAAAAGAAATCCTGCTATTTTAATTTTGCACATCATCTATAAAAATAATAAGAGCTAGTGTGTTCATGAGGCTATCTAAACACAGAGCCTGTATCAGATAGTTTACATGTATTCTTTACCTCTGTTCATTCACACACATTTCTGCAAAATAGTGACAAATCAGCCTACTTTGCAGATGGGAAAGACGGAAAGACTAAACTTTGGAGAAATCATCTTCTTGTCCAAGATCATAGAGCTATCAAATTGTTGTGTTGGAATTCTTATCTGGTCTTTTTTTCTGAATCATTCGTATTGTCTCAAGATAAAATGGAAAATGGAATAATACACTCTGAAACCACAGGTTAACATTTTAGAAATATATGTTTTAAAATATGTGGCTTTAATTGAAAAAGAAATTTAGTCAAAACTATGTCAAACAGTTTTATTTTGTAAGAAAATTTGGAGAGATCCTCCCAATGTGAAGAAATCAGATTCTTCCTCCCACTTTCTCTATCTGTCATTATAATGGCAGAAATCTGTGAAGAATTGGGAATGACATTTGGAAGCCATTGGATGAAAAAAAAGTCCTGAGAAATAAGTGTGTCATTTACATTTTCTACAAGAGTCATGTAGAGAGGTATTGGCCACAATAAAGAAAAAAGCACAGAAAATTTTATAAGGGGGTAATTTTTTTTAAAATTCAGGTGATATTTCTGTATTCAGAAAGATAAAAAAATTAAATTGAATTTGTACAAATATTTTTGTGTAACATTACTATTGAATTATGCATATGTTAGACCTATCTTGAATATTGTGGTTACTTTTAAACTTGAACTTTTAATGTAACTTTGAGTAAAATATCGTGTGTCTAAAGAAGCTATGTTATGAAAATGTTGCTTTGTTATAATTAGGCAATGAAAAGGAGATTTCATAGGCACATAATGACCAGGTCTAAGTATTAGAATAATTATTATTTGTTAAAACATGTTTTAACTTATGTTGCTCTAGACTCTAGGGAATAGAATAGCATCCCCAAAGAAAAAGAAACAAAGACAGGGTTGAGCTCCTTATAAGCAATTTAGAAACATTTGGAGCTGCCCAGCCATGGGATTCTATGTCCTGACAAAATTAGCTCCTCATATCTGCTTGAGTTTGAGCCAAGATGATATAACCCATTTTGCAAAATGTTGAAGAAGAGATTGGATAAATGTTAGATGAGTAGTTACAGACAATATGCACTTCAAGTTCCCTTCCATTTGCCATAATCTATGAATTTTATGTAGAAATTTTCTGATAAATGTTTTTGGAGCAGGCCATGAGGAAAAAAGAGAAATATTTGGACTGGATCACATACTTACTGAAAATCCAAATTATTCCCATGAATGATATGCTAGTTGACAAACGTAATTAACACCAGGGTGAGAAGAGTGACACTCCAGTCAGGGGAAGCCTTCGACCTTTGGTAATTTGTCTGTTCAGATATGACTTTTTCCCTTGAGATGTACTATTTTAATCAAGAGTTCTATTTATCCAAAATTTATTAACCAAATTAAATCAATACCACCATTCATTAAGTGCACTGAAGATGCACAATACTGGATTTGCATATGAATTCACTTTTCATTTCCTTCTCAAACATCAGTGTGCCACCTGCTAATCAAAATGTGATTCCTGAGTTCAATCTTTAAAATTACATCAGTACAATCATCACTCCATCCCTCCCCTTCTACAGCAAGAAACTGGGTCTGAATTTAAAGAAATTAAGGAAATAGAGACAAATGGAAGTGGATTTAAGAGAGCATACTTCTGGCATCAGCTCAATTAGAGTAAGATAAAAAATCCGGAGATGTAGAATTAAGATAGGTTACCAATTATAATGCTATGAAAGATTTATGAAGTGAGTTTCTATTTAATTGTTCAACAAATGCTGACTGTCTGTGAAACACGTGACAATCACTCAGCTCAATTCTTGGGAGATATTGTCCTGTAGGAAAATAAAGTCTGGTGCAGTACAAAGGCAAACATCGAGATGTATCAATCATGCATCCTAAAGGTTTTTAGCAGAGTATTAGGAAATAGGGATGCTTAATTGAGACCAAGGCAAGCTGATGAGTAAAACAAAATATTAATGTGGTAAAAAGATGGCAACAAAGAAAAACAAAGTTAAATTATGTAAGACAAATAAAGTCTATTTGAATTGTAAAGGCTATGAAAATTCAGATTCTTGAGATTACATACTGTAAATATGCCCATCTACACAGTACCAAAGTTACACGGATTTCTGCCTTATGCAGCATTGCAGTGGAACGTCAGTGCCTTCTGTCATTGAGGGTCAAAAAAGTTCATTAAACAAAAGATCATAATGACAGATTTATAGAAGGATTTATTTTTGTTTATTTAGGATGAAGAAAAATGATCTTTCTATCAATCTCTCCACTCCATTTGGTCTTCCTGTTGTCTACAACACTCAACTGCAGTAAATCCATCATAGCAGGGTTTGTGAGTTGCTTATACAAAGCATTGCTGATAACGGTGATTGCATTCACCTCACTGGCAGCTTGAGGGGGAAGGCACTGTGGATTTCAAGTTGAAGTGTGGAGGGTGGTCAGGAAGAAAATATGACATATATCTGTGGGAGAAGAGTGTGAGTGATCAGGAAGGATATAGGCTATAGGACAGAGAAGTAACATAACTGGAAAGTAACCTGGCAGTAAATAACACATTGCTAACTAGAACTCTAGGGGCAGCAAAAGAGTAGGCATTGGAATTTGAGTTCAGGTTTTGCGTGAGTGTCTTTGATGGCATTGCATGAGTTGTGGCATGCTTTGCCACATATATTTCTGCATTCCAAGAAAAAATGTAAAATGATTTTGGAGTGCCAATCATAGACTCTGATTGATGTGTTTTTATTGTTTTTTACCACTCAACTAGTTTTAAAGACTAATTTAGTGAGACACATTGGACAGTCTCACTCACACCACCCACCTCCAGGAACAGAAATGGTAGGACTAAAACATTGTCTAACAGCTGGTCCAAACCCTCATGAATTAGAGATACTAATAGGAAACTGCAGCATGTTGGAATTGGCTGCAGTGTTGAGAATACACTGTGTCACACTCCTAAAATTCTCATGCTACCTTTATTTTAATTTACCAGGCTGGTTTCCCAGTTTTAAGGATGGATGTTTGTGCATGAACAAATAAATGGTTGTTTATGATAACTGTACCAATTCAGAGGTAGAGACACAAAAATAACTGACTGCTAATAGGAGAACAGTATTCCTGTGTTATTTAACTTGTAAGATTTTGAAGTTTCTCTCTAAAATTACAATTGTATTTCTAAACAGAAATAATAAAACCAAAAACAAGAGACATATGCAGATTAAAGATAAGATTAAACCTAAGAGGTGGAGGGTATCTCTGCATGATCTTTGACATGTTTTCACCCATCTTTGCATGATTAATAATCTAAATAAAAATTAAATATTAATGTATACACATATAAACTAAATTTACTCAATATTTATAAACATCTTCTGCATACCACATAAAATATAAATATATCACACTTTCTTCCTTTGAAAATGGTATAATCCCATTGATTTACTTATTCTGCAATTACTTATTTAATTCTATTATGACTCAGGCATGGATGGCATTGCTTAAATAAACTCACCTGCTACTTTTCAAAATCAGCTTGCAGTCTGACAGGTTAAATTTATATAGATAAAACATAAAAATATTAGTATAAATACTGAAGTGTATATTATAAGAACAGAAGAATCCAAGAACCTGTATTCAGTTGTGTAAGCAAGGTTTCCTCTCCTGCTGAATGCAGATCTTTACAGGGCATATTCATGCTTTAGAAAGATTGAGAGCATCACCATCTACTTCTAGCCTGAATACTGACATTAATCTGGCTCTTATTGAGGTGGTCTTCACGTGGCCATATCTGAATTGGAGAGCTACAAGAATCCAGATAAGTAAAAATCCATTATGCACAAGTCTTGTTATGGAGGGCATATATTTTTGATGAGTAGTAAAAGATGGATAAATTCTGGATAGGCAGAAAGAAGATTACTTTTGCTCAAGAAAGAAATAAAGTATAAGCAAACCCTAGAGGTAGGAATGACGGAAAGCAGGAGAAAAATGGAGAGGAGAGCAGCTTGCACCAGTAGATGTTTGCTACTGGAAAGTGGAGCTGGAGAGAGGCACTAGCTCTGGGATAGGGAAGACCCTAAATAGCAAGCACAAGGTGCAAAGTTGTCTCCACAAAGAGTACCCAAATAGGTTTCCTTGAATGCTTAATCTTTCATCATAAATGTTACCAATGAAGAATTGTAACACAGAAAAAGGAACAATGTGAACCCTAAGACATGTGGGCCCAATGTCATTTTGCTACTGAAGGAGAGAGAGAGGGAGAAAGAGAAAAAGAGAGATAGACAGAGAGAGAGATTGAGACCAGGATATTTTATGTTTGTTGCTGTCAACAAGCAACTGATACCCCAGTCAAAGTTGATATTTGATTGATTCCAGGGATCCTCCTGGTCTGTGTTCTATTAGGTTGGAATTAGACCTATTTATTAAAGATTTAACTGTGCAATATCTTCATGATTATAGTCCAGAGTGCTTTGAACATTAATAGCTACTTCTTTATGCAAAAGCTTATTAGGGGAACTTGGAGATAAACTGAGTATTTATAACAGGGATTGGGGATACACATTTAATATCCTCCATCGGTTTTCCAAGAAAGGAAAATATAACTGTTGCCATATGATGATCAATACAATATAGTGGTACACGGAGCCAACTATGTGTGTTATAAATTAGAATCCCAATATCGCTTTGCATGTTTGGGTGTAGGTGCATGAAAATGTATACTTTTTTATTATAATTTAAGTTCTGGGTTACATGTGCAGAATGGGCAGGTTTGTTACATAGGTATACACATGCCATGGTGGTTTGCTGCACCCATCAACCCATCATCTACACTAGGTATTTCTCCTAATGCTATCCCTCCCCTAGCTCCCCACCCCCCAACAGGCCTCAGTGTGTGATGTTCCCCTCCCTGTGTCCATGTATTCTCATTGGTCAACTCCCACTTATGAGTGGTGTTTGGTTTTCTGTTCTTGTGTTAGTTTGCTGAGAATGGTAGTTTCCGCCTTCAGCCATGTCCCTGCAAAGGACATGGGCTCATCCTTTTTATGGCTGCATATTATTCCATGTTGTATATGTACCACATTTTCTTTATCCAGTCTATCATTGATGGGCATTTGGGTTGGTTCCAAGTCTTTGCTATTGTGAATAGTGCCACAATAAACATACATGTGCATATGTCTTTATAGTAGAATGATTTATAATCCTTTGGGTATATATCCAGTAATGGGATTGCTGGGTCAAATGGTATTTCTAGCTCTAGATCCTGAGCAATCACCACACTGTCTTCCACAATGTTTGAACTAATTTACACACCCACCAACAGTGTGAAAGCGTTCCTATTTGTTCACATCCTCCCCAGCATCTGTTGTTTCCTGATTTTTTAACTGATCTCCATTCTAACTGGTGTGAGATGGTATCTCATTGTAGTTTTGATTAGTGTTTCTCTAATGACCAGTGATGATGAGCTTTTTTTTCATATGTTTGTTGGCTGCATAAATGTCTTCTTTTTAGAAGTGTCTGTTTATATCCTTCACCCACATTTTAAATCAAGACAGGAAACTGACACCTCAGCAATTTGTTCTCAACTCAAACATCTAATCCTTTCTCTTCTGCTCTAACACCTGTCTTTAGTTGCATAAGGAATAGGATAGAGTAGGAGGGTGCAAGGGTGTGGCACAACCTAGCCCTTGCTTTGCAAAAACACCAAGTACATTTCTATCTTATTCATTTCTACCTCAACTAAAATAATTAACCGAGTTGGGGAATGGACTTAGTAAGATAAATGAAGAACTACCCAAAGTCGAATATTTACCAGATCACTTTCTTCTGTATGTTGTTATCTCTCTGGATAATATACTGTTATATTGTAAAATTTGGTAAAATCAAAAAACATTAAAATGAGCACTTATATAACTATCAATTTCTTTATATACAATAATCAATAAAGTTGGCACTTTTTTGTTTACTCCTTCCAAGTAACGCAGGAATCCAATATAATTTGCACATGAGATAAGTCCATAGAATGATCTCCCCCTCCCCCAAAAAACAGTGTATGCAAATTCCAAAAACATGTGTTCTTGCCCTAAATGAGATAATTTGGCACAGTGGCTGCGATGTCATATAAGCTTAACTGTGAATTTATAATTAATCCTTAATCTGTTTGAAACTCTAATCTCACCATTTCTAAAACTTGGCTGGAATTTACCTGACAAGGTAGTGGTAAAGTTTAAATGAGATGTGTAAACAGGGAGGCTTGTACAGAGAGGGGCTTCAATAAATGTTAGTCCCTCCACAGAGAGTACTGCTTGGTGACTAAAGTGTCAAAAGTGTCAAATGACATAGTGTTTTCATAATGACCAGTTCTTGATCCTTAACCTATCATCACCAAGGGCTGGAGCCAAGATTATAATTCTCACTCATGTTGAACCACCTTTTGGGACTTGCAATGTCAGTTATACAGTCATTCCTGGTTTGTTTAGAGCCATAAATCATCTCATGCAAGAAAAACAGCTGTGCTTTGCCAAAATGGTAATCACCATTGAACTTTTCCGAATTGAGACAAAGTACACATTGAAGGCTTTTTACAAGCTAGCTTTCAGCCTGAACTGAGCAAGGCATGCCATATTTACCCTGTCAGTGATCTTGACAAAAGTTGACGGTGCCAAATTGTAACATATAAGGACAAAATTTCAGTCATTGTGACAGGCAGTGGTGAAATACTTGTTAAGCAGCAGGAAGTTCCTGGTAGTTCAGAAATAATGCCCTGCACATGGTGCAGGGATAGCCTAAGACAGAAGGCAGACTTGCTCTCAATCTCACATGGATATACTTCATTTGAGGATGACGATCAATTATACATCTAGAAAAAATCAGATTTTCCAACAAATGAATGCCTCATAAATACATCTGCATGAGTCTTACTATTTAAACCAGATAACCTCTTCAGAATTGTTGGACAGGTGTGTTATTTTCTGTAAATATTTCACTGGTGCACCCTCTCCAAGCATCTCTCCCCTGCCAAACTTCATGATACTTCTAATAAAGTCCATTTAGTATTGAGAAAATAGTTTGGAACTCAGGAAATTGGTCTAAAGGTGGTAAATAGTTTTGAGGGATATTTCTCTCCTACTATGGACAGAACAAGGAGTTTTTTTCTAGGGACTATGTCTCAAGCTCCTCAAAGTGCACATGCCTCCCAATTTCAGATTCTCCAATCCTCTATTTCAGTAACTAGTGTCCAGGTCAAAGTTAAACTTTGTTTCTTGGGGTCTTCCTAATCTGTGTTTTATGAGAGACTATCCTCTCCTCTGATGATACCTTCCTGGGGGTGTCAATTTAATGAATAGAGTGAAGTAACTGTCCCTAGACTAGTAAGGATAAGCTAGGAGACATCATTATTACACTCACTAAGCTTTGACTTATCAGGTTTGACTCATAGAAAAAAATCTTATTTTCCAGTTTTTCTTGAAACTGCCTTGCACAGCAAACATAACATTTGAAATAGTATTTTAATTTGGAATGACGTTGGGGACTATTAGAGATTGTCAGGGATCTGAATCTCTACCTTGCAACAGCTCAGTCCTCCCAACTCATGCTGGCAAGAAATGGTGGGCCTTGGTGTGCTTCCTGCTTAACAGTGCTCAAATGGAATAGGATACGCTCATAAAAGAAGCTGTTTATTTAGACGGCTGATGTCTAACCTGAATCTAGACGTTTCCATGTGCCCAGTCCCAGCTAAGGTGATTAGGAAGACAAAGGTGGACCAGGGCTAAAACTCAATCTGTTCATAAAGAGAGGAATCCATTCAAAACAACCTTTGAACATGTGGCCTAGGGGTTAGAAGAAAGGAGTGGGATTAAAAAAAAAAGTGGAGGGGTAGAGGTAATATAAATTAATGGGAAATGGTGATGAAAGTGTCTTACATTTGAGGACTTCAAATGAGCAAAATGAAGATTTGCACCACATTTCCAGAAAAATATGTCCAGAATGGGTCCTTTAAATAATAATAATTAAAAAACCACTTTGTTTTCTCTACTACCTTTTGGGAAACCTGGGGGAACAGTTGTTTCTTTTGTGAAAGAGAGAGACATTCTCCTCCCCTCGCACTGTACCAATACTTCTACACTCCAAACAAACAAACAAACAAAAAACAACGACAACAACAAAATGAAGAGAATAACTATGCAGGGATTTTATTTATATTTAGGGAATGAGATCTTGGTTCTCTTTCTAGGGTTACTACTGAAGACTGTCCACAGTGCTATTTGTAATGTGGTGTTTATTTCTACTATAGGCCAGACAGCGCAGGAGACACCTGTGTTATTCCCCAGCTTCTGCTGGAGTTGAGCAATGGTGCAACATGGAGAACCCATGGAGCTCTGCCATGGAGGCTTTATTTTTAGCTTAGACTCAATCAGAAATTGACCTCTTCAATCTGAATGTCTTCCCCATTGTCCCTGGGTAGGGTGACAGAAGGAATACATCAGTACCTACTCTAATAAATAACATCTGTAATTAGAGATACAAAAAGATTTACATAACTCCTTTAACGTTCCCAAAACCATATGAAGGAAACACTACTCTTTTTCTTGCCATTGGACAGATAAGGAAACTAAGGCTTTGAAAGCTTAAGTAAATTTATAGATAGCTTTGGCCCAGAGCAAGAACACCACCACATCATTTTGCAAGTACACCGCGGGTTATCAAGTGAAGCAAGCAGATGGCTTTACAAGACCCAGGGGAAGAACCTTAGCTCCTTGGCACTTAGGTGCAAGCAATAAGCAGGGTGGAGGACTGTCCAGGCCCAGGGAAGAAGTGAACATTCCAGTACATACACTGTTGATCTCAGGTACTAGGATCAGACACTGATAGAAAAAGATACTCAACTCCTGAATTTGACTTACAAGTAAATATATAGAAGGATGTTAGATTTTTATTTCAGTGTGTGAGAGTCACAGCTCCTATTATTGTATTATTTCTGGAGCCTGATGATAGTCGGGGAAAGAAAACCTTCGTCAATTCATGAGCGCAGCGAATGTGATCACATTATTCAAAAGATAGTGTGTCATTAAGAGTGAGAGCTCAGGAAACAAATAGCCAGGTTATTAGGTATTTGATTTTGAGCAAGTTACTTGTATTTTCTGTGCCTCAATTTCCTCATTTATAAAATAAGAACAATAGTACAGCTCCCCCTCCCCCTCCCCTCCCCCTCCCCCTCTCCCTCTCCCTGGTCTCCCTCTGATGCCACCAAAGTTGTGAAAGCCAAGGCTCGACTGTACTGCCACCATCTCGGCTCACTGCAACCTCCCTGCCTGATTCTCCTGCCTCAGCCTGCAGAGTGCCTGGGATTGCAGGCCCGCGCCGCCACATCTGACTGGTTTTTGCATTTTTTGGTGGAGACGGGGTTTCGCCATATTGGCAGGGCTGGTCTCCAGCTCCTGACCTCGAGTGATCTGCCTGCCTCGGCCTCTCGAGGTGCCGGGATTGCAGACGGAGTCTAGCTCACTCAGTGCTCAATGTTGCCCAGGCTGGAGTGCAGTGGCCTGATCTCGGCTCGCTACAACCTCCACCTCCCAGCTGCCTGCCTTGGCCTCCCAAAGTGCCGAGATTGCAGCCTCTGCCCGGCGGCCACCCCATCTAGGAAGTGAGGAGCATCTCTGCCCGGCCGCCCATCGTCTGAGATGTGGGGAGCGCCTCTGCCCCGCCGCCCTGTCTGGGATGTGAGGAGCGCCTCTGCCCGACCGCCACCCCGTCTGGGAACTGAGGAGTGTCTCTGCCCGACCGCCACCCCTTCTGGGAGGTGAGGAGCGTCTCTGCCCGGCCGCCCCATCCGAGAAGTGAGGAGCCCCTCTGCCCGGCAGCCGCCCCATCTGGGAAGTGAGGAGCCCCTCTGCCCGGCCGCCACCCCATCTGGGAGGTGTACCCAACAGCTCATTGGGAACGGGCCATGATGACGATGTTGGTTTTGTCGAATAGAAAAGGGGGAAATGTGGGGAAAAGAAAGAGAGATCAGATTGTTACTATGTCTGTGTAGAAAGAAGTAGACATGGGAGACTCCATTTTGTTCTGTACTAAGAAAAATTCTTCTGCCTTGGGATGCTGTTAATCTATAACCTTACCCCCAACCCCATGCTCTCTGAAACGTGCTGTGTCCACTCAGGGTTAAATGGATTAAGGGCGGTGCAAGATGTGCTTTGTTAAACAGATGCTTGAAGGCAGCATACTCCTTAAGAGTCATCACCACTCCCTAATCTCAAGTACCCAGGGACACAAACACTGCTGAAGGCCTCAGGGTCCTCTGCCTAGGAAAACCAGAGACCCTTGTTCACGTGTGTTTATCTGCTGACCTTCCCTCCACTATTGTCCTATGACCCTGCCAAATCCCCCTCTCTGAGAAACACCCAAGAATGATCAATACATACTAAAAAAAAAAAAAAAAAAAAAAAAAAAAAAAAAAAAGAATAGTACATACATTTTGGGAGAGTTATGAGTATTCTATGAATCCATACACACGAAACCCTTGAAACAGTGGCTGGCATAGACTGAATACTTAATAAATAGACGTATCGATATAGTCAACGATTTTGATGCCCAGAATGAATAAGTAATTCCTCCTCCACCCACCTGAGAGAAATATGTCTTAATCAATTCATTCCTGTAGATACTACATGTTGCACTAGTTTTTTAAGGACATATTCTCAGAGAGAGAGCCAAAGCTTTCAGATAAACCACTGGGATCTAGAGACTGATGCCACAGTTTCACATCACAGGTGCTTGCCTGACCTGCATCAAATGTGCTTTCAGAAGGGAGCTTATCCAATACCATTTTAATATTTTCAGATGTTTTCTCTACTTCGATTTCTAGCTACAGCATAGACTGGCTTCAGCTACTCTGCTCAGAGTGAAGGTACCAAAATGAAGAGGGCTCCAACACACAGGGATACAATGTGTTGAGTTGAAAATATTAACATTTGGCCAGGCGCTGTGGCTCACGCATGTAATCCCAGCACTTTGGGAGGCCGAGGCAGGCTGATAACGAGGTCAGGAGATCGAGACCATCCTTGGCTAACACGGTGAAACCCCATCTCTACTAAAAATACAAACAATTAGCCAGGCGTGGTGGTGGATGCCTGTAGTCCCAGCTACTGGGGAGGCTGAGGCAGGAGAATGGCATGAACCCGGGAGGCGGAGCTTGTAGTGAGCCGAGATTGCACCACTGCACTCCAGCCAGGGCAATAGAGTGAGACTCTGTCTCAAAAAATAAAAATAAAATTAAAAAAAAGAAAATATTAACATTTGTGGTTCCTAAGCAAGGTGTTTGATTTTTAAAACATTACTCAAATTCTTTAAACCATATTCCCCCAACTGCTGCCATCAAAATTTATGCTGCCACCAAAATATAGGTTTTGTACATCTTCACCACTAAAACGCACACACACACACACACACACACACACACACACAATTTGTGAATATTGATTTAACATTTTCCCAAGAATAGAAAATCAAGGTTGAGAGTCTCATTCTTCAATATAAAACAAGAACCTTCTGGAAGGTATGTGATACTATAAATATTTTCAAACCAGTTATTAAAAAATGCAAGACCTCTTTCACGTGATAAAACTATTAGGCTTACTTTTATTATGGTTCAGCTGAAGCATACGTAACCCTAAGGCATGATGGAAATTATAAATTAACATATAGAATCAGATAGAGAGTAAAAGGGAAATCAACGGGGAGCTAAAAGGCAACCAACCAAATGTGAATTGACAAATGGGCAAGTTTGAGGCACAGTAATAAAACGTGTAATGGGAGCATCTTGAAGTCCAAAACAAGATCAGGAATAGTATTTGCAGAGTCCTTCCATGTAACTCAGATTGAAGCGTAATGATTCATTTAGTTGAGATTTGAGTAGATTTAAACCAGAGTAAAATAAACGTATCTATTCATAATTGTAATTCAAAATTCTTTCCCTGCCTAGAGAGTGAGGCCTGACTTATACCAAAGGACCTAAGAAGTATGCTGATTTTATTCCTTTTATTACAATACAGCTCCCTGGGGCAAGGCCAGCTGGTGAAAATTCATGTAGGCTGGTACACTGTGAGCCCTTATTTACAAGGCATTAAAAATACATCAGGAAGACAAAAGAATGCTCCAAACAATAAATGTGAACAGCCCAGAACCATGGTGCAGCGCATCTCTTTCCCAGTCCAAGGCACACCATAGTTCTCTCTTGCCGCTGAACGTTTTTTACTTATTCCTCCTGAGCTTCCTCCAGTGGAATGGGACTTTCTGGGAGTCGGTATTGTGTCAAAATTTGAATTGCCTTGATGTGAGCAACTTAAGAGAGTATGTTTTTTGTTTTGTTTTACTGTGGAAATATTTACTAGAGACCATTCTTGTTGCTTTTCATAGACATGTGACTGGAGAGCGTCAGTCAACTCAACTCAAGAAACTGCCAGCTAAGTCATCCTAATTTTCTTTGTTCTCAGAGATTTGGGGTATTTTAGGAGATTGATTTGTTAACCAAGTAACATGCAGATTTGCAAAGAAAATTAGAAAAGGCAGAAAACTAGGTCTAAAATGACCCTATAGGCAGAAATAAACATTTTGAGGAAGCAATGGGACATTTTATATGCAGATGAACATTCTTATTGTTTTAAGTGAGCATTTTTAAAACAAAGCTGCCTTACGGATTATAAAAATTCATAAATGATTTGCACCTATGAAAATGTTTATAGAGCATTGCATTGTAGTGAGGAATGTGAGTTTGGGCATCAGGACTATTACTTTCAAATCACAGCTTCCCTTTGTTAACCTCTCTGTGCCTGTTTTCTTGTATATAAAGCAAGAATATCTATTTCATAGTTGGTTTTGCCTGGCAAATTGCATGTATTCAATAAAGGTTGGATATTGCAATTTTTGTGTTCTTTCATTTTGTTATTTTTTTCTCAGTATTAGGATGATTGATTGTCACATTCAGACTTAAATGATGCTTTATTTTGCTACTTAAAAGGTTTCAGTAAACAGATCCAATAAAGTATTAATCAAAAGGAGAGCCATCAGTAAGCTTTGGACCATCTGACTGCAGTATTTTCTACACCCTGAAACATGGCACGGTGGAAAGCTTTAAAAACAAGCCAGAATTTGAATCCCAAGTTTTTCACTTAACAATTATGTGACATCAGAAAAGTTGTTCTACTTTTCCTGGGATAAAAAACACAAAGGTGGCCAGCCACAGTGGCTCATGCCTGTAATCCCAGCACTTGGGGAGGCCAAGACAGGCAGATCATCTGAGGTCAGGAATTTGAGACCAGGCTGGCCAACATGGTGAAACACTGTCTCTACTAAAAATACAAAAATTAGCTGGGCATGTTGGCGGGGACCTGTAATCCTAGCTACTTGGGAGGCTGAGGCAGGAGAATCACATGAACCCGGGAGGTGGAGATTGTAGTGTGCTGAGATCGTGACACTGCACCCCAGTCTGGGAGACAGAGCAAGACTCCGTCTCAAAAAAAAAAAAAAAAAAAAACCACCACCAACAACAAAAAATGTCTGCCTCATCCCATGATATACAATAGCAAGAAAGATAAGTAAATCCATTTATCTTAAATTGTGACACTTGATAGGGAAAAACTATAGAGACCGACTGAAGCATCACATTTTTTTTTAATTAGTTTTTGTCTGGGTCCCTTGGTAAAGCCCAAGGGATTTAGAAGGAGCTGTCCAGAATCCTTATCCATTCATCTCTCTTTCTTTCCCTCTAATTCAGTTCATTCTGTGAATATTCTGTGTTTTTTTCTTTAGTAGTTTAACCCTGGGAAGAGTGACAGATACTAAGCTTGCTTAATACCTTATCATGAATTCTTTCCAGCTCCATGATGGTACTTTCACCTTGTATTCAATTACCTATTTACACATTTTGTATTCTCAGCTAGAATTTGATAGGCTCTTCTGCACAAAGTCCATGGCAATTAACACAGTGACAGCCACATAGTCAGAAATTCCACACATATTTATTGAAAAACAAAATCAGTAATTGGTCCCACTGACATCTGAGGAAGAAATAAATAAAAAGAGCTCCCCACAGTGATTATTTGGGACATGCTGTATGAGTAACTGACATATTAATTCCAGCTTGCATTATTACATAAACGGCTCCAGTAACCAGACCTGTTCCACATACAGTTGCCAAATATATGTGAAACATCTGTTAAGTTCTGAGTTTTCTAGTAAATCTAACACTGAAAATGGCCTTTTTATGGAGTAAGCAGATGGCAGTAGTTTGCTAGGAGACTGATATAGAACTGGCACCATTTTCCATTAAGGTCAAAGCAGAAATACAAGAAAATTATTAATATTAGTCCAAGAGATCAGTGAACATGGCAATAAAAATAGAATATGCAAGGATCAGATTTTTTTATGTTTTGATTTAAAATGGGAACAGATAAGATGCAAAGTATTCATGAGTTTCTTTGATTATTAAAGCAAACAATATGGCTGGGAGCGGTGGCTCACATCTGTAATCCCAGCACTTTGGGAGGACAAGGCAGGTGGATGACCTGAGATCAGGAGTTTGAGACCAGCCTGGCCAATATGGTGGCAGGCGCCTATAGTCCCAGGTACTCGGGAGGCTGAGGCAGGAGAATCGCTTGAACCTGGGAGGCGGAGGTTGCTGTGAGCTGCACTCCAGCCTGGGCCACAAAGCGAGACTCCATCTCAATAAATAAATAAATAAATAAATAAATAAATAAATAAATAAATAAAATAAAGCAAACAATAGAAGCAGCATGCTTGCGCTGTTAAATATGCTCATGAATAACCCCACTAATAATCTTTGGCACTGGGAGCCCAATTATTATGTTTCTGCTTTTTATTTTTAATTTTATCCCTTCATAGAACTGGAACTCAGTAGGGAAATAAGATAGTGTGTTTTTGAGGTAATTTCCACTAACTTTTAAAACACTTTCCTGAGTGGAAAAGAAAGCCTAAATAATTAACCCCTTGTAAGAGCAGCATGGATTTTGGTGTCACAAAACCTTGGTTTTCAATACAGCTTTAACCACTTTATAGTTGCTAGACCTTGGTCATATTAAAAAGCATCTTTTTCCCACTCTTCTACTGCAATGTTTAACAGAACAAAGGAAAATGGCATAAGCTTTGTATTAGAATAGCCTGGAGTGTGAAGCTTCGTTCAACAGTGACTTGGGAAAATGATATGCCCTTCTTGAAACCCTGCTGTAAAAGGACATGATGAATCTGCCAGGGTTCTTACGAGCACTGAATAGCATGTAGAAGCACAGGGAGTGCTCACAATGATTACTATATGAATGCCAACTCATTTCATCACCACTTCTTGCCCCTCCATTGCCTCTAATCCCACGCCCGACCTATACCATCTCCAGAGTCAGTATTGTAACAAGGGAGATCAAATGATAATGAAGGACCATGAATTCCTCTGCTCTCACTTGTAGGGGAAGACCACTGGAAGGTAATTGTTCTGTCCCTGTCTAGCTACAGATGAGAAAACTATCTGTAAATGGACCTTTTCATTAAGGGACATCCTACTGTAAAAGTGAATACCGAAATGAGAAGAGATGTCTTTCTTTGGAAAGACCTCTGCATTCACAACCACAGCCCTGGAAATGCTCACACAGCCTTAGAAAGAGAAAAGTTAAATCAGCACACTAAAAAATACAGTGTGAATTGTAGGTATGTACTAAGAAACAAAGGGGGAAAGGATGAGGCAATAGAAAAGTAAGATCTATAGATCTGTGGCTAACAGTCTGTCTACTTCCTGTCACAGGGTGTTATAGATGTCTACACTGCCTTCTTCTCACTCCTCCTGACCACGCTGGCTGTAGACACTCACATAGGTCCCTCTAACTTTAACTCTGAGCCTGCAGAGTGCAGCCAATAGCCCAGCACCAAATGGCTCTACTTTTCTTGGTGCTATTTTCACATTTGTACTTCTTTTCTAAAACTTCCTTCTTACTAGCTTGCATTTGTTGCCTTATTATTATTATTAATTTCAATGATGATAATGAAATAACCCATAAAAGAGTTATTTCTTCAATGATAATAAGAATGATAAAATTTGCCCTCACTCAGCAACAAGAAAGCTGATCTCAGGAGGATTTTTTTTTTTTAACTTTAAGTTCTGGGATACAAGTGCTGAATGTGCAGGTTTGTTACATAGGTATACATGTGCCATGGTGGTTTGCTGCACCTATCAACCCATCGTCTAGGTTTTAAGCCCCTCATGCATTAGGGGTTTGTCCTAATGCTGTCCCTCCCCTTGCCCCCCAACCCCCAACAGTCCCCAGTGTGTGATATTCCCTCCCCTCCCTGTGTCCATGTGTTCTTATTGTTCGACTCCCACTTATGAGTGAGAACATGTGGTGTTTGGTTTTCTGTTCCTGAGTTAGTTTGCTGAGAATGATGGTTTCTAGCTTCATTCATGTCCCTGCAATGGACATGAACTCATTTTTATGGCTGCATAGTATTCCACGGTGTATATGTGCCACATTATCTTTATCCAGTTTATTATTGATAGGCATGGAAATTGTTTTTTAGTTATTGCTAATAATCAATAAAAATGTATTGACTGACTGACTGACTACTGTCTGCTGGGCTCAGTGAAAAAATGAGATAAGAATCCTTACCTTCGTGATGATTCCACACACAGGATATACAAATAACAAATAAGTAACAATATCATATGATGTAACAAGGGGAGGTCAAGGATGTTCCACGATTAACTACTAGAGAAGTGGCATAAAGACAATGCTTACCTGCTTACCTTATGAATCCACAAAACAAAGAGGCCTGGCATGGCACAGACTGTTCAACACAGATGCAACTTGAGCAGGAGCTTTCAGGTGATTTGAAGGCTGGAGAAAAGTAGGAAGCCATTCCTGTTGGGAAAACTTCATGAGTGAAGATAAGATTTCAGAAACAATCTAAGGTGGGTGGATCATTTGAGCCCAAGGGTTTGAGACCAGCCTAGGCAACATGGAAACACCATGTATCAAAAAAAAAAAAAATACACACAAACACACACACACACACACAAATTGTGTATATATATATATATATATATATATATAAAAATTGTGTATATATATATATACAAAAATTGTATATATGTATAAAATTGTATACACACACACACACACACACATACACACACATACATAAATTGGCTGGGTATGCTGACATGTACCTGAAGTCCCAGCTACTTGGGAGGCTGAGGTGGGAGGAATGATTGAGCCCAGGAGTGAGTTGCTGCAGTGAGCCATGATTGCACCACTGACCAGAAGAAGAAGAAGGAGAAGGAGAAGGAGAAGGAGAAGGAGGAGAAGAAGGAGGAGGAGGACAAAAGGGAGGAGGAGCAGGACAAAAGAAGGGGAGGAGAAGGGGAAGAAAAGGGAAGAGGAGGAGGAGGAAAAGGAGGAGAAGAAGAAAGAAAAGGACAATTTAGGTTTATAAAACAGTGGAACAATTTTGTATGCATGAGATAATAATTGTCAATACCTGACCTTGCACATGTGTCAAAACATATAGAACTGTACAACACAAAAAGTAAAACTTAATGTAAACTATAGACTTTAAATAATAATAATGTCTCTCTATTGCTTCATCAATTGGGATAAATGTATCACACATATGCAAGATGTTAATAACAGGAAATTATGAAAAGAGAGCAGACGAAAGGTGATATGGGGGACTCTGTACTGTCTGTTCAAACTTCTGCAAATTGAACACTACTATAAAAATAAAGTTTATTAAAGCAAAACCCATTCAACTGCCAAAACATCATATAAATCCAAAATCTCACCAGAGTCATGTGACCATCTTCTGGTTTCAAAGTCTGCCTGGCCAACTGCTAATTCTCTCTCCCTCACAGAGTTTTATAAACTTTTCATTTCCTTTTGACAACAACCATGTCTTTTGGAGTAAGATGCAGTACTTAAGTGTTCATGCTGTTGGTTTTCACAGCTTGGCTTTTTGGTTGCATTACTAAACTATGTGCTGTGTCTTATTTTTGAGGTTATTAGAATGTGGATTTTTCTCAATTTTAATAATAATCTAACAAAATAGACATATGATTTAGTGAGTATTTGGAAAAACACCCATCTAGAAAAGAAATGAACTTGCTACCAGCCATTTACATCATTGTTTAGATTTGTATCAGTCAATAGTAATTTTTTTGTGTGTTAAGACATCTTTTCATGCTATGATATTTTTAAAATGCATCTTTGAGTCTTAAAAAAGCCATTATCTAAACTTTGATCAAGATTCCTGTGAGAGACTGATTTCCAGAAGTACTTCCTCATTATTTCCTTGAAAGATAACTTGATATTGGTGATAAAGGAAAAGGAGACAGGGTGGGATGTCTTATTTTTGTCCTGTTGCTGTAACAAATTACTGCAAAGTTGATGGTTTAAAACAACACAAATATATGGTGTTATGATTCTTAAGATCAAATATTCAAAGTAAGCCTTAGCTAAAATCAAGGTGTAGGGAAGGCTTTCTTCTTTCTGTAGGCTTCAGGAGAGAATCTGTTTTTTGTTTTGTTTTGTTTTGTTTTAATTTGTCCAGTTTATAGAGATAACTCATATTCCTTGACTTGTAGCCCCTTCTTCCATCTACAAATCATATTATTCAAACCTATTCTTCACCATCACATGATCTTTTCTGACTATGATCCTCTTGCCTCTCTCTTACAAAGACATTTCTGGTGACTATACTGGTTCAGCCAGGGTATTCTAGGAAAAGAGTGCCACATCAAGATCTTTAAGTTAATCACATATGCAAAGTCCCTTTTGCCAGGTCTCTTTCCTGAGGATTAGGATGTTGACATTTTTGAGAGTCCACTGCATAGTGAGCACAGATGACTTATCAGATTGTGGAATTAAATAGGAGAGTTATGGGAAATAAAAGAATTAAAAAATAAGAAGAGAATCCCAATAATGGAAAAAGGAAGAACCAAATGTGTGTCAGTGAAGCTTAAGTATAAGACTTAGTATAGACGGTTATTTTAATAAAATTTATTATCAAGAAGATTCTTGTAGAGATGTCATTTGACATACAGAACATATGGGTTTGAGGTGCCTTCATTATGCTTACTTGGCAATTAGAATAATTCATATGGAAAATAATTTTCAGCTTGGTTTATCATGCAGCCATCTTTGTTTTGTGGATTCATAAGGTAAAGGATTTTCAGGGAAAATGATTGGATATGTGATTTGACTGTAGTATGTAAATTCGCCTTTTGTTTCCTGTCTGTGTTCAATTTATGAGCAGAAAAGTTACATGCTTCTTCAAAGGTTTAATGTAAATTTTTTCTTTCATTTTTCCCCAAGAAATAGTTGATTATAATAAGCATGATAGGGTTTACAGGAAGTGCTCTTTTAACAAATCATAATGTTGTTTTATGTCAAACAATGAGTTAGAGAATAGAGACAAACTTAGGTTTATTCCTTTGCTACTTAGTAAACATAATCAAAAATTCCATCTGTTTCTCAATTTTATCGTCTAAAACATGGGTATACTAAGGCCTTCTTTTTTAGTATTTTTGATAATCAAATGCGATTATATATGAAAAGCACCCAAGATATTATACCAGTTATTATATATTAAGTGACTCTAGTGGCTCAGTAAATAATCATCATAGTTCAGTAAATACAGGATATCTATTAATCTATTCATCCATTTTACTGAGTACTTACAATATGTTAGAGAGCAGGCTGGAGCTGGTGAAATCCATAATACATGTAAAAATAGAGTGAAGTCTTCCTTGTGGATGCCAAACACATCCTGCTAAAAAGTCGGTTTCTAATTGCTGTGTAATTAATAAATATATGGAGTAATGACAGAAAGCATCTTTAATGAAAATTCTTACTCTCTACTTACCCGGGGAGGGTGGGAAGAAAATCAAGCAGTACAAATTGATATGGTGGTGCTTAAAGGCAGCACTGAGAGCTTAGTGCACCCAGGGGAGAAATGCTTACTGGAGAAGGGTTTCTGAATTTCTTCCAGATGACAAAGTGGGAGAAATACACTGCCAGGAACTAGAACATTATATATATGAAGGAAGAGGAGAAAAGAGGCTTAACCTGGGAGGTAAGGGAGGTTAAAAACATTTATCTGGATATCAGAGAACATGGTAGAGTAGACACTTTCAAGAGTCTATTCCTCCTCAGAAGCACTGGAATCAGCACTAAACAATCACAATAACTTCTATCACAACCCTAGAAAACAGGTTTACACCATCCAAGATGATGCTGAATCAAGGAAAGGGTCACTTTAGAGTGGTAGGAAGCTTTGTAGCATTTTTATTTCTTCCTGCCCTACCCTTCCCTGGCTCTCAGTGGTCTTAAAAAGGACAGCCCTCACTAGCAGTGTGGGATGCTGGTCACTGGTTCTGGAGGGCGCAAAGCAGACTTTATTTGCAAATATTTGGAATTTCTTTCTTCTTTTCTTTAGAGACAGAGACTCATTCTATCACCTGGGCTGGAGTGCAGTGGCACAAATACAGCTCACTACAGCCTCAAACCCCTAGGCTCAAGATATCCTCCCACCTCCTGAGTAGCTGGGACTAGAGGCATGCACCACCACACCTGGCTAATTTTTAAATTTTCTATAGAGAAGGAGTCTCACTATGTTCCCCAGGCTGGTCTTAAACTCCTGGCCTCAGGTGATTCACCTCAGCCTCCCAAAGTGCTGAGATTACGGGCATGAGCCACTGAGCCCGGCTTTTTTTGGTTTTGTTTTGTTTTCTATTTTAACCTAACTGAGGACTACCTGAAAGACTGACACAGGGTGGCCTTCTCTATTTCATATAATTCAGAACTCATGTGGGCTAGAAAGGCAAAGTATTTACTTGAGAATACAATCACATATCACATATTGATGATGATATGTTCTGAGAAATGTGTTGTTAGGAGATTTCATCATTGTGTAAACACCACAGCAGGTACTTACCTGGACCCAGTTGGTACAGTCTACCACACATGCAGGCTCTATTGTCCAGCTTATTGCTCCCAGGCCTATAAACCTGTACAGCAGATTACTGTACTGAATACTGTAGGCAATGGTAACATAAAGGTATCTGTGTGTCTAAACATACCCAAACACTGAAAGAATTAGTAAAAACATAGTATAAAATTAAAAAAAATTATACACCTGTATAAACCACTTACCATGAGTGGAGCTTGCAGGGCTGAATGTTGCTCTGGGTGAGTCAGTGAGTGAGTGGTGAGTGAATGTGAAGACCCAAGACATTACTGCATCCTACTGTAGGGTTCACAGGCACTTTACACTACACTACATTTATTAAACAATTTTTTTCTTCAATAATAAATTAACCTTAGCTTACTGTATAAACCTTTCAATTTTTTCACTTTTTTACTCTGTAAAAACATTGGCTTAAAACAGAATCACATTGTACCCTTATTTCTTTATATTGTTAGCCTACAAGTTTTTGTTTTTTACTATTTTTAATTTCAATTTTTTTTATACTTTTACAGCTTTTTGTTAAACAGGGAGCCACAAGCACACACATTAGCCTAGGCCTACACAGAGTCAGGGTCTTCAATATCATTGTCTTCCATCCACCTCCATATTTTCTCCCACTGGAAGGTCTTCAGGGCAAGAATACACATGGAGCTGTCATCTCCTATAACAACAATACCTTTTTCTGGATACTTCCTGTAGGATCTGCCTGACAATGTTTTATAGTAAACTTTTTTTTTTTAAGTAGGAGTATACTAATATTTAATGATTAAAAAATATAGTATAGTAAATTCATAAAGCAGTAGCAGTTGTTTTTTATATTACCAAGTGTTATGTGCTGTACATAATTGTATGTTTTACACTTTTATATGACTGGCAGAGCAATAGGTTTGTTTACAACAGTGTCACCACAAATAAATGAGTAATGCATTGTGCTATGATGTTACGACAGCTAGGATGTCACTGGGTAATCGGAATTTTTCAGCTCCTTTATATTCTTATAAGACCGTCATTGTATATGTGGTATATTATTAACTGAAACACTGTTATTTGGCATTTAACTCTATGTAAGGTGAAAAAACAATCCAGAGATGCCTGGGACAACCGACTGTGGTTGACTCATACAGTAGAATGCCAAAAACCTAGGAGAAAAAGAAGAGGGGAGAGGTTCCTTGGGAAGCGAAGGTATTCAAAGGCACTCATGTGTACTGGGAATCTAGAAGGCAACATTCATGTCCAGAGAAGGGTGCTTCTCAGAAAAGACCTGAGAAGACCCTAAGCTTTTCACATCTGGATGATTTCTAGGCTCAGAGCAAGCAGGAGGTGAAAGTTACAGCAGAGTTATAAATACTCCTGCTAGGCATTGGAGGAATGCCCCAGTACAGACTCAATCTGTAAAGAGTGGAAAAGGTTTGTTGTTTTTATTTTCTTGTTCCTTTCTTTCATTATTTTGTTTTCTCTGTTTTGTTGTTGTTGTTGTTTTGTTTATTTTCTGGATCCTACTGTTTAAGGGAATCACTCTCAAAAGGACAGACACTTCAGAGATGACAAACCAAAAATAGAGACCTTAAAAATAGGAAAAATCACTAAACAATCCTACAGCTACAGCCTACAGAAAGCAACAAAAATAAATCCTATGGAAGGAGAAGAATCAGATTTAGAGAGGTACTGCATTATAGTATGCAAAATGTCCCATTTCCAACAAAAGTTAAGGCCCATTCACAGATGAGATTAACAGAAATTGTCCCTAAGAAAGCACAGATTTTGGAATTATAGACAAACATTTTAAATAAAGCATTTTAAATATATTCAAAGTGCTAAGGAAAACCATTGGTCAGTTTGATTTTTGACAAAGGTGTAAAGCCCATTCAACTGGGAAAAAAATAGTATCTCCCAAAATTTGTCAAGGGGCAACTGAATACACACACACACACACACACACACACACACACACACACAAATAATGTTAGACTCCTACATCACACCACATACAAAAAGTTAACGTAAGTGGACCAAGGACCTAAATATAAGAAGAGAAACCCTTAATTTTTTAGAAGAAAACATAGGATTAAATCTTTATGACCTTTGATTTGGCAATGGATCCTTAGCTATGCCATGGAAAGTACAAATATTAAAAGAAAAAATAGATAAATTAGATATCATCAAAATTTCTTATGCATCAAATGTCATCACAAAAGTGAAAAGGTCATCTAAAAATTGCAAATCACGTAGCTGATAAAGAATCCAGAATATGTAACAAATTCTTGCAACCCAACAGCAAAAAGACAAGGAATCCAACTGAAAAACAAATAGGCAAAGGCTTTGAGTAGGTATCTCTCCAAACAAAATATATGACACAAATGGCCAGCAAGCATATAAAAAGATTCTTAACATCTTCAGTCATTATGAAAATGAAAATCAAAACCATAATGATGTACTACTTCACAAGAGTAGTATGTCTATAATAAAACAAATAATAAAAGAGAAAATAAGTGTTGACGAGGATGTGGGAAAATTGGAACCTTTGCACTGGTAGAAACAAAATGATACAGCCTCTGTGAAAAACAGTTTGGTGGTTCCTTAAAAAATTAAACATGGAATTACCTTACGACTCAACGTACGCACGTTTAGAAATGTATTGTAAAAAACTGAAAAGATGTTCTCAAGCAAATATATGTACATGCATGATTATAGCAGCACTTTTCATAATATTTAAATGATGGAAATAACTCAAATAGCTATTAATGAAGAAATGTTGTGTATAAATACAATGAAATATTACATCACTGTAAAAGGAATGAAGTGCTCTAGAACCAGAAATACCATTTGACCCAGTGATCCCATTACTGGGTATGTACCCAAAGAATTATAAATCATTCTACTATAAGGACACATGCACATGTATGTTTATTGCGGCACTATTCACAATAGCAGAGACTTGGAACCAACCCAAATACCGATCAATAATAGACTGGATAAAGAAAATGTGGCGCATATACACCATGGAATACCATGCAACCATAAAAAAGGATGAGTTCATGTCCTTTGCAGGAACATGGAGGAAGCTGGAAACCATCATTCTCAGCAAACTAACACAAGAATAGAAAACCAAACACCACATGTTCTCACTCGTAAGTGGGAGCTGAACCATGAGAATGCGTGGACACAGGGAGGGGAACATCATACACCAGGGCCTGTCAGAGGGTGGGGGCTGGGGGAGGGATAGCGTTAGGAGAAATGCCTAATGTAGATGACTGGTTGATGGGTGCAGCAAACCACCATGGCACGTGTATACCTATGTAACAAACCTGCACGTTCTGCACATGTGCCCTTGAACTTAGAGTATAATTTTAAAAAATTTAAAAAAAAGGAAAAAAAAAAAAGCAATGCATGTTGCCATGAACCTCAAAAAATAGGCTAAGTGAAAAAGTCAGACAAAAAAGTGACATGCTGTGTGATTACATTTACATGAAATGTTCATAACAAGTAACCCATTAAGAAGGAACGCAGATATGCAGTTGTCAGGCCCTGGGAAAGCTGAGGGTGGGGAGTATATTCCTAAAAGTACATATGTTGGGTCATGAGGTAATGGGCACTGGCTTCCTTTTGTGGATGGTGAAGGAAATAATATATACAGTGTTCCATTTCCAAGACAAAGTGCCTTGAATCAGCTTAGGTCAGCAAACTACAGAAGAAACAGGATATACTAGGCCCCTACTTGGATAGCTGATGCCTGCTTGTCACCTCCCCTTTCACTCCTGTCTTCCTCCTCCCACCTTAGTTGCCCTCACCCAAACCGAAGACGTTTAGTCTAAGATAAAAGTTTACTAGCCTGCAGAATAACTTGTTTTGTCTGTTCTTAACAGCCAGCCCAGCTACTTAAGTCATAAGTCAAATACTTGAAGAGCCCCTGAGCTAGCTGGGAATGCAATGCATTGTGGGATGCAACAAAATGCAGGACAACCCTAAAGAAAACACCTAAAGCCCTTACCCAACAACCAACAGGTGATGGCTGGGAAGATTGTGACCCCATAGTACTCAGCCCATGAAGAACCGGGGGAGGGACCTGAGCACTAGGGAACAAATTTTTTGTTGTAACGGTACTGAGTGTGCCCACGCATAAGATACCCGATCTTGTAAGAGAGTCATTAAAAGTCTCACTTTTGCTGTTCTCCGGGTCTCTGAATCTATTCTTTGGGTTTAGACAGGTGAGTTTGTTTCTCACAACCTGGTGGCCCATTTGTGGAACTCTGTGCCTGCGTGGAGTATGACTGTGGCTGAGAGGGGAGACATGTCCCACCTGATTTAGGTGGCCCGCTCTGTTTGAGTGTCCTGGCTTCCTGCAGAAGCCATAGACAAATTTGAGACTGTTATGCAGCAGAAAAAAGAAGTGATGCAGGGAAAAAAGCAGGCACTGCAGCAACCAGGAAACCTGGTGCACCAGCCAAGGTAGGAAAATGGGACTGTAAGTACTGCCTAGGTGGTTGGGCATTTTCAGAGTTCTCAGGGTATGCAAGAAACATCCAGTAAGTGGGGGCTGAGTACACAGGGAAAAGCTCAGACACAGAGATTAACTGAAAATGGGAAACAAGAATTCTAGGCCTAGGAAACAGAGGAAAGAAGGAACTAAAGAGAACCCCTCTGACAATCCCCCAAATAGTTAGGTGGGGGGAATGCTGCAGCTTTGGAGAGATAACCCTCGACCTGGGGACAAGGAAAAGCAAACAATGATGAAGTACTGCTGTTTTATCTGGCCCAAAGAGCCCATTCATCAGCCTTTGGTCTTTTGGTCTAAGTTTGGCTCAGAGGAGGATTAGGTGTGCAAAGCTTTAACTCTCTATGTAAATGATAAAACCCCCTCCTCACAAGAAGAGATGGGTTACTCTCTTTGTTGGATTAGTGAGTTAACCCCCATGCTCCCCTTCAAAGAGGAAGAAAAAGAGCATAGTAAAGAGCCCTTGCCAGGTGAAAAGCCCTGGGATCCCCTAACACACTTGCCCCTCCCCCATACATCTCAAAACATAAAGGACAGGGAGATCAGGGGCAACAGGAGAGCCAGAGGAAGAGAAATCTGGGGGTCATGAAGGAGCTAAACCCAATGCTCCCTTATATCCTTGCCAAACTTGAGGAAAGAATTAGAACAATGTAAGAAAGACATTGAGAATTTTCCTATTCCTTCTAAACAGCAGATGTCTAATATATGTCCTCTGAGAGAAGTCCCTATGGACAAGGAGAAGTTGGATTTGTGAGTGCACCTTTAACAAGTACTGAGTTTAGGAATTTTAAAAAGGAAATGAGGCCACTCTTGGAAGGCTTCCTTGGCTTAGCACAGCAGCTACATCAATTTTTAAGACCCAGTTTGTATGCTTGGGCTGAGATGATGTCAATCATGAATATTCTTTTTTTTGTTATTTATTTATTTATTTATTTATTTATTTATTTATTTATTTATTATTATTATACTTTAAGTTTTAGGGTACATGTGCACATGTGCAGGTTAGTTACATATGTATACATGTGCCATGCTGGTGTGCTGCACCCACTAACTCATCATCTAGTTTTAGGTATATCTCCCAATGTTATCCCTCCCCCCACCCCACAACAGTCCCCAGAGTGTGATGTTCCCCTTCCTGTGTCCATGTGTTCTCATTGTTCAATTCCCACCTATGAGTGAGAATATGTGGTGTTTGGTTTTTTGTTCTTGCGATAGTTTACTGAGAATGATGATTTCCAATTTCATCCATGTCCCTACAAAGGACATGGACTCATCATTTTTTATGAATATTCTGTTTACTGGGGAACAGAGGGTGATGATGAGAAGGACAGCCATGACCATTTGGGAGAGACACCATCCTCCTGAGCAAGGAGTCCTGGCAGCTGAGCAGAAATTCCAAAATGAGGATCCTGGATGGGATAATAATTATTCTGGGGATCAGGTCCAAATTCAAGATCTTAAAGAGCTAATAATTAGAGGGATTTAAGAGTCCACTCCTAGGACATAGAATGTCTCCAGAGCATTAGAAATCCAACAAGAAAAAGAGGAGACTCCCTCTGCATTTCTGCAGAGTCTCAGGGATCAAATGAGAAAATATTCAGGATTAGATCCAGAGGACCCAGTAGGGCAAGGCTTTTTAAATATTTATTTTGTCACTAAACCTAACCTCATATTACTAAGAAACTACAAAGGATTGATGCATGCAATAAGAAACCAATTAAGGAATTACTAAGGGAAGCTCAGAAGGTTTTTGTTAGGAGAGAGAAAGAGTTAAGCTGCTGACCCTGAAGGCAGGGGAAACCCCGCCACGCAGCTGTGTCTGGGAGCTGGCTGCTGAAAGCTGTTGATGAAAGTTGCTGCTGAATCTTTGTCATTTCAGCAGAGCTGACCATCTTTGCAGACAGGCAGCGGGGAGCCAGAGCACAGCACGGCCGGGCTCCTGCCCAGACAGAAAGAGAAAGAAACTGAGTATGAGGGAGAAAGGAAACAGGGGATGACAAAGAGAGAGGTAGAAGAAGAAAATGATTGCTCAGGGGTCACGGGTCCACAATGAGATACCATCTCACACCAGTTAGAATGGCAATCATTAAAAAGTCAGGAAACAACAGGTGCTGGAGAGGATGTGGAGAAATAGGAACACTTTTACACTGTTGGTGGGACTGTAAACTAGTTCAACCATTGTGGAAGTCAGTGTGGCAATTCCTCAGGGATCTAGAACTGGAAATACCATTTGACCCAGCCATCCCATTACTGGGTATATACCCAAAGGGCTATAAATCATGCTGCTATAAAGACACATGCACACGTATGTTTACTGTGGCATTATTCACAATAGCAAAGACTTGGAACCAACCCAAATGTCCAACAATGATAGACTGGATTAAGAAAATGTGGCACATATACACCATGGAATACTATGCAGCCATAAAAATGATGAGTTCATGTCCTTTGTAGGGACATGGATGAAATTGGAAATCATCATTCTCAGTAACAAGAGAACAAAAAACCAAACACCGCATATTCTCACTCATAGGTGGGAATTGAACAATGAGATCACATGGACACAGGAAGGGTAATATCACACTCTGGGGACTGTTGTGGGGTGGGGGGAGGGGGGAGGGATAGCATCAGGAGATATACCTAATGCTAGATGACGAGTTAGTGGGTGCAGCGCACCAGCATGGCACATGTATGCATATGTAACTAACCCGCACAATGTGCATATGTACCCTAAAACTTAAAGTATAATAATAAAAAAAAAAGAAAATGAGTGAGAGAGACTGGAAAAGACAGAGATCAAAGAGAGACACAGAAAGTGAGACTGGGGAGTGGGATAATGTAAAAGGAAGAGTACAAAAGGAAGAAAGAGATAGAGAGGCCATAAAAGACAGCAGACAAATGGAAGTGCAAGTAAGCAGTAGCTGCCACAGCCCTGCAGGTAGAGGAGAGTCAGAAGCTAACCTTCGGCAGGGCCCTGGTCATAAACTCCCCACATCAGGTCAGGAATATATTCAATCAAAGAGCTGGGAAATTGTTGACTGATTCCCAAATTTTAAAATATGAAGCCATATTACTAGAAAAAAAAAACTGGTCTTAACAACAAATACTTGCTTGAATCCAGGCAGTTTCTTATGTAAAAGAGAGGAGAATGAGGAGGCATCAGACCAACACTGTTTAGATATCATAAAATATCAAACTAAAGTTAGACTAGAACTAGAGCAATCCCCTCATTCTCCATAGGGAATATTAACCAGTCCTCTTGCATCTCTAGTCAGGGGGCAAAGTTCAACAAGCCTGTGGGAGAACTCTCAACTTGTACCCACATCCTAAACATTATTGGTGAGTCAAACAAAGGCAACTGCTCAGCTCTTCATATACCCCGGGGCTGATGTCTGGTGGTATTGTGGAATGAGGAACCTCTGTGACCTATTGCCATCCAATTGGACTGGGACTTGTGCCTTAGTTCAGCTGGTTCAATTGGCCATTCCATTCACCCTGGCATTCCATAAGATTCCCAAGAATCCACATGGCCACCGAAGTCAGAAAAATTTAACAAATTATTTTGATCCCAACATTTATATTGACTCAGCAGGTGTACCTAGAGGAGTACCTAATGAATTGAAGGCCTGAAATCAAATAGCTGCTGGGTTTGAATCAGCACTCTTCTGGCAGTCAATTATTAATAAAAATGCGGATTGGTTATATCCACATTTATCCAATCAATAATAGATTGATTATATCTATTATAATCAACAAAGATTCATCAACTATACTCGAGATGCTCTCAAAGGAGTGGCTAGCCAGTTAGATGCCACTAGCTGAATGGCTGGGAGAGCACACTTACACTAGACATGATCTTAGCAGAGAAAGAAGGCATATATGTCATGCTGGGGAGAAAGTGTTGCACTTTTAATCCTAACAATACTGCCCCAGATGAAACTATCACAAGAGCATTACAAGAGTTAACACCTCTAGCCAATAAATTGGCAGAAAATGCCAGAATTAATGACCCATTTACTGCTTAGGGAGTTGGTTTGGGAAAAGTAAAGCAAGGGTGGCCTCCATTCTAACACTCCTTATAATAGTGGCTGAAGTCCTAACAGCTGTAGGGTGTTGCATTATCCCCTGTGTTACAGGGTTAACCCCAAAATTAATCAAAACAGCCATCAACAAACAAAGGACCATAACATATCAACTATTATTAGAAATGACATAAGATCTACTCTCTTATGATGAAGAGAATCAACAGCTCTTGAAACAATTTGAGGACCAAAGGACACAAAAATAAGTGTGGAAATGGGACCAATAGGAGTACAAAGAAAAAGAGGAGGGAATTTATTGATTTGTGTATGTTGAACCAATCTTGCATTTCAGCAATGAAGCCTAGTTGGTCAGGGTGAATAAAGTTTTTGATATGCCATTGACATCAGTTTGCTGGTATTTTGTTGAGGATTCTTGTGTCTATGTTCATTGGGGATATTGGCCTGTCAGTTTCTTTTGTGTGTGGTTTCTCTGTCAGGTTTTGGTGTCAGGGTGATACTGGCTTCACAGAATGAGTTGGGGAGAAGTCCCTCCTCCTCAGTTTTTGGATTAGTTTCAGTTGAATTAGGACCAGCTATTCTTTTTGCATCTGGTAGAATTTGGCTATGAATCCATCTGGTCCAGGCCTTTTTATAGTTGGTAGGTTTATTATAATTTAAATGATACATTATAATAATGAAATGCTAATGGGTACCCCCTCACTTATAAAACCTAGCTTATTTAAATGGTATTACTTCTGAGGAGTGTTTTCTGAATATCCACATCTTCATAACTTATTTCCCTATTCCCTGATCATGTAACACTTTATCTAAACCAGCATAGTCTAACAGGAACCACATATGCAATTTTTAAATATTCTTATAGTTACACTAACAAATAAGTCAAAACAATATGGTATAATTAATTTTATTGATATATTGATTTAACCTTAACACATTGTTTCAACATACACCCAATATAATAATATTAATGAGATATTTTATGTTCTTGTTCATAAATTAATTCTTCTAAAGTAGGTGTGTATTTTAAACTATACCAAATCTCAATTCACACTTGTGAGTAGTGGCTTCCACAGTTAGACCACTAAAATTATATATACTGAAATATGTTATTGTAGTTACTGAGAAATTAAAAAGTCATCAACCTATATCTCATCTACCCAGTATCAAAATATACAGCTAATAGAAGTGATCATGAAGTCTTATACTAACATAGAAAATATATGGCTTAAATTTTAAGTAGAAAAGTGTGAATGTACAGGATAATCGTAGCCATGAAGGCAAAACATGCATTTGCTTTCTTTTCTCCCTTCCTTTCTTTGTTCCTTCCTGCCTTTCTTCTTTTATTCCTTTCTTCATTGTTTTGTTTTGGAAATAATTCATAAGTTATTGACATAAATTTACTTCAGACACAGGTGCCTTCTTATGTATGGCATTATGAAAACTGTATTCAATGGCACACTTATATTCATTTGTACATTTACATTCTCATATTAAATGTTTGAAAGTACCTATGTCATTATTATTAGTGGGCATCATTATTACATTTCTTAATGTTCCATTTTAATTTGTGTTATCTCTCAATTATTAAATTATCTTGCTACTATTTACTATTTAATTGCTCTTATTTTGTTGTTCTGGGTCCTATTTTAGGTAGAACATGCAAAAATTATTTCTAAGACGTGTCCACTACTTGAACTTTTTTCCAATTAAATGTTCGATATTTATTTTTTATTATCTAAGTGTAGAGAAAATACTGTTTGGTTTTTGTTCTTTTAAAAAATAATATAATCAGCCGGGCACAGTGGTTCATGCCTGTAATCTCAGCACTTTGGGAGGTCGAGGTGGGCAGATCATGAGGTCAGGAGATCGAGACCATCCTGGCTAACATGGTCTCTACTAAAATTACAAAAAATTAGCCGGGCATGGTGGTGCGTGCCTGTAGTCCCAGCTACTTGGGAGGCTGAGGTAGAAGAATAGCTTCAACCTGGGAGGTGGAGGTTGCAGTGAGCTGAGATTGTACCACTGCACTCCAGCCTGGTGACAGGGCGAGACTCCATCTCAGAAAATAACAATAATAATAATAATAATAATAATAATAATATAACAATAATAATATAATCATTTATGTTATTAATATAAGCCAAATGCAGGGCTCATGCCTGTAATCCCAGTGCTTTGGGAGGCAGAAGGGGGCTTATTGTTTTAACCCAGGAGTTGAGACCAGCCTGGGCAATATGGCAAAAACCCGTCTCTACACAAAAATAAAAAAAAATTAGTTGAGTGTGGTGGTGCTGCCTGGATTCCTAGCTTCCAGGGAGACTGAGGGGAAAGGATCACTTGAGCCTGGGAAATCAAGGTTGCAGTGAGCTGTGATCATGCATTGCACTCTGTCTGGGCCACAGGAGTGACACCATGTCTCAAAATAACCGAAAAATAAATATTTATGACTATAAAGCTGCTCCTACATATTTTCTTAGGGGAAAATTTATAGTCATAAATTCTCTCCTTCATTTGAGATATATACATATATATGTATATGTGTATATATGTATACATATATATGTGTATATATATGTGTGTATACATATATACATACACATATATATGTATACATATATACACACACACACGCACATATATATATCTCGAGAGAGAGAGAGCATATGTGTGTATATATGTATAATCTTGATATATACATGTATCGAGAGAGAGAGCATATTATACATATTTTATACAGATATTCCTACACTTATAATGGGATTATGTCCCTGTAAACCCATTGTAATTCAAAAATATTATAAGCTAAGTATGCATTTAATACCCACCCATCATAAAATAGAAATATTATGTCAGGAAATTTCTGTACATTACACACACACACACACACACACACGTGTTCTATATCACACTTGTTTTTTGCTGTTATATTATTGATGGTTTAATTATTTTGTAATTCTTTACAAAATAGGTAAATATTAGCATCCCCATGGAGCATGGATTCTAAAAAAGATAGACAATAAAGTAAGTGTTGGAGAATGCTAGACTTTGTACGGTTGATAAGTACCGTACAAAGGCAAAAAAAAAAAAAAAAACACAGGCTCTCTATGAATAGGGGTGCTGGGGTACTGCTTGCAGTGATAATTAGAGTGATTATGGTATGACTCACTAGGAAGCTGAAATTTCAGTAAAAAAAAAAAAAAAAAAAAAAAAAAAGCAGTTCAGGCAGAGAACACTAGAGCAGAGACCTTAAGGCTGGTGTGTTCCAAGAATACTCAGGCCAGTTGCTGGAGATGACTGAGCATGACAGAATCACAGAAGAGCGGATCCAAGAAGAGGAGATGGGCTTACTCTTGTAAGACCTTGAAGCCATCATAGTAGCACTCGCTTTTACTCTGAAGTGAGGCGTGATATCAGGGGCTTGTGTATAAACGTAAAATGACCTGACTTCTATTTTAAAGGATTCTCTTGTCAGATGTGTTGGGAACATACTTGTAGTGGGTAAGACTAGAAACAAGATGCTTTAATAGAAGTGCACAATAATCCTGGTGAGAGATGATGGTTCATAGGAAGGCATAAAGAATGGAGGTACACAAAAGTGCCTGTATTCTAGATACAGTTTAAAGGTAGAAATGGCCATAAAATATGCTCTATGTTATTTCTGTTTTTTTTAAAATTAATAAGCTGTTGCTTGAGGGGAAGTTTACAGTAAAAGTTCTACAGACACTTGAAAAAATATAATTTTTTATTGATAAAATATAAAATTTAAGAATTTTTATTATTTAATCTTATTTATATTATTCAAATACTCTGGGACCATATTTAAATTTTATCTTCTTGGTTTGTCATAAACAAAAGCTTATTTATTAATCACTCTGCTATGTATTATTCTTGTTGATGTCTCCATGCGTGCCCACCAAATTTTGCTTTACACATTTTAGTACTATGTTATTTGACACAAAAAGATTTATGAGTTGTATTTTCTTTGTGGTTCCTAGCTTTTATCAACATAAAAGAAAGCCCTTTCAAATGCTTTAAAAATTCTACTATCCACTATAAATATTTTTATTACTTTTTGGAGAATTTTGTTGTTCAACTTCATCTGATATATTTCCTCATACTTTATTTTTAGCATTTTTTATTTCAGGTATAGCACTGGCAGGAAACATATAGATTACCTTGTTTAAAATGCTCCATAGGTATGCTTACCTCACTATAAAACACGAGTCACAGAATTTTTAGCACTTGTGCTTGTAAGAAAGTGGGCTATAAAATAACTCAACTTAAACAACAAGTGGACCACCACACCAGGTATAATTAGTAGTATAAAAACACTTGTTAACATTTTTGAAAGAATAGTGTAAAAAATTAAAATAACTTGTGATGGCTAATATTGAGTGTCAACTTGATTGGATTGAAGGATACAAAGTATTGTTCCTGGATGTGTCTGTGAGGGTGTTGCCAAAGGAGATTAACATTTGTGTCAGTGAACTGGGAGAGGGGGACCCACCCTCAACCTGGGTGGGCACCATCTAATCAGCTGCCAGTGTGGCTGCAATAAAGCAGGCAGAAGAACATGAAAAACTAGACTGGCTAATCCTCCCGGCCTACATCTTCCTCCCATGCTGAATGCTTCCTGCCCTTGAACATCAGACTCCAAGTTCTTCAGCTTTGGGACTCCTAGACCTTTGACCACAGACTGAAGGCTACACTGTAGGCTTCCCTAGTTTTGAGTCTTTGGGACTTAGACTGGCTTCCTTGCTCTTCAGCTTGCAGACAGCCTATTGTGGGACCTCATCTTGTGTGAGTCAACACTCCTTAATAAACTCCCCTTTATATATACACCTATCCTATTAGTTCTGTCCCTCTAGAGAAACCTAATACATAACTCCTCCTCAAAATTCTCAGAAAGTGATTATAATACATTATCACAATATTCCTCAAATTATGGAATCTTTGAACTTCATACACAAATGGATTCAGTGTACTGGTCTAAACTTTGTAGAGTATTTCAAGAAAAGACCATAATTATTATAGCCTGTATTTAAAAAAACAACAACACTCTGTCCATATGACTCATACCTTTCTTTTTAGCTCAAATATTCTGAATCCATTTGGATTTTGATCACAGATAACATGTATTTTGATTGTCCTGATTTCCTTTATTAATATACACACGTGTATACAGATGTACACATATGTATATATAAATTACAATCATATATGTATACATATATATGATTATATATGATATATATGATTATATATAATACAATCATATAGGTATATATATGATTATATATAATACAATCATATAGGTATATATATGATTATATATAATACAATCATATAGGTATATATATGATTATATATAATACAATCATATAGGTATATATATGATTATATATAATACAATCATATAGGTATATATATGATTATATATAATACAATCATATAGGTATATATATGATTATATATAATACAATCATATAGGTATATATATGATTATATATAATACAATCATATAGGTATATATATGATTATATATAATACAATCATATAGGTATATATATGATTATATATAATACAATCATATAGGTATATATATGATTATATATAATACAATCATATAGGTATATATATGATTATATATAATACAATCATATAGGTATATATATGATTATATATAATACAATCATATAGGTATATATATGATTATATATAATACAATCATATAGGTATATATATGATTATATATTATACATTCATATATGTATATATGTATATATACATATATGTATATATATTATACAATCATATATGTATATATATGATTGTAATTTATATATTATATATATGATCATACATGTGTGTATATATGATTCTAATTTCCAATATGAGGATTATATTTCTTAAACTGATTAAATCATACTTGGGCATACACTTTTCTTTGGTCAATAAGTATGAATAGAACTAACATATAGTGCATCTAAGCAGAAGCTTTAAGTTTCATTGCATAAATACAGCATTATTTATTCCTCTCTTATCATATTAACCTTTTCCACATTAGGGCAGTTCCATAGCTTACATCTCAGGATGAAGAATATATATGTAGCTTGATCACAATGGAAACATGAAATGAGAAAGAAATAAAGTTATTTTTATAAGCCATCGATTTTTGTGCCTGTGTCATTTTGTTTTGTTCTACTGCTTTGGCACAAACTAGTGAAGCAAATATGGACATTTTTGCCAGAAGTTGGGTTCTGTGTAATAACAAAGTAAAACATGCAATTCTTGTTTCAAGGTCAGGTAATCCACAAAAAACCGAACACCATATGCTCTCACTCATAGGTGGGAATTGAACAATGAGAACACTTGGACACAGGAAGGTGACCATCACACACTGGGGCCTGTTGTGGGATGGGGGGAGGGGGGAGGGATAGCATTTGGAGATATACCTAATGTAAATGAGGAGTTAATGGGTGCAGCACACCAACATAGCACATGTATACATATGTAACAAACCTGCATGTTGTGCACATGTACCCTAGAACTTAAAGTATAATTAAAAATAAATAAATAAATAAAAAATTAAAAAAATATTATTGTAGACTAGAAAGAAGTAATTCATATTACACAGTGACAAAATGTTTGGAAATCACTAACAATCTTGTGGAAACCAAACTATATAATGTGCTAAATAAGTTTGTGGCTTTTGGTGAAGAGTTGGAGAAATTACTGATGTGAATTGAATGCTTCTGATTGCATTTAATATGATTAATCAAGAAATGGAACTCACAAGAGGAACTGATACATACTAAGCAGGGATTAAAGGGAACACACACTCTGGACTTGAAGAGTTGAAAGATATGGCTGATTTTCATTTACAGTTGGGGAAAGATAAAACCATAAAGGTCTTTAAGCAACAAAGTATTATTAAAACCCAGATTATTGTATAGGATCAAAAATAGTGTGTTGCAATCACAGCCTTTGTTAAAACGTCTGAATTGATTTAACTGTGAAAAAATATCACTCAGAACAAAAAAAAAAAGCAAAAACAAAAACTAAAGTTTGGCTCTCCCACAAAATCCTGGTAAGTCCAGTGTTCCTGTAAATAAACTTGGAGTGAGAGGCACGTATGGAAAAGGATTGTCAGTTAAACAGTCATACAGAATGGATTGGAAGGAATCAAGTAGATAAAAGACCAACTGTGTTTTGAGAGGCTTCTACCGTCCAATGAACCACAAATCTGAATTGAAAGATATAGTAACAATTCAAGACATAAATTCCCTGGTAGGACACTAATTTTCTTGCTGAAAAGCATCAGTCTGAGAAAGCTTCTTAACCACCCGTGCTTCAATGCCCTCTTCATATGTGAACAAGAATAACAGGAAGTGAAGGTCCTCACAGAGAGCAGAGACTTGGTCCATGAAGTACAATGGCAGGGGAGATACAGTGCGGAGAAGATGCTTAATCAAAAAACATGACCCATCTCTGTAACCACTCAAAATCTGCTTATCAGAATTTCGTAAATACTATGGAACAGGGATTTCCATGTGGTTTGCCTTATTTTTATAGTGGGTGTGATAAGTACAACTAGACTGTCCCTAGTCTACTATTTGTTGCTGGAAGAGTAGGGACACATAGCTAGGAACCACATCTGAGCAAGATGATAAGACCATTTGACTTTGAGCCTGACCCCGTGATTGGATGACATTGCTGAATTTATTTTTTCTCTTAGGTAGAAGGGGTGAGTACAATCTGCATGTACTTGTGATGAACAAGATGGACAATTTTAGATTGTATTGCAAATTCCAGATATTCTTTGATCCTCTCTAAAGGTGGATTTTAACTTTCTAGACTGTTATTATCAGTATTTTCATGTGACTTTCTTTGGATACATAAATTATTACAAAAAAATCACATTCTACCTGCAAGCAGAAGTTTTAAGGACAAGTCCATGCTATCTCATGTCGTTTTAATTGTAAGTTCCAGACAGAGGCTGTTCTATTAACCTGGATTTCAAAATGAAGACCAATTATAATGAAAATGTGACATGAAAAATAAACTTTTGTTTTTACAATCCAATTAAATGTAGGGATTCTTGATAACCAAAGCATAGTCAAGTAAAAGCTAACCAGTATACGAGCCCACCACAGACTCCAATTCATTCGATTCATCCCAGGGAAAAATAATAAACCTTAAGAAAATGTCTTTTTGATTTCTTCCCAAAGATGTTTGATTGGAAGCATCTTAATTTCCCTTCTCTCTCAACATATTCTGAAAAAAAAACAGGGAAACTAATTAAATAAATAAAAAGACACTAAACCTAATAATTATATGGCTAGAATGCTAGAACCCCATACTACAGATAACCTTAAAAGTATTAATGTTCCAAAGTCAGCTCACTGACTAACTGATAGAATTGATCTGAATAGACTCATAGGCCAGGAGAGACAGGGTCAGCCTTGCTGGAATTCCTCAGGGCACACGGACTTGGAGAAGTTATGCAGTGAGAGCACACTCAGCCTGGCTTTTGTCACTGACCTAGCTTCTCACTGAGGGAGCATGACATGGTAGAGACAGGTTGGGATAAGGGGGTTCTGATGGTGAGAGTGCAGAACAGAGTCTGAGATTTACTGTCACCGGGAACAAAGTAACAACCAAAGAAATACAGTCGGCAGTATATGGAGGGACATACTAAAAATGACAGATGTAAAATTAACATTCAGAGAAATTAAAGATACAAAAGACAAAGGAGATTCAAAATGCAGTTAGTACTTTTGATGAAGAGAACAAAGATAATTGATACATAAAGAGACATATCTGTAATCATGTCCATCGAATGTAAGATATAGGTATTTCTGAAGTAGTAATTTTGGTGATTTTTATTTTCTTTCTTTTACTTTCCTGTGTTTCATTATTTCTGCTTTTGCTATTCTCTTTTATAATGAATATGAATCATTTAAAAATTAAATCACCCTTCTAAAATGAATTGACTGCTTTGGAAAGGAGTGAAACAGCCAAGATTATCAGGAAAGCCTAGGAGCTGCATGCTGGCCCTCTCTTCATGTCTGGGTGCTCTTCCAGTCAGCAGGGGCTCACTAGAGGCTCTCTCTGGACCTCACATTCAACTGTGCAACAAATGGCTTTGCCTAGTTGATTTCTTAACTACCTTAAGGCTCTGTGCTCTGTGGTTCTAACTAGATATCCAGTGACTTGGAGAATTAAATCGTGGTTGAAATAATAAAGAGAAAATGCACTCTGGAAATTGTGGAAGACAAATAATCAAGATTAAAAAATATATTTTGGCCGCCTTTCAAACTTTATATTATTATATTGATTAAAAGAGAACATATGAATTGTACTTTAATCAGTGCCCAGTGAACATTAAATTGACCTTGGAATCATGGCCAATATCGGAGTGCAGGTCTTCATCAATTTGATTCAGCAGGCACAGAAGAGCCAAACAGAGAAGCTATGATTGTGCCTGAAGGCTGGAATTTATTATATTTTCAGTAAAAACAATTTTGAAGGAAGATGATGGTTTTCCTCTGAATTGTTTCATTAAAATTTGATCAGAGAGAAGAATGTTTCTATTTAACTCCAGAAAATGTAATTTTGGCTTCCACCCACAGAGAGAAGTTTTCTACAGGGTTGTTCTTGGTTGTGGAGAGAGCCTGTATAAATTATATTTCCTTGTGAAGTGCTATTCCAAAAATATAGCCATCAGGAACAATACAATGTATCCCTCAAAAGTATTTGCCTTAGAAAAAAACTACCTTCTTGTGGTAAATTATACTCCATTTATAATATGTGCTTGCATGCCACTTGAGATGTCCTCAAGTATTTGGTTACACTAAGCAGCTGTGCTTAGCTTTGGACCCTTCACTGGGTAAGAAATGTCATTTTCAAACAAATCTTTCTTGTCCATTAAATATTGAGGCTTTCCTACTATAAGGCTAGAGGCACACTAAATGCACAACTTCCTTATTTACATGTTTGAGAGAGAGGATCTGTCCATGGCTTAGTATTTAGTTCTACTGCAACAAGAATGGTCTAACTTACCTAATCTCAAAAATGTTTGTTTGTTTTTGAAAGGCAGACTTTCTCTCAAAAATCTTAAAGGGATGCCATTTCAATTTCATGCATGTTGTTTCTAGCAACAAAACATCATGGGCAGTAAGAATAATAATATCTTAAAAGAGCAGGACAGAATTCTGTAGGAACCATTATGAGTGAAACTATGTATTTCTCCCTAACTCACAGGCTAGCAACAAATCTCAGTGTGTTAAAAAACTCAGAGTAGCAACAAGCCACACTGTGTTAAGGAAACATAAAAATAAAAACTCTCTTGGCATGATATCTAATGAACACAAATGATTCCATTAAAAAACAAACTTGTGTTAGGCTTGTTTAATCAGAGCTGGAAAGTTAATGCTAAGGATGTGTGGTTTAAAATGTAAAACTTTTTTTTAACTAAATGGTCTTCCCACAGTCTAACCACACACACACACACACACACACACACACACACACACACAGACACACACAAACCCACACACGCCATCAACAAACAACAAATAATTGAGGTACCAGAGTTAGAATATTGGCTCCCATCTTCCTCTTCCCCTTGTGTTACTCCCCTGACTATGTAATGCCATGTGCCAAGAAGAGATCATCTAGGTGAGCCCAATCTCATAAGCGTTTTAAAGTAGGGGCAAAAGATCAGAGATATCTAAAAAGAAAGAAGGAATCCATGTACCATTACTGGCTTTGAAGATGGTGGGGCCATGAGCTAAGGGTTGTGGACAGCATTTACAAACTCAGAACAACACTGGCGAATAGACAACAAGGGAGTAGGACTTCATTCCACAACTACATGGAAGTGAATTCATTTTGAATTTGCCTGAAAGTAGATTTTACCCCAAAGGCTCTAGGTAAGAGCCTGAAATGGTCTAAGTCTAGATTCTCACCTTGTGAAATCCTAACAGAGAAGCCAAATGAGCCATACTATGCCTGGACTTCTCATGAGAGACTGAGATAAATGTTTGGTGTTTTAGGCCTACAAAGTTGTGGTGCATTTTACAGAACAATAGAAAATGAATACAGAAGACAAGTGACTATCTAATAAATACAAGGACATCTTGTTTTCAAAATGAAACTAAGTAATATCATCTATGAGGGTTTTAACATCACCATTAGCTTTCTACTGCCCAAAAGATGATTTAGAAGTTTTCTTAGTTTTGTTTTTAATAATACAAACACATTCGCTTTATTTATATGTACTAAACTGTAGTAGAAGGTGCCTTTTGGTGATGAAGGAGATGGAGAATTACAGAATGAGTAAAAAATAAAGGAAAATAAAAAGAAAAGAGATAAATGTGGGATATATAAAGAGCCCATTTGTATAACACTTTCAAAATGACAAAACTATCAAAATGAAGACTATATTAGTGGTTGCCAGTGGACAGGGGAGGTGGGTGCAGTGGGGAAGAGGGGTGATGTAGATATGAAGGAGGAGCACGAAGGGGCTTCTTTATGGTGATGGAACACTTCTGTATCTTTATTTTAGTGGTAGTTACAAAAATCTATACCTTGGAAAAAATTGCATAGAATTATGAAATCATTTGTATGCATGCGCACACACACACACACATGCTCAAATAAGTTAACGTCAAAAATGATAAAAACTGAATAAAGTTTGTAGTTCAGTTACTTGTATTACACAAGCGTCAATTCTCTGATTTTTATATTGAACTGTGCTCATACAGATGGCACCATTGGAGGATGCTGAGTGAAGGATCCCTGGACTTTATATATGACCTTGTGAGTCTGTAATTATTTCAAAAGCGAATAAATAAATAAATGAACTGTCAACAACAATGTAGATGTATTCATTTTCTGGTAAATCTTTTGAGTAAGGTGAACCCCAAAGCTGACCCATCTCACAGATGTGCAATACAGCAGTTGATTGAACTCCCAGTGGGACCCTGTAACTTGGCTAAATATGAAGTTCCTGAACTAAGGCACTAATTTAATCTCCCTACCAATGATCAGAGATGGTTATCAATATGTTCTGATTATAGACAAGATGTATGAACCTTACAGAAGTGAAATGGCTTATCCAGAATCACAGGTTCACCTTTAACTAAAGGTAATGAACAGAGGACCTTCTTCTGACACATCGTTGCTACTTTGGTGGGCAGTAGAGAAAAATTAAGGATGATGTAGAAGAACTGGGACATACTAGAGGCCCAGAATTCTAGGGCTTTGGTAACTACACAGATCATTTTGTCTCTACTCCTCACCCCACAGTAGGCACAAGAAAAATCAATATATTTATTGAAGGTCATTGGTCTCCCATAAACTCCTTATGGAGTTGGACTTAGGTGAAAAATAGTTTGGATGATAACCAGATTACATTTATTCATAAAAATGATCAAATAGTTAGAGATAACCTTTGTATTTATTGCCTGTTGATTTTTTTTTAAAAGGGCTTCACAGGGTTCCTAAAATCTAACCAGCTCTAACTAGAATTGTAATTGGGAATTCTACATTATTCTGATTCATTGATAGAAAGAATCTTCAAGAGTCTTTTTCCGTGACCTTCAATAAGCTCGTCTCCTATTTTTCCCAGTGAAGACAAGTTTCTGCAGCCTACAGATTTGGTGCGCTCCTCCTTTACGGTCTCAACAAGTGGCAGAGGACAGCTTAGTGTTCGGCAGGCGTTTAATCAATGATTTGAAATAAATAAATCAGGATGGAATCCCCCCACTTTCATAAAAATTAATCTTAGTATTGTGCTTAGTAAAAATCGGACAGAGAAATATGGTTGCAATCTACTGAAATAATTTTGAAGACAATATACTCAAATATACAAAAAATGCAGGTCTAAAGGAAGCAAAAAGGAATTGCATATTTACTTCCACAAAAATTCAGAATTGCTTTAAAAAGAGAGGAAAAAAGAAAGAAGAAAAGAATCAGCTGCAAAAGTTAATTTTGCAAAGGTGTGAAAGAGACATGTCCTGTTACCCAAGTTCATTTTACATATTTGGATTTTGTAGAATGAGTTAACCCACAATGAAGAACAAAAGAGGCCATTTAAACAAAAATTTATATATGGAGCTTGTTACTCCTAAAACAGGCTGAATATATGTAGATGCATGTGTATGTTTAAGAAGTATAATATGAAATAATAGATGATAGCTACGTAAAGTATTTTTGAGAACACGGGTAAAGTTTTTCTGGAGTTAAATCTATCAGTTTTTGAATTTGACATCGTGAAATTTAATATAACTTTCCATAAACTGCCTTTGTATTTTCTTGGTTTTATTTTTTGCTGAGAGAGAGTTTTCAACCTCTGCAACCTCCCTTATAACAAAGAAAAAGATTTTAAAGAGATAAAGTCAGTTCAGACAGCAAAAGAATGGATCAACGCATTTGTTAACATGAATGGGCAAGAGAGAAACTGGAGACCCAAATAAGAACACCTACAAGATAAAATGGGTTGCATATATCCACCTGCAGAGTTCACATATATGGGCATTGCTCCTCTATGCCACTTAGCAGACTTCCTAGAGAAAGGGATGGATGTGAAGGTGAATAAAACTGTGAATAGACACCCATTTTCAATTTTCAACATTGGGGATTTCGTATTGCTCAACTGATAGTATATGATAGACAATGAAACACATTCAGGAAAATATGATTCTTTTACTTTGCAAGTAGCAAGGACACAGACAATACTTTTATCACCATGTTATATATTGCAAAACATGGACATTTTGAAAGGAAACCTACGTAAATTCACATATTAAATCAAGATGCTTTCTTCCCAGAGCCAGCAACAAGATTTGTCCCTCCAAAACTAACTTCCTCATTCCTACTCTGCACAATGTTCATGAAACAGAGAATTATTTAACTTTTTTGGGGGGGAGATTATTGCACCATTCACTAGTTCTCATTAAAATATTTTTCCTCCTGATTCCCATCTTAAATTGTCCTTTCATTAATTTATTCTATTACGCCCAGTCATGCTCAATTTTATGTGAATATATGTGCATTGCTCTTTAAAAATAACCTCACCAGATTATTTTAGAGAACAGTATTTGATTATAACACTTGAAGAAGCACAAGCTTTGTACTCATATCCAAGTGGCAGATTCATATTAATGTTTAATGCTTATTCATCATAAAAAACCTTTTTATTTTTAATATGAAACTTTTTAATTGTTAATTAAAATTTCAGTAGCATATATCTTGGGAACCTGAAATTCAAAAGGTCTGATAAAATGTAAATGATTTTATGTAAATGCTAAAATGGAATCATGGGTCAGGCATAATTTATCACTGTCACAACTAATCATGGGGATTGTTAATGTGCAACAGTAAAATCAAGGTCATTTTATTTACATATATCAAAATAATAGTGATGTTGATAAGCATAGAAACATGTTTTTATTGTTCCCATCTTTACAAATGCAATAGTCCCTCCTTGTACAGAGAGGATACATTCCAACATTCACAGCACAGTGGATGCCTGAAAACACAAATAGCACCAAACTCTATGTATTAGTACGTTTTCATGCTGTTGATAAAGACATACTTGAGACTAGGTAATTTATAAGGAAAACAGAGGTTTAATGGACGCATGGTTCCATGTGGCGCATCTTACATGGTGGCTGGCAAGAGACAATGAGAACCAAGTGAAAGGGGTTTCCTCTTATAAAACCATCAGATCTCGTGAAACTCTCACTACCACAGGAACAATATACTGAGGTATACGGTTTGGGACACAGCCAAACCATAACACTCTTTGTATACTGTTTTTTTCCTATACATACATGCCCATGACAAAGTTTATTTTATAAATTAAGCACAGTAAGAGATTAACAACAACACCTAATAATAAAATCGAACAATCATAACAACATGCCAGCATCACTACTCTTGCACTTCGGGGCCATTATTAAGTAAAATAAGGGTGATTTGAACACAAGCACTGAGACATCACAACAGTTAATCTCAGATCTCATAACTCGATAACCAAGAGGGCTGCTAAGTGACTCATGAGCTGAGAGCACTGTTTATGCTGGACAAGGCTGTGATTTACCTCTTGGGTGAGACGGATAGTGGGAGATTTTATCACGATGATACTCAGAACAACACACGATTTAAAACTTATAAATGGTTTATTTGGGAAAATTTTCCACTTAATATTTTCAGAACTCAGAAACCTCAGAAAACCAGTGGTAACGGGGGGCTACTGTAACCCTCTCTTTACCTTACTTGTTGCAGCTACCACTCCATTTCTCTCCTTCCCTTTTAAAAAAGTTTTCTCAAGGACCACATATGCTGCCTCCAGTTGTACTTGTTCATTCTGTATTGACCCCACTCCAGTGAGGCAGTAGTCCTCAGAATGCCACAAAAACTGTTCCTATCAACACATTCATGACTGCCACATTATTAAATTTAGTGCTTACTTCTTCCATCAGCTGAAATTGACATTATCCATCATTCTCTTCTCCCAGAAAGACTGTCTTCACTTGTTTTCCAGGATACCATAATGTGCTAGTCCCCTTACCCCCAGTATATGGTCACACCTTTGCAGTTTCATCCTCATCTCTGACCATTAAATGCTGGAATTAAAAACTCAGTCTTTGCATCTTTGCCCTCTTCTATCTACTCATCTCTCAGTGATCTTATGACTGTAATTGCAATCTACATGCTTATATATCCAGGTTTATATCTCCAATCAGACTTGTCCCCTGATCTCCAGACCCTATATTCAAATGCTCACTCAATGCATCCACTTAGCACGTCTACAACTGAAGTCCTGCTAGTACCCACTCCTGCTCTTCCCACATCCTTTCACAGGTCAATTAATGACAACGGAACTTAATGCTCAAGACAAAATTCTGTACTCAATCTTGACTCCTCTTCTCATTTCTTCCACAGCTATCTCTATGATTCAAACCACCATTACCCATACCTGGTTGGTTAAAAACACCTATTTGCTCGTGTTTTACCTTCCATATATATCTCTCATTAATCTATTTTCAACACAATACCCAGATCTAGTTTGTTAAAACATAAATCAGCCACGTTGCTTCTCTACTTGAAATATTCAGCGAGTTCTGCCTTTTGGAATCCAAGCTTACATCCCGATTGGGACCAAGGCTCCATTTGCAAAGCCCTCACTTCCCTTTCATTACCTCTCTGAGTTAATCACTTCTCTTTCCTCACGTACTAGCTCACTAGACTTCCACTGTTCCTCATAGAGGCCGGTTTATTCCTGCATCACAATTTTTTAATTTGCTGTTCTCTTTGCCTGGGATGCACCGATATCAACACACAGAGCATCAGAGCTCATGACGTCACTTCCTTCAGACCATTTCCAGAATGTCACCTTCAGAATAAGATTATCCCTGACCATCCTAGCTACATTCCATATACCTTTCTCCTATGACTTGTATCTCTCTTCTTGCTTTTTCTCTTTTACACATGCCACCGATACGTTTACTATTAATGTTATTTTCTGATTTATCCTCTAGAAAGAATTGAATCTCTATGAGGACAGAGATTTGTCTACTGTCTTTACAGCCGCAATACCCAGTATAGAGTTTAACACATAATAGAAATGCAAGAAATATTGGTTGATTGAATGAACTAACTGATGATAACTTATTATTATTATTATTATAAAATAACTTCTAAATAAAAGCCATATGCTTTTGTCTTCCATAATACTCAAATAAATACTTAACAATGGAAAACATATTACTTATTTGGCCATTTAAGTAGTAACACATTTTTTATTTAGCAACACAAACAAATGCAGCCATCCTTTGAATAGGTGACTTTGTCTATTTATTTCACTGTCATTCAGAAAATGCATTTATGCACCAATTTTGCATTAAGAATTTGGGTAATACTAACTTTTTAATTATAATCACTATAGACATAAACATATTTATGCTATTTTCTTTGTCCATAGGTTGGTTGTTTCTTTCCCTCTCAGCATATTTCTGTGAATTTTTCAGAAGAAGCCCAAATAGAAAGAAATTTGCCTAAGAAATCACAGAAAGCAGTTGGTATATTTATTAATTTTCCAATTTTAGATAACATTTTGGACTTGTTAGACTAAAATTTCTTAGTAGTCCCATAATATTTTAATTGTATATATGATACATTATAAATCTATTTTGCCCTGGTGTTTTTCAGAGCTCTCTTATTATTTAGAATTTTGCCTTTGGACTACAACATGTACTTGCCAAGGCCTCCATTAACCAAATTACTGTTTTGCTCTTAGATGATTCTGGTTACTGGCAAGATTATTTCCTGTGGTAGATAATAAAGATGGGTGGACCTTTTCTTTTGTCTGAAAAGTTGTGACTTCATGAATTCAAAATAATAATATGAAAACAAATATAATCTTTAAATTTTGTATCAGGTAAAAGAACAATATATTCTCAAGTCAGAAACCCCCTTGGAAGTATTTTACCGTGAATCTGATTGAAAAGAGAGGGGCACAGATTCTATTTTCATATTCTTAATATGTTAATTTTATGTCTATGGGAGGTGGAATGAGTCTTTTTTTTAAAAAATATTGATAACTGTAATTGTGTAAATAGGAGTGCAACTGGAATTTGATAGGCTGGGGGCACATAACCTGAAAGTACATAATATCTAATACTTTTAGCTTAAACAGCTTAATCAAGTCCTTTTTTAAAATCGCCTATCTCGTTGAGTCAACATGATTTTGTAAAAACATGTTTCAAATATTTTTAATGTTTCCATTAACAATTTATATTTAGTATATACAGACACAGATAGTATTAAAACTAAGTGCCCCTATTTAGCTGCTCTGCTCACATAAGGGACTACAGTTTGCCTGCAAATGTTAGTTCAAATCAACTGATTTAAAGTCATCTCTGTGTATTAAATCTGGATAAATTATCTAATCTGGCCCCTGACAAAGGTGTGAATAGAGTTATAAGAATATACATACAGTATATTATAAATATGGTATAATTTACTTAAATAAAATTTTATTTTTGTCTATTACTACATCTTTTAAAAGTATTGATTTGAAGTTCTGTACATTAGAAGTCATTTATAGATCTAAAACTTAAGGTCTAGGCCATATGGAATTTGTGAAATTTATTTTGAGAAATTTGTTTCTGTTCAGAAAATTATTTCTGTCCCTCTGTTCAAGGGACACGTTGAACAGAGAATAGAAAGGGTGATTTTACACTGAGGCCCAAATTTGAAGCCACAATAAGAGATATTGATGACAGCCATTGTTTTGGAATTGATATACTTCTTAAATTGGCAACTATTCTATTTTGTGTCAGTTACAGTTGTGAGTTGCCTGAGGAATACTGAGAATCAGCTATTATATTTAAAACAAGAAACAACATAAAAAAGCTATGATTTGATGTTAATTTATGTTCCTTCTTAGTTAAGAAACTTATATGCTTATAAAATCTGTCCCTACTCATGTCATTTCACTGTCCTTTGTAATACAAGGAAACTCAATGTTCTTTTAGTTCCTCTGCTTATCTCTAATAACAATGCTGTTTTTTATATGAGAAATTTTATATCAATTTCTTCTATCAATTTTTTTATTTCTGTTTTCAATCATTTGTGTTATCCATTTGACTCTAATTTTTTCTAGAATACTTGTTTGATCCTAGTCCCATTATTTTGCATTTTTACATCCGTGAATCTGAGGTGCATAATTTCTTTGGTATGTTTATTTCTAAAAAGATTTGGGTTATGCTACCCTGGAATAAAAAAATAGATAAAATTGATATAATTTTTTATCTATGGTGGATCACATCTTGAAATCAGTAAACACAGCAAAGGAGAAGTAATATTTTCCACAGCGAAATTTTGGAAATACTGATTGTCTATTTAAGCCCAGGAATTATTTTCATTTGCCATTGGTCTCAAATCAGTTTTTCTGTCTTTCACAACTCTATGGAATTGAGATGTGATATTGAATTTCAAAGTCGTTGGACTTTTTGTCAGGAGGATTCCCTTCAAGGCTATATCCTGAATAAAAAATGCTACTTCTATCTCAAAAGTTTTCATGTCTTAATACTACTGTGTAACATTATTAAATACCTCTACTCTCAAACAGCTGTGAATTTTATGGTTTTCTACTCACACTTGTGGATCTAGACTGGACTGGCGTCTTTCATATAGTTGAGAGTTAGAATCTTGGCTCTCAGCAGTTGCTTTGATTGACCACATATTAATAATTTCACTACACCTATAGAAATCAAAGAAAAAATACATTCTTAATAATCAGTTATTACAATTATTCATAAAATACCCAAGGGGAAATAACCTATTATTTAATTTTCCCATCTTCTCCTATGTGTTTTTAATATTTCGTATAAAACAAGTCATTAAATATTTAGCCAGGATTAGTTGCACAAGCTGAACCAATTGAAAGAGTTTGATTAACACAGAGGAACATACTTTTGGTAAAAATAATTCCAGGTTTATTGACTATAGGTAGTTTTCCAAATGTTCTGCTGTGAATGAGCCAATTTCTGTTTAAATGGATACTTATTTTCTTCCATATCGCAAAAGAATTCATTTGGCCTTGACAGAAGCAAGACGAATAAAGATGTGTCTGCTTTAAGTGCCTCCAGACACTTGCACTGGGAGGAGTCGGTAAAAAGAAATACAGACAGGATTCCTCGGTTTTCCTCTATGTGCTATAATCAATATTCTCACCAAGTAACAGTACTCACATCTGAATGGAGCAGTCTTCTTTGATTAAGCTCTGAACTAAGCCCCAGGACAGCCTCAGCTATTCCTATTTGGATGTGGAATCACGTGGCTGACATTTGCAGTTTTCATCAACCATTTTGGTGTTAAACATGAAAAAGAAATAGACCTTTTCTAAGTATTGCTAATTAGTGCTCTCTGACCGTGTCTTATCACAGGCCAGTGTTGGGAATTCCAATTTTTTTCCCCTTAAAATCCTAATTGTCAGTATTGTTATAATGTCTGATTCTGTTTCCTGACTTTTCCTTAATTAAGTACATGTTGTGCCTTGTGGCAAGTAGAATTTTCAGCCTGTTTCTGTAAATGTCTTCCTCACCAATTAAATTAATTTTACTACTAAGCTCAGGAGGAAGCAATGTCTTATTCTTTACAGGGTTTAAAAATATTTAAAGGTGAGTAACATTCTTAAGTGTTCTGAATATTTAAGGACATACAATTTTACTTTTACTAACCTCACAAGGAGAGACATTAGAATAGAAATAAAACTACAGATACTTTCATTGGCTATTTAAGTCACTTAAATCACAAATGATTATATATACAATAAAAAATATGAGAGTCACTTCTATAGTGACACAGGTTTTTAAGCCACATATTTATGGATCTTACAAGATATGTAATTTGGAACTAGATCCAAGATCTCTTAATCTTACTTAAATTACCTTTAAAATCCTCATTCTTATGTGCCTCAACACTCAGGCATTATCTTCCCCAGAAAATCTTTCCAGTCACCTGCTAACCTACCTTTGGTGATTTCTGTATGTTTACTCCCTTGTGGCAACATAACATTGTTGTGCTGCTATTTGCTGTTTGCCTGTGTACCCCCCGAACCTGTCCCACCTGCACTAGATGACAGGTAAGTAAATCAGGAGCTGAGCCTCTTTTCTCTAAAGAACGTCATATATGTCACAGTCACTTATTTCCTCTTTATTCAATGAGGTTGAAAAGGATTAGCCATAGTTAGTTAAACAAGAAGGACATATGTATTGAATAGGTTAAGAAAAAATGCCCCAAACCTACCTACACCTAGGGATAACCTGAATATTCTTTTGTTTTAATTTGAAGAAAAATATTTAATTTTAATAAAAGTCCTAAAAGAAAATATTAATAAATACAGAAATATAACATTTCTGGATGAGACAACACAATAATACATCACAATCAAATCTCTCTAAATTAATGTGATCACAATAAAAACCCAAACAGAATGTAACACGACATTAAAGAAGTGTTGTGGAAAACACATGCAAAAGATAAAATGTACAAGAAGAGAAAATAATATTTTGAAAAAAAATCCAGGGAGGCACTAGCTCAAGTATATCTCAAAAACATATTACAAAGTCATAATAATTAGATCAGTGTGGAACTAATACAAAAATAGACAAAAATATTTTAAAAATATAATTCAGAAAGAAATTCATTAATATACGATCATTTAGTTTGTATTGCATGTGACATTTTAAATCAGTGGGGAAATAAATAACTATTAAATCAAGCATATTTAAACAACTAGTTATTTGGGAAAGGAATCCAGGTACCTAGTTCATATGTTCACTCACACACACATACACAAACACACATTTATTTCACATAGATAAAATATATATGAATCAACCCTTTGAATACTTAAGAGTAACATAGGATAATTTGTTTTTAATATTGAAATAGAGAACGTCTTTAAAATAAAACATAAAATATTAAAGAAAAATACATAAATTTACCTATATAAAAATGGTAAACTGCTGTAAAAATAACTATTTTAAAATTTCTATGGAACCAAAAAAGAACCTGAAAAACCAAGGCAAAAGAAAAAAAAACAGGCTGAAGGAATCATGTTACCTAATTTCAAACTATACTACAGGGCTAGAGTAACCAAAACAGCATGGTACTGGTACAAAAACAGGGACATAGACCAATGGAATAGAATCTACATCTATGACCATATGATATTAGAGAAAACTGACAAAAACAAGCAATGGGGAGAAGACTCTCTATTCAATAAATGGTGCTAGGATAACTGACTAGCCATATGCAGAAAATTGAAGGTGGACCCCTTTCTTATGCCATATACAAAAATCAATTCAAGATGGATTAAACAATTAAATATAAAACCCAAAATTATAAAAGCCCTGTAAGACAACCTGGGCAATAACATCCTGTATGTAGGAATGATCAAAGAAATCATGATAAAAACATCTAAAGCAATCAAAAAAAGCAAAAAATGATGAATAGGATCTAATTAACCTAAAGAGCTTCTGCATAGCAAAAGAAACTATCAACAGGGTAAACAGACAACTTACAGAATGAAAGAAAATATCTGCCAACTATGCATCTGACAGAGATCTAATATCGAGGATCTATAAGGAAATAAACAAATTTACTAGAGAAAAACAAATAGCCACATTAAAAACTAGGTAAAGTACATGAAGAGACACTTCTCAAAAGAAGGAATACATGTGGCTAACAAGCATATGAAAAAATGCTCAATATCACTGATCGTTAGAGAAATGGAAATCAAAACTACAATGAGATACCATCTCACACCAGTCTGAATGGTTATTATTAAAAAATCAAAATACAGTAAGGTTGTGGAGAAAAGGGAACACTTATACACTGTTGATGGGAGTTTTATTAGTTAAACCATTGTGGAAAGCAGTATGGAGATTCCTCAAAAAGCTCAAAGCAGAACTACCATCCTGGGTATATACCGAGAGGAATATAAATCATTTCACCATAAAGGCACATGCACATGAATGTTCACTGCAGCACAACTCACAATAGCAAAGACATGGAATCAACCTAAATGCCCATCAATGACAGATTGGATAAAGAAAATGTACATACACGCCATGGAATAGTATGCACTATAAAAAAGAACAAGATCATGTCATTTGTGGGAACATGGATGTAGCTGGAGGCTATTATCGTTAGTAAACTAACACAGGAACAGGAAACCACATACCTCATGTTCTCACTTACAAGTGGGAGCTAAATGATAAGAACTTATGGACACAAAGAAGCAAATAACAGACACTGGGGTCTACTTGAGTGGGGAGGGTAGGACGAGGCAGAGAAGCAGAAAAGATAACTACTGGGCTCTGAGCTTAATACCTGGGTGAATAAATAATCTGTACAACTAACCTCCATGACACATATTTACCTATGAAACAAACCTTCACTTGTATCCCCAAACCCAAAATTTAAAAAGTAAATAAAAAAATAAATAAGAAGTGAAAAATAAAGATAAAGCAAGAGAATAATAAATATATTTGCAGCTTATTCTCTAGATAAATCTCTTATACCTGGAGCATACCAAATTGCTTAAAATCTACATGGAAAAAAGAAACAAAACAGGTTATACAAACAAGCAATTTACATAGGAAATACAAATCATTAGTAACTTGTGAAAAGATGCTAAGTCTCACTAGTGACCTAGGAAGTGCAATAATTAATAAATACATAAAAGAATAAATAATCAAGAATGTTATAACATTCTTTTATTCATAGGGTTAACTTTTTAATGATAATATCAAATATTGTAGTAGTACAGTGACTACACTGGAGACAGCAGTTTAATCTATCAAGCAATTTTGTAGAACAATTCAGCAGAATCGGCTAACATTGAAAATGTGCGTACAGTACGACCCAGCAATCCTGATCATTTATGCACCTGAAAAACTCTCACATATTAACAAAAGAAGGTATGTAAAATAATATTTTGCAGTCTTGTTTGTAATAATGGGAAGCAGTCTAAATCTTCATCAAGGAAAGAATGGTAAAATAAGCAATCATGATTCCAAAGCATGAAATACTATCTAGCAGTTAAAAAGCATAAAATAATTCTGAATGTATTTACTTGGGAGTCCTAAAAGGCACATTTAGGTGAATAATATGCTTATCTCACAAACGTTATTCACATAGCTTTCACATTTCCTCACAGCCCAGGATTTAAATAGGGTAACGATAAATGATTGCAATGCCTACCTTGGGTGAGCTCTAAATACATTAGCTCAATTGGGGTAAGACCATCTTCTAGACTAACTGGTTCAGGTGATGGAGGCCTAAGATAGTTGGCTTACGCCATTCTCCTGCCTAAGAATATCATTAGGAAGAGCATGTGACTCAATTCAAATTAATGATCTGTGGGGAAACTTTGCTAGAATCTTCTGTAAAGGTAGTGTCTCAAGCTTCTAACAGGAGTAACCTTTTGTCTCTTCATCTAGACAGTGTGAGATTTAGCTGTAAAGCTTAGAATTGCTTTAGTCACTTCTTTTCTCTTGTCACAACCTAATATTTACTTGGATTCATCAAAGTATTGTTTGTTTTTGGGCTTTCTTACTAAAATGCAAGTACCATGGTAATCATGAATTTAATTGTTTTATTTTCTCAACATGTCCCCAGCACCTAGAAGTATGGCCAATCCTTAATAGATACTCAGAAAATTTTGCTAAGTGAAGAAAACAAAACTCTGAAGAGAGATTCACAACAAAGGAGAGTGAATCTAAAACAATCAGAGCACAACGGGGCCACTCTCCAGATTAAAGCACACATGCGCCTCTCCCCAAACTTTTCAGTGCGTAAACCACCAAAATACCCTTTAATATGTGTAGTCGACAGGAAGTGGGAGGAAGAGGTGTTGGGGAATGTGAGTAAAATGTGAGTAAAAAAGGAATCACAGAATGCTAACTTAAAAAAATAAAATTGTAGGAATATATGTAGAATGCAGCACATTTATAGAAAAAACTAAAATGTTATATGCATGTGTAATTGTACACATACAAACACAGAGAAATATCTGAAAGGCCACTGACCAAATGAAAAGACTCAGAGCCAAAGTCTCCCTTGTTTGGAACCCAGGATTATAATCTTTCCAACTACTCAATTCTGCCAATCAGATATTCTTTATTAGAAAGTAGTTCCTTCCTACCTACCCCATGTCAGTTTAGTAGAGCTGATCCAACTGTTATGAACAGACATAGTGAAAGACTTATGTTTATTACTGATGCCCAGTCTTCATCACTGCAAGCATCTTTATTGACCACAATCAGTCCTCCCCAGATGACACATCACTGGATATACTAAATGACATGACGAGCCTTCAGTTGCACAGAGAGGGCAAGGTAAGCACATTATATTGACTTGTCTAAATGATTTTATTTGTTTTTTTATCATGCTGCCATAAAGCCACAGATCAGTTAATAATCTCAACATTTTATTTAATTCAGGATGATTTGGACATCATTATATTATGAAGCAGATTTTTTGCTAGAATGAAAGGATTTTATGGTTCAATCATTTGTTCATGTAGAATTGCATTAGTATTCTAGTACAACCATTAAGAAAAGGGAATGATAAGCTTTCATGTTTCTAGGTTCCTAAGAAAATATAAGGCATAGTATAGGGTTAGCAAACAAGATTGGGTTTGCTACTTTCTAACAAAAACAAGATGATTAACACAAAGCAAATTTGTTGCAAGGTAAAGACAAGAGCTGGGACACTAACCTGTGACCTAGAGTTAGTTCATGGGGAGCCTGGTTCCTCATAGAAGGAACGACTCAATCATTAATTGTGACTTTGCTATGTGCCAGCCCCATACATGTATTATTTCTAATCTTTAAAAACTAGAAATAACTAGATATTATTGTAACTATTTTACAGGTTATGAGGCTGTAAGTCAGATGGTATTCTACTTCTCAAATATAAAGCGATAAAAACCGAGAGATGTAGAACGAAAATCAAGTTTTGCTGACCTAAATGTAGTGGTGAAGAAATTGATAATTGAAGTTTATAATTCTCAAAAATATTTTCCTCTTCATTAATGAAAGATTAATGTAACCTCACTAAAAGAGCTGGCAGTTTTAGCTCCTTACTTAAAGAGGCAGCTGTGTGATATTTGGCGAATCACGTTAGGTCTGACTGTAAAATTAGGGTGAGATTAGTAATAGGGATGTATACATTCCAATAATTCTAATTTGGCCACTGTATGCCTAAGTAAGGTTTATCACATTAATACTTTACAAAATATAAGTTGGACGGATGCAAACAGTATATTCTATCTACATTTAAAGACTATATATGGCTCCCTGAAGAAGTCTCAAATTTTAATACATATTTTTTCTAAAACACTGAGTACTGTTTTCTTTTAAAAAGTACAGCTTCTGATAAAGTAATGTATTAGAGCATGGTAAGAAGAAAGACGGTGTTAGTTCAATTTCAACTTCCAAGGGACAAAAGAAAGAAATAAACAACAGAAACAAAGATGTGTTAGAGTAATATAATAAAATGCTGTATTGCAGATGAAAGGAATAAATAAATGTATATATGAATGAATATCCTAAAGACATAACATTAAGAGAAACATAGCTGGATGCAGAAACATATATTTAATATGAAGGTATATATATGTGTCTTTGTGTGTTTATGCTTATATTCAACAGAAATTTTGGGAAAATGATGGTGGCAGAGTATAGGTTTTGAAATTCTCCAAATCCCCAATAAAAACCTGCATAATAAATACATACCTAAACCAATATCAATAAACATTTATTAACCAAACTAGGTAAAAAGGCTTATCTGCAGAATAAAATGCATTTAGGTAGTAATAAACCACCAATTGCTACAATGTTCACATAAATTATATTGTCATCTGCAGGAGAGAGCAGAGAGAAACTGTATACCAATATGCAGAAGAATAAAACTGGACCCCTGTCTCTCATCACATACAAAAATTAACTCAAGATGGATTAAAGACTTAAATGGACGGCTGAAACTATGAAACTACTGGGGACATATGGCAAACTTGAGAACAGAAAAAAACCCAAAATAGCCAATAGGTTTTCCTTGGAAAGCATGTCAGACAATCTGAAAATATCAGCTGAAGCAGGAAAAATGAAAGGATTGAATATTGTTAAATGTCTATTTTACCCAAAACAATCTACAAAGTCAGTGCAATCCCTATCAAAACAACAGGACATTCTTCACAGAAATAGTAAAACAATCCTAAAATGTGAATGGAACCACAAAAAGAACTTAAATAGCCAAATAAATTTTGAGCAAAAAGAACAAAGCTGAAGTTACATACTGCCTTACTACAAAATACATTACATTCTATAGTAACCCAAACAGCATGGTGTTGGTGTAAACATGGACCAGTGGAACAGAATAGAGAACCCAGAAATAAATCCACATATTTAGAGTGAGCTGATGTTCAACAAAGGCACCAAGAACATACATGCAATGAAAAAAGGGAAGCTTCTTCAATACTTGGTGCTTGGAAAACTGGATATCCACATGCAGAAGAATGAAACTGGACCCCTATCTCACCATATAAAAAATTAACTCAAGATGGATTAAAGTGTTAAACATAAGACTAGAAATTACAAAACTACCTGAAGAAAACATAGGGGAAACCCTTTAGAACATTGGTCTAAGCAAAGATTTTATGGCTAAGACCTCGAAAACACAGGCAACAAAAACAAAAAATAGATAAATGGGACTAAAACTAAAAAGCTTCTGCACAGCAAAGGGAAGACTCAAGAGACTGAAGATATTACCCGTTAAATGAAAGAAAATATTTACAAACTGTTCATCATACAACTAATATTCAGAATACACAAGCATCTCAAGCAACCACAAGAAAACAAATAATCCTATTAGAAGATGGGCAAAGGGCATGAATAAATATTTCGCAAAAGACATATGAATAGCTAACAGGTATATGAACGTTTAACATCATTAATCGTCAGAGACATGAACAACAAAACCACAAGATATCATCTTGCCCTGGTAGAATGGTTGTTTTTAAAAAGACAAAAATAACAGATGCTGGTAAGTACATGGATAAATGGGAATTCTTATACACTGTTGGTGGGAATGTAAATTAGTAGAACCACTATGGAAAACAGTATGAAACTCTTTCAGGAAACTAAAAATAGAACTATCATATAATCCAGCAATCCCATTACTGGATATTTATCAAAGGGAAGAAAATCAAAGGGATACTGGCACTCCTATGTCTATTGCAGCACTATTCACAGTAGCAAAGATATGGAATCAATCTATGTGTTTATCAATGGATGAATTAATAAAGAAATTGTAGTACATATACACAACGAAATACTATTTGGCTGTAAAAAATTATATCATATCATTTGCAGCAACGTGAATCAAACTGGAGGTCATTATATTAACTGAAATGAGCCAGGCACAGAAAGACTTATCACATTTTCTCACTCATAGATGGGAGCTGAAAAAGTTGATCTCAACTTTTTAGAGATCAGAATATATTTTGCAATTTTATAAAGAATTATTCTCTTTGTAGAGAGCAGAATGATAATTACCAGAGTTTGGAAAGGGATGTGTGTGGGGTGGCATATAAAGAGAGTTTGGCTAATGGGTAAAAACATACAGTAAGAAGAAACAAGTTATAATGTTCAATAGAATAGTAGGGTGACTACAGTTAAAAGCAGTGTATTGTATACTTCAAAATACTAGCAGAAGGATTTGAAATGTTCTCTACATATATAAATCATAAATACTAGAGGTGATGAATATCCTACATACCCTAAATTGATCACTACACATCTTAAAATGCAACTAAATATCACATGTATTATATGTATGTACAAATATTATGTATCAATTAAAAAGAAAAATTTAAGTAAGATAGTTGCTATTTTGTGGGGAAGAGTTGGTGATCTGAATGGGGCACAAGGAGGGGCTTAGAAGGTGGCTGTTAAAATTCTGTTTCTTGATATGGGGAAAGGATATGAGAGCACTTACCTTCTATGCATTCATTACACTACAAAATTTTTGTATGCTTTTCTGTATTTGTATTTTGGTTTGTAATAAAATAACTAAAATGTTAAAAAAAAACAGTATTTATGGCTGTGTCTCACTTAATTCTTCCATCCTGTAGGTTAGAAAGATCATATAGCATAGGCACGATGACAGTTTTAGTCTGTAGAAGTTTCTCACAAACTTGTCTGCTTACAACTGATGCCGTTGCTATAACTGTTTTGATTCCCACATTACTGTTATCATGTTTACAAAGAAATGAAGATCACGGATTAAGCATTTATTTTTCATGTCCTAGTAGAGTGCTAGCTGTGGGGATACAAGAATCAAAAAGACAGATATATTCCCAAGGAGCTTATTATCTAATAGTAGAGGATAATAAAAATAAACTTATATAAAATATGTGTTCAAATTTAGCCAGCTCTTCATCAAACATATTTCCTCTCTCACCTAGACACACAACAATTCCCAGCTTCCTCTTTGGAAGTTCTGGCCATGCAAGTGAACATAAGCAGAATTTATTTTGCCCCTTCCACAGCTGGACATAAAGAACCTCTGCTTGCAACCTGTAATGCTCTTTCCCCTCTTCCTACAAATGGAGGAGCACATGTTGAATACAGCAATCACAAGTTGGTAGGAGCTTACTTCCATTAATAACCACTTGGGGCAGAGTCTTGCCTATCAGAAACACCCATTTAAACTTTATTTTAGTGACCAATTATAATTATGTTGTCACAAATATCTGGGATTTATATTTTATGGCAGCGAGAATTATAATAACTAATAAAATTTTGGCAACTTTAAGTGAGGTGTCAGCATTTTTAAAATGCCTAAACTATGTAACTCAGTGGTAGAGTGGCAGAGAAAACTGCTATCAGAGGCTGGAAATATGATCTTCTTAAGGTATTGTGAAAACACAGTAGCTACTGTCAGCAATGCCAGAGAAAGCAACCAAGTGCCTACTGAGTTGGCTGTAGAAGAAGAGTTTGGAAAACCAGCTTTCAGCGAGGTAGTTGATTTTAACTGATTGGGTTAGTAAGATATTAGAAATAATAAGCTGAAAAGAAAAGAATTGGCTGTTCAAGAATAGAAACAAAAATGATACAGGGAGTTGATACATCTGGGGTCATAACTGATTTGAAAAGTTATCTCTAGACATGAAACAGAAAAAAATAATGATTTAAAAACACACACACACACAACTTTGAGCAACAAAGATTCTTTAAAAGATTCAGCCCTGTGGAAAATAAGGTTTTTATATTCTCATCCAAGCCAGATGGGCTCTAGGCAACCTTTGCTAAATTAGGATACAGAGGCCAGGAAATGGGAAAGCTATACATATAGAGAGAGAATTTGAGAAGTATGCTTGGGAAATAAATTTGGGTATGGTTAATGATACATGATCTTACTAGAGGAAAAAAATAAATTGCTCATTATTAAGTTAAAAAAACTGCATTACCCTAAAAAATAAACTGGCCTAATAATAATAATAACAACAAGAAATCCTTATATAAACATGAAAAGGCAGCACAAGCTGTATAGCCCATAATGCAGGTGTACTTCTCAACACGACTTTAGCTGTGGCCATATGCACGACAAGTTGAGAAAAACTCACTGAATGTGGGACCAAGAGCCATGGAGAATAATATACAGAGAACAGAACTGGAATCTAACCAAAAACCTTCTCCATTGTCATGTCAGAGAGATCTCCAAATAATTGCCTAGAAGGATTTCATCATTTTCATAAGCCAATAACAGCTATGTATTTCCTGTTTGTCTTTGTTTAAAATGTGGGTTTTCATTGTGGGTATACAGGCTCAGCTCCACTATTGTATATAGGATGTATTTGTGGGGAGATGATAAACTGCTTTTTGCTCCTTGGTTACCTGATCATGAAAAAAGCAGATAGTGCAGTGTTGCTTGTTTTTATACTTCCTTTTTAAAAAAGTATTAGATTGAAGGTAGTTTTCTGGGACTAGCTTTTTTCACTCCGAATTGTTTCAATGAGATTCATCTGTACTGTTTTTTTTTTTTATCATGATAGTTATTCATTTTCATTGCTATAACCCATTCTATGAATATCCCACAAAAAGTGTATTCGTTTTCCCTAACATGGACATTTGAGTTGCATACATTGTTTGTTGTTATAAACATTGTTACACACACTTCCTGGTAAGCATTGGCAAGATTTTTATATACATCTAAGGATGGCATTGCCCGGTGTTGAGTACGCAGATATTTAACTTCCTGAAATAATACCAAATTCTCCAAATGAGAATACTCCTGATAGCAAGTATTAAAGATCTAACATGTTCACATTCTTTCCAACATTTGAAATTTTAAGACCAAAAATTATTTTTTGCCCGTTGAATACCTAGTAAAATAATAGATCACCATTGTCTTAATTTTTGTTTTCAAAATCAGTGAAGTTAAATATCTTGTAATAAATTACTGGCCAATTATATTTTCTCTTCTATAAACTATTAATTTTTCCAAACTTGTTTGCTTTTACTTATTTTTATAGTTTGTTATATAGTCTTAATGTTAATTACTTATTAGTTATCTGGAATATCACCTCTGCTGGATATTTGTAGTTTGTCTTTTCATTTTGTTTATGTACCATAGGATGATTCAAAATCAGATTTTTGTAATATTCAAATGTATCAATACTTTTAATAGCTAGTGCTTTATATATTTTATGTAGGAACTGCTCCCTACCCAGAAGTTGAAAAGATATTCACCTATTTTTTGCTACTTACATTTAACTTTTAACCCAATAGGTTTTGACATTTATGTACTGTGTGCTTATTAGCAGTAGAAGTTTATACATAATGTCACATTTATTGAATGCTGCCTCAGCATATGGAATATATTTCGCGAATTCACAAACAAGTCTATATGGAAACTAGCCATATTATGGGGCAGTGGATGCATAATATAAAGAGGAGACAATGTGGGAAATGAAAAGGATCACTTTATTCTGCCAATGGCTGAACATAGAGAACAATAAAAAGGATGTCGAACAACAGGTTTAAGGGTACAGCCGTGGAATATAGGATGAGGTCCTGGCACCTTATCTCACTTGACACAATGCTAAAGAGTGCGATTAATCCAAATCTCTGACTGTTTCTTTATTATAGTGGCTTTCTATTGAGTTGCAATGGTCTTCAAGATCGGCTTTCATTTATTTTCCTGTCTTGAGTTTTAATCTCCTTTTTTCCCCCACAGATGGGTTGACAATAAATGTTTCATGAAATTGAATTATACAATTAGAGGGATCTTCAATTCGTACTCATACAAATTTGGGTGATTGTCGGAATCACACATTTTAAAAATATACAATTTGGAGTGACGTTAGCAAGATGACTCACTAGCGATGCCTGGCATTCATCACTCCCACTAGAAAGAACCAAGACAACAAATAAACAGCTGGAATTTCACTGGAGTGTCAAAGCAAGCAAGTGAGAACTCAGCGGGGCAGTGAAGATACACCTGTAGTGCTTGGAAATCCGGGAGGGTAGTGTAGAAGCATGCAGCCTCTGCAGCCGTGTCTCGTCTGCCCAGATACGATCTGCCTGGAGCCAGAAAAGACTTCTCATTGTAGGTGAAGAGGTAAACAGAAGATTCCCAGTAGCCCCCAATGCTACCGCCAACACCTACAACCCTTAGAACAAGAGAATCCCACAGTGCTTTCAAGCCCTGAGCCCACTTTAGGAAGCTCCCAGAATTCACTCACTGCATTCCCCAGATTAGGAGCATGAGAGACTCACTCTCCACCCGGAAACCATTCTTTGTAAGCCAAGCTGCTGCTGCACAGCACCATCTTGAGGCCAGAGCCACTTGTAGAGTGCACCATCCTCTGGGGGCCAGTAGCCACAGCAACTCTTTAGCCATGGGGCTCCATCTTTATTATGCGAAGCCAACAAAGGTGGCTGAACACTATAACCCCTATACATGGACCTTGGGCCTAGGATCTGCTGTGAATTTGGTTCTGCATGGCAGGGAAACCAACTGTCACTGCTGTACTTCCAGCCAGAGGAAGAGTCTGCTAGTCCACCCCAAGACAAACCTGTCCTTGAGATGGCCAAATCACTGTGTACCTTCCCCTTAGCAGGAGAGGCCCCTGAGCCTCCAAGCAGCTGATACATTTCTAGGCCAGAAGATTGGCTATGTTCCTGTGTTCAAGACCAGAGAAACATCCCTGCAAAGCCCCTGCTATTCCCCAGACATACACCCACAATAAGCACCTGAGAGGCAATTCTGCGGGTAGCCCCTTGAGGGAATGCTGCCAAGGCCATCGAGTAGCCAAGAACCCATGTTTCAGAGCCGAGAAAGAGCCCTATGTGTAACCCCTGGTGGACATATCCCAGGTTGGCTAAGCAGCCATGCACCTTCACGCTGGGCCTGAAAAAACTGTCCGGTGGGTCGCTTCTGGTGGACATACTCCAAGCTGGCCAAGAATCCATGCATCTACACAGTGGGCCCAAAAAACTGCCCTATGGGCCACCTCTGGCCGACACCCCTAGCCCTGGTAAGCATCTGTGCATCAATATCAAGGCTTAAGAAATACTCCAAAGGCCACCTCTGGCAGGCATACCCACAGGCCAACCAAGCAGCCACATGTCTGTGTCCTGGACCTACAAAACAGCCTCATGGGCTAGCCCCAGCAGAAACACCCACAGGCCAACTGAGCAGTAGTATAGCTGTGTCACAGGCCTGAAAAACAGCCCTATATCCACTCCTGGCAGACAAAACCCCAGGACAGCTTAGGAAATGTGCTGCCTCTTCCTGGCCCCGAGAAACAGCCCTGTGGGCCAACTCTAAGAAACAAGCTTCCAGGCCAGCCAAGTAGTTCTATACTTGCATCTTGGGCCAAAGAAAAACCCCATGGGAGGTTTGTTGTGGGTGTGCCCCCAAGCTGGATAAACAACCATGAGCACATGCTCCTGACCAATATAAGAACCCCATGGTCCTAACACCACTTAGGAGAGAGACTCAAAGCTGGCTTATCAAGTATTTGCATGCACAAACTCCTGATATGGTTTGGCTGTGTCCCCACCCAAATCTCATCTTGAATTGTAGCTCCCATAATTCCCACATGTTGTAGGAGGGACCCAGTGGTATATAACTGAATCATGAGGGTAGTTTCCCCCATACTATTCTCATGGTAGTGAGTAAGTCTCACAAGTTCTGATGGTTTCCTAAGGCATTTCTTCTTTTGCTTGGTTCTCATGCTCTGTTGCCTGCCACCAAGAAAGACGTGCCTTTTGCCTTCCACCATGATGAGGCTTCCCCTGCCATGTGGAACTGTGAGCCAATTAAAACTCTTTCCTTTATAAATTACCCAGTCTTAGGTATATATTTATTAGAAGTATAAGAACAGACTAATAGAGAAAATTGATACTGGTAAAGTGGGGTGCTGCTATAAGGATATCCAAAAATGTGGAAGCAGCTTTGGAACTGGGTAACAGGCAGAGGTTGGAACATTCTGGAGGGCTCAGAAGAAGATAGGAAGATGTGGGAAAGTTTGGAATTTCCTACAGACTTGTTGGATGGCTTTGACCAAAATGCTGATAATGACATGGACAATGAAATCCAGGCTGTGGTGGTCTCAGATGGAGATGAGGAACTTGTTCGGAACTGGAGTGAAGGTGACTCGTGCTATGTTTTGGCAAAGAGACTGGTGGCATTTTGCCCCTATCCTAGAGATTTATGAAACTTTGAACTTGAGGGAGATGATTTACGGTATCTGGATGAAGAAATTTCTAAGCAGCAAATAATTCAAGAGGTGACTTCAGTGCTGTTAAAAGCATTCAGTTTTAAAAGGGAAACACAACATAAAAGTTCAGAAAATTTGCAGCCTGATGATGTGATAGAAAAGAAAACCCCATTTTCTGGGGAGAAATCCAAGCCTGCTGCAGAAATTAACATGAGTAACAAGCAGCCAAGTGTTAATCTCCAAGACAATGGGAAAATGTTTCCAGGGCATATCAGAGACCTTTGTGGTAGCCCTTCCAATCACAGGCTCAGAAGGCCTAGGAGAAAAAAAAAATGTTTTTTTGGGCTGGGCTCAGGGCCCCTCTGATTTGTGAAGCCTAGAGACTTGGTGCCCTGTGTCCCAGCTGCTTAAGCCATGGTTAAAAGAGGCCAAGGTAGAGCTTGGGCTGCGGCTTCAGAAGGTTCACGCCCCAAGCCTTGGCAGCTTCCACATGGTGTTAAGCCTGTGAGAGCACAGAAGTCAAGAACTGAGGTTTGGGAACCTCTGACTAGATTTCAGAGAATGCGTGGAAATGCTTGGATGTCCAGGAAGAAGTTTGCTACAGTGGTGGGGCCCTTATGGAGAACTTCTGCTAGGGCAGTGTGAAAGGAAAACGTGGGGTGGGAGCCCCCACACAGAGTCCCCACTGGGGTACTGCATAGTGGAGCTGAGAAGAGGGCCACCATCCTCCAGACCCCACAATGGTAGATCCATTGATGGCTTGTACTGTGCACTTGGAAAAGCCGCAGACACTCAATGACAGCCCATAAAAGCAGTCTGAAGGAAGACTGTACCCTGCAAAGTCACAGGGGCGGAGTTGCCCAAGACTATGGGAACCCACATTTTGCATCAGCATTACCTGGATGTGAGACATGGAATCAAAGGAGATCATTTTGGAGCTTTAAGATTTGACTGCCCAACTAGATTTTGAACTTGCATAGAGCCTTTAGTCACTTTGTTTTGCCAATTTATCTTATTTGGCATGGGTGCATTTATTCAATGCCTGAAACCCCATTGTATCTAGGAAGTAACAAACTTGCTTTTGATTTTACAGGCTCACAGGCGAAGGGATTTGCCTTGTCTCAGATGAGACTTTGGACTTTTGAGTTAATGCTGAAATAATTTAAGACTTTGCAGGACTTTTGGGAAGGTATGATCGGTTTTGAAATGTGAGGACCTGAGATTTGGGAAGGGCCAGGGGAAAAATGATAGGGTTTGGCTGTGGCCCCACCCAAATATCATCTTGAATTATAGCTCCCATAATTCCCATATGTTGTGGGAGTGATCCAGTGGGAGATAATTGAATCATAGGGGCAGTGTTCCCCATATTGTTCTCATGGTAGTCAATAAGTCTCATGAGATCTGATGGTTTTATAAAGGGTTTCTTCTTTTGCTTGGCTCTCATGCTGTCTTTCCTGCTGCCATGTAAAATGTCCCTTTGATCTTCCTTCACTTTCTGTGATGATTGTGAGGCCTTCCTAGCCATGTAGAACTGTGAGTCAATTAAATTGTTTTTATTTATAAAATACCCAGTCTCAGATATTTTTTATTAGCAGCATAAGAATAGACTAATACAACTTCCAACCTCAGAAATAGCCCAGCAAGGCCACACTTGCAAAGTCATACCACCATCACCACAAATTCTCAGCCTAGGTCAATTAGAAGGTCACAATAACACTAGTGTGGATTAAAGCTGAAGAAGCTACACAGAGACTACACTGCTGCATCCACCTAGAACCAAGGCCAATGCACTCCACCAAACCTATACCCCAACACCCATTTTTACAAATAAGCCTTTCTTATGAAACCTAATCTATAAAATTGGAAAAGGTGATCCACTAGATGCAGAGAAATCAACAAAGAAACATATAAACCATGAAAAAGCAAGGAAATACATCACCTCCAAAAGAAAACTAACTCTACAGGAATAGATCACAATAATAAGGAAATGTATGAAATACCAGAAAAAATTCAAAATAATAATACTAAGGAAATTCAGTGAAATATAAGATAATACAGAAGAAAATACAACAAAATAAGAAAAAATAATTAATGATTTGAATGAGAAATTTACAAAGAGATAGATGTCACAAAAGAGAACCAAATAGAACTACAGTGGGATGAATCCAAAAAATGAAACAAAAAATACAATTAAAAGCTTGAACAACAGACTAGATCAAGCAGAAGAATCTGTTTCTGAACATGAAGATAGATCTTTTGAAATAACAAAAGAAGACAAATAAAATAATTTTTAAAAAGAAAATGAAGAAAACCTACAGGATTTATGGGACACCATTAAGCAAGCAGATATTGGTAACATGGAATTTCCAGAAGAAGAGAAGGGGAAAGGTGAGGAAACCATATTTAATAAAATAATAGCAGAAAGTGTCCTAAGCCTTGAGAGAGATGTGGAAATCCAGATCCATGAAACAAACAGAATCCCAAATTAATTCAATCCAAACAGGTCATCTCTGATGCACATTATAGTAAAATTGCCAAAATATGATTTCCTTATATGTGTCTTTACATTATATGAGTGTATTTCTCAGCAGAAACCCTAAAGGCCAGGAGAGAATGAGATAATACATTCAAAATATGAAAAGAAAAACAAAACAAAAAGAAATACTGCCATGCAAGAATATTATACTCAGCAAAGCTATCCTTCAGAAATGAAAGAGAAATAAAATCCTTCACAGACAAGCAAAGGCTATGGGAATTCATTACTACTAGACTGGCCATACAATAAATGTTCAAGGGAGTCTTACATGTGGAAGTAAAAAGACAACAACCACCATCATGAAAACATGCAAAACTATAAAACTCACTAGTAGACAGATACACCAAGGGGAAAAAGACAGAAATCAAACCTTATCAATAAAGGAAACCAACTACCCTCAAAAACAAACAAGAAAAGAGGTAGTAAGGAACAAAGGATGTACAAAATAATCAGACAACAATCAATAAAATGACAAAATTAAGTTCTTATTAAAAATAGCCATGAATGTAAATGGTTTAAATTTCTCATTTAAAAGGTATAGACTAGTTGAATCCATTTGAAAAAAAAAAAAGAAAAGACTTCTTTAAATGCTGCCTACCAGAAACTGAACTCATTGGTAGAGACACACATAGACTGAAAGTAAAGGGATGTAAAAAGATGGTCTATGCAAACCAAAACCTAAAGCAACCAGGAATAGCTATAATTATATATGACAAACAGGCTTGAAGTTAAAAGCTGTAAAAAGAGACAGAGAAGGATATTATGTAATAATAGAGAGAAATTTAGAAAGAGCATGTAATAACTATAACATATTTGTACCCAACACTGAAGCATCCCGATATAAAAAGCAAATATTATTAGATCTAAAGGGAGAAATAGACTTCAGTATAATAATAGTTGTGGACTTCAGTACCTAATTCTCAGCATTGGACACATTATCTAGATAAAAAATCAACAAAGAAACCTAAGATTTAAACTGCAACATAGAACAAATGAACCTAACAGATATTTATAAAACATTTTACTCAAAAGCTGCACAATATACATTTTTTCATCAGCACATGGAACATTATGCAAAATTGACTATATAGTTAAGACACAAAAGAAGTCTCAAAAATTTTTCAAAATCAAAATTATATTGTGTATCTTATTTGACCACAATATTATAAAACTAGATACCAATAACAAACACACAGAACCAAACAAATAAATATAAATTGAATATACAACGGCAGGAGGAAGAAATTAAGAATAAAATTTAGTAAAATCATTGAAAGAAATAAAAATAGAAACACAACATACCAAAACCTATAAAACACAGTCAAAGTAATACTAATAAGCAAGATTATAGCAATAAATGTCTACATCAAAATAAACTAGAAAGATTTCAAATAATCAACCTCACTACATACCTCAAAGAAATAGAAAATCAGGAACAAACCAAACTCAAAATCAGTAGAAGAAAAAAATCATAAAGACGAGAGCAGAAACAAACAAAATTGAGACTATAAAAATACAAAAGATCAACAAAACAAAAAGTTAGTTTTTTGAAAAGATAAACAAAATTGACAAAGTGTTAGCTAGACTAACTAAAAAATAGAGAAGGCTAAAATAATTAAAATCAGGAACAAAAAAGGAGACATCACAATAGGTAGCACTGAAATCCAAAGGATTGTTACAGACTAATATGAACAACTATATATCAACACATTCAAAAACATAGAGAAAACTGACACATTTCTGAACATGCACAAAGTACCAAGATTGAACCAAGAAGAAATAAAAAACCTGAACAGACCAATAGCAAGTAATGAAATTGAATTAATAAATAAGTCTTCCAAAAAAGAAAAGTTCAGGACTGGATGGCTTTACCGCTGAATTCTACCAAACCTTTAAAGGAGAATTAATACCAATTCTTCTCAAGCTATTCCAAAGAAATTAAAACACAGGGAGTTCTTTGTAATTCACTCTATAAGGCTAGCATAACCCTTATACCCAAATCAGACAAGTACACAACAGCAACAACAAAAAACTACAGGCCAATATCCCTGATTAACATAGACACAAAAGTTCTCAACAAAATACTTGCAAACCAAATCAAAAAGTGCATCAAAAGGTAATACACCGTGATCAGAAAGGATTTATTCCAGGAATGCAAGGAAGTCTCAACATACACAAATCAATAACCACCATACATCACATCAATAGAATGAAGGACACATACAATATAATCATCTCAATTGACACATAAAAAGATTTGATAAAATTCAATATTATTTTATGATAAAAACTCTTAATAAATTTTGTATAGAACGAAAGTACCTTAACATAACAAAGGCTATATATGACAAACCCACCACTAACATCGTTCTAAATAAATAAGCTTTTAGTTTTTCCTCTAAGAACTGGAACAGGACAAGGGTGCCTACACTCAATGCTCTTATTCAACATATTACTGGAAATCCTGCCAGAGCAATTAGGCAAGATAAAGAAATAAAGGGCATCCCAATTGGAAAGGAAGAAGTCATATTGTGACTGTTCGTAGATATAATCTTATAACTACACCATTCTAAAGACTCTACTAAGAAACATTTCAGACTGAGCAACAAACTCAAGAAAGTCAAAAGATACAAAATTAATATATAAAAATCAGTATCAGTTTCTATACATTAACAATGAAATACATGAAGAAGAAATCAAGAAGGCAATCCCATTCAAAATAGCTATAAAAAATATCCAGGATTAAATTAAATCAAAGAGGTGAAAGACTTCTACAAGAAAAACTACAAAACACTGATAAAAAAAATTGAAAAGGATATAAACAAATAGAAAGACAGTCCATGCTAAATTATTGGAATAATTAATATTGCTAAAATGACAATACTGACCCAAAAATATACAGACTTTTTGCAATTTTTATAAAAATAACAAGGATATTCTTCACATAAGTAGAAAGAAACATCCTAAAATTTGTATGGAACCAAAAAGAACCCCAAATCACCCAAGCAATCCTGAGAAAAATATAACAAGGCTGGAGACATCACACAATAAGATCTGAAAATATGTTACAAATCTTTAGTAAACAACACGCTACTAGCACAAAAACAAGTATGTAGACAAATGGAACAGAATAGGGAACACAGAAATTACTCTACATAGCTACAGCCAACTGATTTTTGACAGAAGTGCCAAAACACTAATTGGGAAAGGACCGTCTTTTCAATAACTAGTGCTAGGACAATTGGATATTCATGAACAGAATAATGAAATTAGATGTACACATTTTGTCTTTTACAAAAATCAACTCAAAATGGAACAGAGACTGGAGGAAGACCTTAGAGAAATGCTTCAGAAGATGGGTCTTGAAAAGATTTTATAAGTAAGACCTCAAAAGCATAGGAAACAAAAGCAAACATGAAAAATGAGATTATATCAAACTAAATAACTTCTGTACAGTAAATAAATCAACAGAGTGAAAAGACAATCTACAGAATGGGATAAAATATTTGCGAAATACTCACCGAGTAGTGTATTAATATCCAGAATACGCTAGGCACTCAAACATCTCAACAACAACCAAAACTTCAGTTAAAAAATGAACAATCTGAACAGATATTTCTCAAAAGAAGACATACAAATCGACAAAAACATGAAAAAATAGCTCAACATTATTAATCATTGGGTAAATGCAAATTAAAACCAAAATGAGGTTCCTTCTCACCTCACTTAGGATGACTATTAAAAAAAATGAAAAGGGAACTCTTATCCACTCTTGGTGCAAATGTAAACTAGTACAGTCACTATGGAGAACAGTATGGAGGTTCCTCAAAAAAATACAAATAGAACTATCATATGATCCAGCAATCCCACTCATGGATATTTATCCAAAGGAAAGGAAATCATTATATTGAACAGACATTTGCATTCTATAGTTACTGCAACACTATTCCCAATAGCCAAGATATAGAATAAATCAAAGTTCCAACAACAGATGAGTGGATAAAGAAAACATGCTATTTATATATACACAACAGAATACTATTCAGCCATAAATAGAATGACATCCTGTTATTTTTGGCAACATGGACAGAACTGAAGGACATTATGTTAAGTGAAAAAAGCCAGAAAAAGAAAGATAAACACCACATGTTCTCACTCATAAGTGGAAGCTAAAAAAAAGTTTATCTCCTAGAAGTAAAAAGTAGAACAGAGGATACTGGAAGCTGCAAAGGGTGGGGAGAAGGGAAGGATAGGAATTTGTTAAAGAACATAAATTTATAGCTAGATAGGAGGAATGAGTTTTAGTGTTTTATACCACTGTAGGATGACTATAATTAACAATAATATATTATGTGGTATCAAATAGCTAGAAGAAGGATATTAAATATTCCCAAAGAATTGATAAATGCTTGAGATGATGGATATGTTGGTTACTCTTATCTGACCACTATACACTTTCACAATGTCATTAAGTACTCCATGAGTATGTGCAATGATTATTTGCCAACTAAAAATAAAATTACAAAAAATAAAATTTAGAAATAAAGACCATATCTTTTAAAATTTCTCACTAAATAGGTTTACCATGGAGCCAATAAATCATCCTAAAATATTGTAGAGGAAATTTTAGTAATTAATCAATTTGGAGAACTATCAATCAAATCAAAGCATTTTATTTTGTAAGTGAGAACAGCAAGGGCCAGAGAAGAAAATTATTTTGGGAGAGACTGCACCATTTTTAGCAGAAGAGCATGTAAAAGCTTCAAGACCCTATGCAGGGTCTTTTTATAGGAGATTTTATATCTATATATAGATGATGTAGATATATAAGTAAATAGGCATTTAGAGAGATGAGCTGACATATGTTAGGCATATATGCATCAGTCTATTTTAATGTCTACTCTAAAGAAGGAGGCAATGGAAAAAAGTTCACTTGACAAACAAGGCTAAGATTGCAATGGAGGAGAAGGAAATAATTTTAGCTCCAATCAGAGTTGGTCATTTGGGTTTTTCCTATTTTTGTCAATGTTTTATTTTTAGCAACTAGAATATTGTCTGATGCACAGTGTGCCCTTGATAAATATATATTTAACAAATGAATAAATCAACAATGAATGATTGATGAATGACTGTGATTGCTTCCTACCTGATGCCTTTTGAGCTTCCTACCTAGGTCATTTGCTCTATTTGCTGATGGGTGTTGAAAGTTTACCTTTATAATTTATTTGTTTAATTTATTTTACTCATGGCTTTGCCTTACATTAAGAGGAACATAAACATGCTTAAGAGGGGCTGATCTGTTAGCTCTTAAACTCCCCTTCCTTCTCAATGAGAATGATTTTGTTTAATCTCCTTATAGATCGATTTTCACAAGTTTAATGGATACATGAGAATTTCAGTTCAGTTAAAAAGAGAGAAAAGGAACCAAAAGAAAAACATAACAAAACAAACAAACAAAAACTCACCATCGCCAATTTTCCCAAGATCAGTCTGGACCATGAATGCTCTTAGACTAGAAAATACTCTTCTGCTTGAATCTTTTCTTCGCTTGATGCCAGCAACACACATTGGAACACTTAACAGTTAAGTCTAAACCCTATGGCCAGACCCATTTCTTCCTGCTCCTATCTGCTAACAGCAACTATAAAACCCACTTTTTACACAAAAGGCAACCAAACTCAATCTCCAAAATGTGGAAAGAAGAAGACAAATTTGTTTGGGTCTCCAGGACTGCAGGAGTAGCAGAATGAGAGGGCATGTTAGTTTCCCCTCTCAACAGAAGAAGGTTACACAGATCCAGAATTTCCTGACTCTCAACCTAACATTAAAGAAGGCAGCCCATGCAGGCATTTTCCATCCCTAGAGCAAATCATAAAAAAAATACGAGGTGATCCAGGAAAAACCATCAGTAAGAGTCTATCAGTATCCTCACTAAATAAGCTGAAAGACACTGGAGAAGCAGGTCAGAGGGATCTAGCCATGACAAGCAGAGCCAGGAAGGCTTTTTCTATCTCCCAAAGGCTGGGGTGATTGTGCTATAGCAATCAACCAGCTTGGTTAGTTCCTTTAGCTCTAAGATTGCCTTCTCCTACTGAGAAACACGGAAATAAGCAGAGGGGCAGTTAGAACTCACAAGAGGGACCCAGCCATGATGAGCAGCCCAGACTAGAAAGCTTTATTGTTATCATAGGCCTGGCATTTTCCTTCTCTGCTTATATATATCAGAGCAGGTGGGTAGCGCCGATAGTGGAATCATGCTGCAACATTGTTCTTCCCAGGTAAACCACTTCATCTTGGATATGGAACTCCTTTTCCACATGGAAAGAGACACACAGAAACCTGGCCATGAAGCTCCCTCAGGCAGCACTAGCAGAGATCAGCGGGGACCACAGAGGCATCAAGTAAACCATATAGAAAACTTACACTGCAAAAGCTGTAAAATGTAAAGCAACATTGAAACTGCAGCCTACAAAACAGCCCAGGACCTGAATGCTGACCTAAACAGAGTGGCTGCCTGAGAAATAAAAGATTTAAATAGGACCCATACAGGCAAAATATCTAGGATAAAATTAAAAGTCGTTTATTAAATCAAGAATCAAAAATTACAACTTGAATCAGAAAAGGCACAAATACTGACATAAATCAGATGTTGACATTTTCTGGCATGGATTTTTCAGTAGCCGTTATATAAATGCTCCAAGAATCAATTATAAGTTATTTTGAAACAAATGAATAAATAGTGAATATTAGCAAAGAAAGAGAAGTTATTTATAAGAAAAAAACTATAGAAATAATATTTAAAAACCAAGAAATTTAAAATTTGCTTAATGGTTAAGTGTAAATAAGATAGCTAAATGTGACAATAAATGAACAGAACTACCAATCTAAAAACAATGAGAAAAACAGACGAAAAGTAAAATGAATAGATCCCAGACCTGTGAGAAAAACAACAAAAATCCAATATTTGTTATATCAGAATGCCAGAAAGACAAAAGGAAAAGAATGACGCTAAAAGAGTGTTCAAAGAAATAATGACTAAAAACTCCTTAAATTTGGCAAAACATGCAAATTTACATGTTCAAGAAATTGGCTAAATCTCAAATAGAATGCACCCAAATAAATCTATGTCATGGCACAAAATAATGAAAACTAGTAAAACTAAAGACACTTAAAAAAAAATTTAAAGATGCCAGGGAGAAACAACACATTATGAGGCCAGGCATGGTGGCTGACGCCTGTAATCCCAGCACTTTTGGAGGCTGAGGCAGGAGGATCACCTCAGGTCAGGAGTTGGAGACCAGCCTGGCCAACATGGTGAAACCCTATCTCTACTAAAAATATCAAAATTAGCGGGGTGTGGTGGTGAACACCTGTGGTCTCAGCTACTTGGGAGGCTGAGGCACAAGGATCGCTTGAACCAGTAGGCAGAGGTTGCAGTGAGCCAAGAGTGTGCTGCTGCACTCCAGCCTGGGGGACAGAGCAAGGCTTGATCTCAAAAAAAAAAAAAAAAAAAAAAAAAAAAAAAAAAAAAGAAAGGAGAAAGAAAAAATACATTATGCCTACTTGAACACAAATCTGAACTTTAATAGAGTTTAAAAACAATCTGAAACCAAAGAGAACAGAGGGAGTGGTACAAGTTCTAAGAGCTGAAAGAAAAGAACTGCCAGCTATAAATTCTATATCTAGCTAAACTGTACATCAGGAAGAAAGACTAAAATGAGGACATTGGCATACTATAAACAACTAAAAGGCTTTTTTTTTTTTTGCTATCAGACTTACCCTTCAATATTGCTTAAATAAAATATTTCATTACAGAGGAAATGATAAAAATAGTGAATCTTGGAACATCAGGAAGAAAGATAAGACAATGACAAGAGAGGAAATATGGGTACATATAATAGACTATTTTTCCATTGTGACTTTTATAAATCATATTTGATGATTAAAAACATTATAGTACTGTTTACACTGAAGACAGATTATTGTTAGGCAACAATAGGATAGAGGACAAGAGGTTGGGCAACAGGATAGGGGAGGGAGCCAGGAGTAATTATAAAAGTGAAATAGGAGGGATCTGTGTGGTGATGGAACTGTTTATTATCTTGATTGTGGTGGTGAATAAAAGAACTAATACTTGTAATAAAATTGTGTAGAACTCTACACATACACAAATAGTTATAAGTAAAACTGAAGATATCTGAATAAGATGGATGGATTGTAACAACGACAATAGTGTTGTAATTATATTATAGTTTTGCAAAATGCTATCATTAGGGGAGACTTTTTATCGTTTCTTAAATCTCCATGTATCTCTACAAGTAACTTAAAACATTTAAATTTAAAATACACAAGTGATATTATCAGAAAGTTTTATATTTCCTCTTAGAAATCTTTTCTTCTATAGAATCGTCCAAAACCAGAGATGAGTACATACACCTTTTCTAGTTTAAGCAGGAGGACACTAAGCACTCATCAGATTGTACGACTGTTGTTTAAACTACATAGTAAGATAACTGATGAAAACTGGCCTCAAACGAATCAAGGAGGATCCTATGATCATTCTAGGTCCCTAAATTATGTACATTATGAAAGAAAAAATGTAGATCCTTGAAAAACTCTATAAGGATACCCTATCCTTTGGTTCCTAGGTTGTACCAGCCTTCGATAGAATATTCCAAGAGTGCTACGTCAAGACTGAATTTGAAAACATGCAAATGCCTATAACCATGCTTTGTTTTTCTATCTTCACCTCAAGGTTCAGATTCTTCTTAACCCTCAAACCATCAAGTGCCTGATGAGATCTCATCTTCTAGATAATTACTATGCTCCCACTTCTTTAAGGATAACTACCCTCAAGATCAGCATAAAAGCTCCTTTCTTCTGTAGAAGAGCTGGCAACTGCATGTCTTACTTCAAATGAGAATTAACACCATTCCATAACTTCCTTCTGGTATCATTTTACTTCTGCCTAAAGTACTTCCTTTATTAGGTGATGAATCCATTTAGGTATGTCTTAAAAAGTCTTTATTTCAATTTACTTTCAAAAAATGTATTCACTAGATGTAGAATTCTAACTTAACAGTTGCTTTTCTTGCTGTTGATTTTTTTTCTTTCAGTAATTTAAAGACCTAGCTCTTTCAGTAATTTAAAGACTTAGTAAGTTAAAGACTGTCTATCCTTAAAGAAGTGTTTTATACTGATTATGAGGCCACCACACCAAACCTCATAATGTGTTGTTTCTCCCTACTATCTTTAATTTAATTATGTTTACATAATTTCTGGGGAAAAAAGTGCTGCAACTCATATCTTTGCTGTTCTGCCCGTAACATATTTTTTTCCTGCCTGCTTGTGAGAAGTATCTTTATAATTGATTTTGAGAAATTTGATTGTATTGTACCTAGGTCTAGTTTTTTGTTGTTGTTGTTGTTTTACTGTACTTGGGTTTTATGGAGTTTCTTGCATATGTGGGACTATAGTTTTTTTAATCAGATTTGCAAGTTTTTTTTTTTTTTCAAATCTGTTCCACTGCTCATTGATGCTCTATATGTTTTTGTATTTTCTTCTTTCCCTTTTTATCTTGGATGGCTTCAGTTGACAGGTTTTCAAGTTCACTAAGCTTTCTTCTGCAATGTGTAATCTACCAGCAAGACCATCTAGATTTTTCTTCATTTCGAATTGTATAGATTTTTAAAGTTTGATCTGATTTTATATAATTATTGCTCTACTTAACTATTTGAAAGTATATAATGCAGCTATAATAATTTTTCATGCACTTTTCTGACAATCAACATTTGTGCCAATTCTGGATCAGATTTTTTTGATTAATTTTTTCCTCATTATGGATTATATTTTCCTGCTTCTTTTCATTACTGGTAACTTTTGGATGGATATGAGAAAATGTGAATTTTACCTTGTTAGGTATTACATATTTTTGTATTTTTATTAATATTACTGTTATTATTTTTCTAGTATAAACTTGTTACTATAAAACAGTTCAATGCTTTTATGCCTTGATTTTAAGATTTACACATTTTAGATGATTGTAAGGTGTTATTATCAAAGAATTGTTCAGTCTAGGGCTAATTTTTCCCTACCTTTGAGGCAAGCCCGCTCTGTTAATTGTACCAACTACCCCATAAATTATGGAGATTCCTGAGAGAAAGGAATAATTCCTGGCTCCTTGTGAACTCTGAGCACAATTACTTCTAATCATTTTTTTGTGTTTCTCTCTTTGTTCAGGTGGTTATTTTTTTCCCATAGGCATGTGATCAGCTCTCTGCTGAGTATCCATTCAAAGGGGACACTTTGCATATCTCTGTAATTCTTGTTATGTGCATCTATCTCCTCTGTGGTACTTTGTCTTGGAAACTCTAGCTGCTTTGCTTTCCCCATACTCAACTCCATCTCTGCTTGTCAGGGAGTTTGACCTCTGCAATGGCCTGGAAACTATTTTCAGACAGTAGTAAATTGGACCAATAACAGAAGTTACCTTCTAAATACACAATTTCTCCAATACCACTGTCCTTTGTTGTCTATGTTCAGTGTCTTTGAAACTATCTCTATCTATCTATCATCTATCTATTATCTAGCCAGCTAGCTAGCTGCCAACTGATTTTTTGTTTGTATCAGGTGGGTGAGTAAATCCAGCCTCCTTTACTTTATCTTGATGAAAAGTGACAGCTTTCCATCTATATATTTGAACCCACAGAATCCTTATGAGGTGGTATCGTCTGCTCTGATTTACAAACAAGGAATCCTAAATGGCAGAGAAGGCAAGGCTTTTGTTCCCATAGTCAGAAAGTTTAAAAGCAAGAGAGCAAGGACTTAAAATTAGCTCTACCTACTGCCAAATTCTGTGCTTTCTTTATGGGAAGAGAAGATTAAAGAGGTTTTTAAGGGTTAGCACAATAAACATGTGACATTCTCCCTGTGGCAATGTAACAATACAATTTTTCTTTACCTGGCAACCTTTTATACTTTAAGACGTGAATCAGATAGCATCTCCCCTGACCAGGCTAAAGACGCTCTCACCACCTTTTGCTAATTCTTTTCACTTATATTTGAAAAGTACACTGTGGCTGTGTTTGCCTTTAGTGTGAGACTGAATTTGTGGGGGAGGGGAGAGCTATAAATTTTGTGTATTTTATCTTTCTTTTCTTAGCATTAAGCAAAATTCCTGGCACATGGTGGGTAAAATCTGTGTTTGTAGAATTGAACTGACTGCTTGAGGCTTCCTCAAAGCAAGCCAGTTTTAATAATGGCCTACAGGTTTCACAGCAGAAGATATTGACAAGTAAAATCACAATGTGTATTCCAAAGCTAAAGATAATTTTGTTTGGTGGTATGGGTTTATATCTCTGTGTAAATGAAAACAGATCAGCTTCTCAAGTTGGAGGGACCAGGCTTTTAGAAAGCCTGTCCTTAAAGACTTGGAAAACATGCTAAACTACAATGTATTGTTTAGGTCTGTGTTACTGCAATAACAAACAAAGAATCAATTAATTGCATGGAGAAACCCATTTCAGGATCTACCAAGGGGATACACAGCAGCATACATTTTTGAAAGGCAGTCTGAGATAGCAGCAAAGACTGCAATTTCAACTCATGAAGCCTCAGGTTTCATGCTTCCTTCTAACACCACATTAAACAATCTTTGGCAGTTGACTTAACTTCCTAAAGTTCCTCTTATTTAAAGTGTGGATAATTGTGTTACCATGCGGGGATGTAGTGATCAGGAAATGAGAGTTTGGTATAGGACAGTTGACAAAAACACAGACTCATGTTTCCCTTCCAGTGTAGACTGAATGCTGGGAAGCATCTGTCCACTCAAGGACTGTATATGCCAGCCTCCAGCATTGAGGAGACACTTCATGGCAAGTTCTTAACAACAGAATGCAGATTGGCATAATATACAGTGGAGGTGTATGAACATTAGGTTTGAGATTCTCTATGTTCTCATGTTTCTCATCTGCCAACTAAATGATCATGGCAAAGAATATCTGCATTGGAATTTGTTGAAGGGAGAAACCACATTGGTGTGCTAAGTCTTTGGGTTTGGGGGATTATATAAATTTCAGCAGTTAGCCTATTCTGATTACTAAGGAGAAAATGCTCATATAGAACATAACACAGCAGTTCAGTACATTATATATTATTTGCTCACAGATGTAATGATTCTTGGCTCAAACTGTATAAAGTGGTGTGACTTTGGACAAAACAATTTACTGCTATGGACGTTTATCTCTATCACTATGATAGTGTTGGATTAAAATATCTCTAAGGTGCTTTTCAGCCTCAACACCATGTTTTCTTTTCTAAAGATTGTTTACTTATTATGACATATAAGCTGCCCCAAACCAAATTCCCAGGGTACAAAGAGTGATATCTCTGCCTGTCATCGGTACATAAGTAAGCACATATGCACATTATACATTATCAAAAGGGATCAATTTGCAATAGTGAACAAACATCAAAGAATAGTGAACAAACATCATGAACAAAGGGAGAGCTAAAATGGGACATGTAGAAAGATTGCTAAGCAATTCTGTATGCCTGCTTGTGTCGATCACAAGGCAGTACATACTCATGGAATTTTATCCAAGTGTTCCCAATATTCCAAAGTAAAACTAAAATGTAAGCATTTATGACTGACTCAGATCCATACATTTTAGGCAACATGGAAAAAGACCAAAACACAGGGGTATTAAGAGTCCTGATAAGAGAGTGGTTCAGATGTTGGATCAACCATGATGCTGAGGCTGGTTAAAAAGTTAGTAATTATAGAATGGTTATGCAGATTGTGATATGATCAAAGTCTCCAGATGGCCATGATTCCATGAGAAGTGAGTCGGTCATGAAGGGATAAGAGAAATGAGGAAGTGTTTAAAACTCTGGAGGTATGGCAGTTCTGAAAGATGGCTAGATGCATAGTATGGCCCGAGGATGAATGGATAAAGTGGTATAAAGATAAAAGTTAGGAGTGCTTTATGTTAAACTTGGTTAACCACAGGATATGGGCATTTTCAATCGCATGTATTTGGGTGGAGAAGTAAACCATGGTCCTCTGTTTCTCTTATTAATGAAAGTGAAATAGTAATGCAGAGGACAGTAAATGGCAAGAGGAGAATTGGAAAGTGATAGAATCTTGTTTACATTTCAGGAAAGGAACTTTCAAAAGAGAAAAGGAGAGTAAGTTTTTTAAAACTTAACTGGGGAGATTGTAGAAAAGGGCTCCAACTCCAAGCCTTGTGAAATACCCATCTGCAGGAGAAGTAGATCAGTAGAACCAAAAAGGTGAAAGTGTATCTGTTCACAAACTTCAGATGTAGGCTTATGTATCTACAATGGGTCTGGCATTTGCTACATGTAGTTATTGGGAGTAGGCATTTCCTACATGTATTTATTGGGAGTAGGGCTCAATGATAGGTGAATTCATTAGGTATGAAACACAGGTTGTCTTCTAAGTCCTTTTATTTGCTACATTACCACTCCCTTAGATCTGTTTCCCTATTAGTTTGAAAATATGAGGTTTAGACTTAATAACTTTCAGAATCTTTTCTAGTTCTAGTCTTTTCAATTATTTTATTCCCAAGGTAGACTTTCCCCAAGCCCCAAACTTACCAATATGACATAAGGCACAGACTGTGAAAATGGCAGTTGAATTTTTAGGAAGTTTACGTGCCAAAAGTAGTAGTCTAGGAAAAGAAAGATCTCATATACTGTTCTTACAGATAAAAGAGAATTGAAATAATACAATCTAATTTCTCAGTAATTTACCAATAAGGAGACACTGTAGATGATGGGCTGGTAAGCAAGTTGTTTGGTTTAATTGAATGCAAAAAAAAATCTACTTTTTATAGAATTTCTTGTTCATATAATCTGATCATCTTTTGATTTTTATTACTTATGATTTTTATCACTCAATATATTTTCTTGTTGTGATAAATTCTAAGGAACATGAGCCCTAACTAAAGCCTTCTTATATTAAATCTTTGATGACAAAGAGAAAGAAGCTCTGAAAATTTCTGTATGTAGGTTGAAAGTTGAGATGTAAGGCAAAGGTTATTTATGAGGTTAATATATCACCAAAATTGAAAGATGGAAAGTAATATAATATCAAAATTGGTCTTGACTAAAAGTGTCAATCAAATCATTAAATATTTTTAAACATTGACCAGAGCTCTGGTAGGTGTAGTACTCCCTCAAAGTTTAGAACTTCATTGTAAAATGAATTGTTATGTAAATCAGTTAGCCAAGGAGTATTCATACTATAGAATAAAGTATTGTAGATTAAAACAATGAGGCGTCTCTATAATTATGTAATTTCTGGCTTATAATAATCTATAAGGCATATTTTATTTTCAAATAATGAAATTTTACACTAATAAAATATGGTAAGATTTTGGCAAAAAATAAAGCAAAGCTATATTTTTCTTTGCTGGAAGAATTTACACCAAAATAATATTTCTCTGAGGAAGAAAACAGAATTGTAGAGAGGCAAGAATGACTTTGTTTTTAATTTGTTCTGTTGGAACAGTTTTTACAACAGCTAAGAATTAATATATTTGTTATGTGATAATTATATAAAAATTAAAAATAAGATAGACCTACATGTGCTAATGTTGAGGATATAGTCCCACATATATTTAAATGAAAACACTAAGCAGCAAAGGAGTGTGCACGATGTCCTTTCATTTGTATGTGTAAATGTTTGTGTGTGTGTGTGTGTATTTTACACTACATAAAATTTTAATTTTCCCACTTTCTCTTTCACAAGCTACCTGGTGAAAGGAGTTGCTTACTGCATAAAAGTTTCCTCAGGGCCCATAACATTTTGTGTTTTCTTCTCATTCTGACCTAATTGATCTTATTCGTAGGTAAATCAAGGCACAAACCAGGTGTCTTTCAGAGTCAAAACTGTCTGGTGTACAATTCTAATAATAACTTTATATTTGTCAATGTCCACAAAAGCCCACTACACCACCATTCACATTCTAGCAGCTCTCTGGCTATCTCTCCAGGTTGGCTGTGGGGAGGGAGGAAAAGTGAAGGGACGGAATACTCCTTTTTGATCTGGTACCTTAAGTAAACCTGTATTATGCTCTTTGGAACTGAGAGTTTTATAAATTACTTTCTCTCAGGAGGCTTCTTTGAAAGGTCTACAGCTGGACTATTCTCCTCTGCTCTGGTAATTGCAATTATCTACCACTGCTTGTGTTGGCTTTCTTCCCTTGCTAATGTTGCTTCAGCTTGGAACTTTTTACTGCTGCAGTTCCTCTGCTCCTCTAGGGGCATATTTTGAGAGGATGTTGGAGAACTCTAATCCAATTGCTTATATGTTCTCTACATCTCTATTTTGGGTCTCTTTTATGGCATGCCTGTGCATCCCTGGAAAGACTCCTGCATCTTTATCCTAACAGAAATCTTTGAAATACAAGCAGATTCCAATGGTAAGAAGCTCTCCCAGCTCTATCACTAATTCTGAGGGTAATTAGGAACTCTCATCTTCTCAATTTGTCAAGGAACAGTTAGGCCCAGGCTATAATGTCACAAAACTGCAGAAAAACACACGACAAGTTTTCCCAGGGGTCGTGTTTAAATTTGAAGTTTCTAGGCCTAAAGCTAGAAAGTGGAATCACACCCAAACTCTCTCCTGTTAGGAGAGCAAGACAGCAGTTTCCCCCCAAAGAAATCGCTTCACAAATCCTGTCCACATTCTGAGTAGTTTTTATATCCTGGAACTTGTTGATGGGACAATAGTAGAAGATCTATTTCCATGAAATATTTATTTGTAGATTCTGCATATGTTTATTTGCCTATGAAATGTCAACTCCATCTTATTAGTTTTCTGTCTTAGGCCTCTTGTTTTTCAGAACTTTAGAACACACTGCTATTATTATTATTGCTTTCGGTTTTGTGGGGGGAATATCACTAAAATGGATTAGGCTTTGCAAATGTTGAACAAAAAACACCCACTAGGGTTCTTGGAATAAAATTTACGAGCAGCCTAAAAACGAATACAGACATCACTAAAAAAGATTATATATATATGCCTGAAACATAGGCTTATGTGCATATATTGGATTGGTAAGCGATCCAAGAAGCTATAGTTGAGAGTCAGGGGGAGAAAAGAAAAGAAGAGGAGAGAGTTAATAGGAAGATAATGAACTTTACCCCCGCTACAGGCAATTGGTTGCTCTATCCCATGAGAATGGATAAGTCATATAATATGCTTTTGGGGACCTTCTATCCCCAGTTGGTCAAAATTTTCATCATAAGGTTAATTCAAGGGCACCAACTGAGTTCCTAAGCAAAGAAATCCACACACAAAAAAATGCAAAGGGCAGGAAGCAAGAAAGTGGAGTCATGCCCCAGCTGGCTGACCATAATGAGATGCCCATCATTTGCATTATATTGGCAAGATTTAAGAAGTCTAACGTCACCAGCAATACACAAAATTATGGAAATATAAATTTCCATGGCCCAAGAAAGGAGCTGAAGTTTGCACTCAATGTGAGTTTGGCGAGGCTCACACTACAGTAACTAAGAAAAAAAAAAGACTAAAGACTGACATGGAGCAGAAAGGTGCCCCATATACTGGTAAAGCTTCCATTTCAATGTCTTATTAGAGATATGTATAGATACACGCATTGAGAAGGATGCATTCTTTGCAGGAAATTAGAATGGCTACATTTTGATTGAGAGATTAGATACAGAGTGAGAGGTAGATTTACTTCGTATTTTTACTTTTTAAAATTTAAATTTGGAATTAGGAAACAATTAGAGAGTTATCTGAAGTCTCCTATGCTCCTGTGTACCTTTTCTGAACCATATTCACTTTTCAAATTCTTCACAGAAACCCATATATAACATTGGGTGATTTTTATTAATATTCATTTAAAATATTTTAAAATATGTTTATATTATCTAAACAATACAATATTTTGGATGTTTTAAACATTTAAATAAACGGTATCATCTATTAATTAACTGATTTTCTCAGAATTAATATATTTTAATATTATCTATGTTGAGACCCAATCTTCTATTTTATTAATGATAATTACAGTGTTCCACATTTGAAAAAATATGATGCTATATTCATTCTTTTCTGAAAGAGCATTTAAATTTTCTCAGTTTCTTTATGACACTCAAGCTGCTAGGAACATTCTTTATATATGTCCCTGGGCGTGTGAGCAAGAAAGTCTCTATGGTTTATGTCTGACGAATAAATAGTTGTTTCAGAAGGGATGTACATATCCAATTTTACTTTATACTGCCAAGTTGCTCTACAAAGTGGTGGCATAAATTTATATTTCCATAATAGTGCTTATTGCTCTACCTCCTCACTGCCAACATTGTTAGGGTTCTTAAATCTTGGCAATATAATTGATATGGATGGGCATCTTATTATGGTTTTATTAGGTATTTTCCCGATTACTACAGAGGTTGAGCATCTTTTCAAATGTTTACTGACTCTTTTGGTTTCCTCCTTTCTGAATTGCCTGCTTAAAATCATTGCCAGTTTTTCTGTTCAATTGTTTGTCTTTCGTGATTGTTTTGATTCTTTGTGTATTTTGGATGCTAAACCTCTAAAAGTAGTAGGCATTTCAAATATCCTCTCTCAGGCAATGGCTTGCCATTTAACTTTTCTTCATAGTGACTTATATTGACCAAAAAGTTTACATTTTAATGGAGTCAAACTTATCAAATTTGTTTCCTTTTTATAAAAATATTTCTCAATACCAGGTCATAAAATTTAATCCTATATTTCCTTTAAGAAATTTAAAAGTTTTGTTTTTTTCATTTGGGATTTTTATGCACTTGGAATTGGCATGTGTGTATGTGTGTTTTTTCAAGGGCAGAAATACTTGAGATTAAAAATGGTTTTCTTCTATACTTATTACCTCTTACTCCATTATAATTTTTGAGTTACGTTTACCCTGATTAAAAGTGTTATTAATATATGAAGATTCTCTATAAGAGCTCATTTTTACTGGTTTATTCTACCCTACTAGGCTATTTATGTATCTCAGTTATAATACCATGTTTTTTAAAACTCATATAGCTTTATGTTAAGCCTTGAAGTCTAGTAGGACATTTCTCAAGTTCTTTAAATTCACTTTGGTTACTGTTAGTTTTCCTTCTTTCATATAAATTTTAGGATCAACTTTTCATTTACCAAAATAAAATATTCTCTTAGGGGAAAATGCCTTAAATTCATGGATTAATTTGGCTTAGAATGGATATTCTTATGACATTGAGAAGAACCTACATTTCATTGAATTTTCTTTGTAAATGGCTTAACATTACAGGTGTGTGTTATTCTCCTTATATGTTGTAATTTTAAGCCAATATATAAGCCATTTTTTGGAGGGGTCATTGATTTTTTAAGAACCCACAATGTAAAGTCTACTACTCTTTTAAAGAAAGTCTATAGAAGAAGGAAAATCCCCTTCATGTGAGAAACTGAGAAGCTTGTGGTCTCCTGGAGCTGCAGGCAGCCATTCGGTATTCCATGACAGGGATCTATGCAATTAATAGCTTTTAGGTCATTTATTTGCAATTATTAGTGTGATATAAGTGATCATGAATGATTTTACCCATTGGCCAAAAGAACTTACTGCTTCAATTATTTCAGCAAAATACACTGATATATGCCCATGGCATGAAGTATTGGCATATAGTATTGAGTCCTCTTGAACTTATTCTTTCTCTATTTGTGTTGTGTGTTTATCAAGAGTCACTTTTGTTTGTTTCCAAACCAAATTACTCCACATTTATTAGTTAGTGCAATAACATAATTCAATTATTATGTAAACAAATTAACATGAGTATGAAAAATGATTATCTTTCATAAAACATAGATATGTTTTGCAAAAAATAATAAAAACAGTATAATGAGGTATGGATAAGAATAAAAGGGAGAATCATTTAAATAAAGAAGATTCTGCATTCTTTGCTTCAGGTTTATGGTCTTATTTTAAGTAAAACAAAAACTGGAAGTAGCAGCAGCTGCATCTGCATTGTAGATTCAGTTCATGCAAAAAAGAAATTTGGAACTTCAATCAAGAATGTTTTGCTAAAATGTCTTGGCCCATGGTAAAGGTTAACAAAAATTTATTATCATTGATATGTTCTTGGTAAAAGCAAAATATTTAAGACACATATGTGTTTTTATATGTGTTTTCAACTACTGATGCCTCTTAAGTTTCAATATATTTGTTTCCTTACTCAGTGTACAGAATTTAAACCCAAAACTTTGTCAAATGATTTCTATAAAGATTTGGCTTCCCTGTGACATGTTCTTAACTGCTATTTGTAGCTCTAACCCTTTATCCCTCACCCCATCTAATGTGAAACTTTCTGCTTCTTTTCTCCACAAGTCAGAATTCTCTGCCTGCTGAGACAATTACAGGGATTTTTAAGGGATGCTTTGAAAGGAAGACTCTCTTCTACATTGCAGCTTAAATTGAAAATGCCTTATCTTTTGAGCAAAACATGGATAACTTGAAAGTTTCTGAGAAACTCCATCAAATAACCCTTCTGAAGCACTGCCCTTTGGCAATACTAATTTATTCTTCAAATCCAACACATCTGTACTACAAAATGACTTGGCATGTTATTGATCATGTAGTAGAATCTCCACAAATATTCACTAAATCACAGTAAGAATATATTAACTGCCTTATCGTACAACTGTCTTAGCTCTGTTTTCATTTGTTCCTTGTATATGAAACTGGCTACCCTGAGGAGTTGGGCCCTTTGTGTTTTTTCTTAAAGAAATACTAATAGCTTAAAAGTTGCTATTAGTTTTCTGATTTCAGATGCAAAACATCAATTTCACTTCAGAACACACTGCTATTATTATTGCTTTTGGTTTTGTGGTGGAAGTATCACTAAAGTGGATTAGGCTTTGCAAATGTTGAACAAAAAAACCCCACTACAGTTCTTGGCATAAAATTTAGGAGAAGTCTAAAAATGAGTACAGACATCACTAAACAAGGTTACATATATATATATATATATATATATATATATATATATATATATATACACACACACACACACACAACTATATATGACACACATGTATAATATATATTCATATATTTATATATGCACACACACTTTTATAAAATACCACCTTCTCTATCCTTAGCTGTACCTTTAGTATAAAGAATCAAGTGAGAAAAAATTCTGATCACATCAAAAAGCTTTACTTTTTAAAATCAAATTCCTTAATATTCTTAGGATAAGTATTCATTTACCTTTGTGTTCTGTATAATATTTTTGATCAAATACAATTAGTGAACTTTATAGTAAAAAGTCCAATATAATTTAAGTAATCATCATTGAAAATTAAATAATATTATTTAATATGATTTATTGTTTGGTATTTTATGTTTTTTTAAAGATGGCAGAAAATATATACTTAAAATAAGATCTATATCAACTCTCACATTTAAGATGACAAAAAACTTGTATTTCAAAAGAAAGACTGAAATCAAATGTTTAAGTTCTTTCGAAAATGTATATATCACATATATTAGAATTCAGCAAATGCATGTTTATTTAAATATCAAAGGACTTCAACTTGACTAACACCAATGTTGAAAGTCAGTGTTAACTTCATGGAATAAACAAATGGGCTATAAGAATTAATGTATCATTTTAAACTACAATCTTATAGTTTAAGCTAATGCAATTTTACTATTATACATTTTGTAATTACATTGAGAACGTTTTCATTTGTGTCCAGCAACATGACTTACTCAGCCCTTTCCATGCCAAGGTACTTCCTGCCATTATTAAATATGAAGTCCACAGAAAAGAACATATTTTTGAGAAACCACATCATTCTCTAATACCTTTTAGTTCCTTTCTAATATTCATATTTTATTAGTTTAATGTAATTAGTCATGGATATTCTTTAACCTAACTTTTTATTCACTTGAAATTTTGCATCAAAATTGACAGCTTTTTTATGCGTTCTTATGATATATCAACTTTCAAACAGAAATATTTGCTTGAAATTCTCGTAGCCTAAGTAGAACTAAGTAACTAACAGCTCAAGATATTTTAAACTTCTTCTCTAATTCCACAAATGGTAACTAATACACAGTTCAATTCTATAAAAATTAAAATTATATGACCGGACACCATGGCTTACACCTATAATACCATCAAGTTGTGAGTTCAAGGCTGGAGGTTCGTTTGAGCCCAGGAGTTCGAGACCAGCCCTGGTCAACACGGCAAGACCCCCATCTCTACAAAAAATACAAAAATTAGCTAGACATGGTGGCATGCACCTGTGGTCTCAGCTACTTGGGAGGCTGGGGTGAGAGGCTACCCCAGAGTTAAAGGCTGAAGTGAGCTGTAATCATGCCACTGCACTTCAGCTTGGGCCATACAGTAAGACTCTGTCTCAAAAAAAATTAAAAAAAAAAATATATATATATACACACACATACACATATACCAAATTTCCATTTTTCTGCCTTCAATTGTTATTTAAAATTTTATGTTTTCCCTCAAGGATTATATAGTGTTTATCTCAATGTTAATTAAACAATGTACACTTTTGTAATATTTAAATTAATCTCAATCTATTTCATTAGTTTATATATTTGTTTTCCAAGGATGCCACATCAACTAATCACACATATGGAGACTTAAAATAACAGAAATTTAATTCTTTCACAGTTCTGGAGGCCAGAAATTAAAAATCAAGCTGTCAGCAGGTTGGGTACCTTCTGGAGCCTTGGAGAGAGAAACCATCCCGTGACTATCTTTAAGCTTCTGATGTTATTGGCCATCCTTGTGATGCCTTGGCTTGTGGAGGCATCATTCAGCTCTCTACCTCCAACCTCACATTGTCTCTGTGTGTCTTATTCTCTCACATATAAGACACTTTCATTTCCTCACCATAATCTAGCATTATTTTATCTTGATCCTTACCTTACTTAACCTCTGCAAAGATCCATTTTCCAAATGATGTCACATCCCAAGTTTCTCAGTATACATGAATTCCAGGGGGAAACTATTCAACCCATTATAGTCAGCTTTACGTCCCCCCCCAATACATGGCTGTCCCCTTTACATTCAACCCATCCTAACATCATTAAAAGTCTTAACCCATGCTAGCATCAACTCTAAATACAAAACTTTATCCAGATATAACCAACTAAGATTCCCAACTTGCAACACCTGCGACAGATATGAATGGGACCCTGAGGAAGATTCATCTTGGGTCAAAACTTTTCTTCAATTGAGAACCTATGAAATTAGAAAACAAGTCCTTTGCTTTCAAAATACAATAGTGAGACATCATAGGATAGACATCCCTATTACCATAGGGAGAAATTAGAATAAATAAAGGGGTCATTATTTCCACACAAGACTGAGAACTTTCAGTGTAAATTCCATTATGGTTTAAGGTCTGAGAACAATCACCTATGGCAAACATCTCTGTCTGCTGGGCCCAACTGATCACAGCTCCCTCTGCTCTTTCTTCCCCAACCTCTGTCTCTTATCATGTCCCCACTCTTGGAGTCATTCTTCCTTCTTCTTGAAGGATAGCACTATAACTCCACTTCTTACCTGTACAATTTTGGGATACCATCAACTGTCTTTCATTTTGCATAGTCTCTGTCCTTTTCAGTCCAAGCTAATAGTGTTTCTGCTAATACAATATTCTCAATAATCTTGTGGATCTCCCACATATGTCAAAACATCTATGTCATTAGACAAGAAGATTCTCCTTGAATCCTGCCTGAATAACCCCTTTTGTATTCCTGGCTTCTGCTGAGATGGGTCTATAATGTTACTCACTTAACTCATTTCTGCAGCAAAATGTTGTCCAGCTACACCCTTGACCCTTTCTCCAGAATATACTTTTAACATCTTTTGTAATCATCATAGGATAAGAATTTTCCAAATCACCAAGCACTGTTTCTTATTTGCTTAATAGAACCTTCTTCAATTTATCTCCTTTCTTTTACATTTAACAATAAGCAGCAAGGATAAATCAGATCGTGCCTTCAACAGTAGTTGGAAATCTCCCCTGATAAATGTTCAAGTAAATCACTGACACGTTCTGCTTTCTATCCAATGTTAAAGAATAATGCAGTCATGTTATCTGCCACTTTATAATAAGGATTATCTTCCTATCAGGGTCCAATAATATGTTTCTCATTTCCCTCTGAGATCTCAAAAGAAGCATTTTAATGCTTATATTTCTACCAACATTCTATTTAGGATGACATGTTTATTCTTTACAATGACACAAATTTTCTTTAACAGAATCACCTTTCTCACCAGAATCATCTTTAATGTCCATTTTTCTACCAAGAGTCTTGTCAAAGTAATCTAGTTTTTTGTTTGTTTCTTTGTTTTACCTATTATGCTTCTAAAAGATCTTCCGGCCGCTGCTCATTGCCTAATTCCAAAGCTATGCTCACATTTTTAGGTATTTGTTGCAAAAGCACCCCACTTCCCAGTACCAAAGTATGTGTTAGCTTCCTAGGGATGCCACAATAAATTACACAAACTTGGTGGTTTAAAATAACAGAAGTTTATTTTCTCGCAGTTCTGGAGACTAGAAATCCCAAATCAAACTATCTATCTGTAGTGTTGGTTCCTTGTAGTATCCTTGGGGGAGCTATTATCTCATTCGTCTCTTCTATGTGCTGCCTTTGCCAGTAATCAGCATTCCTTGGCTTATAGACACATCACCCTAATTTCTAATCCCATTTTTTGCATTACTTCTCAAAGTTAATGTTGGTCCTTTTATGCCTTTTATAAGAAAACTATTAATAAATTTAGGATCCATCCTAACCCAGCATCATCTTATCTGATTCTTACTTTAATTATAATTGTAAAGATCTGATTTTCAAATAAGCCACATTCTGAGGTTCCAGGTGTACATGAATTGGAGGGGAGAGGAATATTCAAACTACTACACTGAAAGAAATGTATTAATAACCTTCTGTATGTGGTATTAGGAGCTTTTCTAACAATAAAATATTATACTATATTTTACTCTTGAAATAATACATAATTCAATTGAGTAATATAATGCCAAGAAAGAGAAATTAAAAATTGGGCTTTGAGTTATATAATATTTAGAACATTCACCTACAATTTGATTTGAATATTTATGTTTTAATAATGCCTATGAATAACAAACCTTGATGGTATTACTAATACTGTTACTCTGTTTAGATATAATGGTAACCTACATAATTAAAATGACATCATCTAAGAGTATTTAGCACTTAGATCAGTCTTCAAAAGGTTTGAAACCAAAGGAAAACCTAAATAGCAAATATTAGCCAATAAGTAGTTCAAAGTTATGATAGTGGTATTAGAAATTGTCTGAAAATCCCAGGCCTGTTACAGTTTCTGCACGCCAATTAAATTGGAGAAATGATATTTACTTTTTGTTAAATGAACTATTCAGACAATCATTTAAGGAGTCAAAATTTTGCAAAAGCTTTATAAGTTCTCCATAAGTGGTCAAAGACCTCTTGTTAGTCCTTTTCTTTTTTTTATTATTGGACTATTTTTTAATTGAAAAATCAGGGATCATCAATGAAAAAGAACGACAATTAGCGCCACAAATCTTACCCTCAATTTCAAATCATTTGAAATCATTTGAAATTGAAGGTACATGAGCATATTCACTGGTAAATATTCAATACACTTCTTGTTTTTTTTGCATTAGAATATCAATAATATATAAGAATATTAAAGAATATATAAATATAAAATATTTATATATAATAATATATAAAGAATAATATATAAGAATATAATCTACCCAACTCTACAGAAAGTTTAATTTGAGTTAAAATAAATAAATAATTTATCTAGAAATGCACCACTTGGCCAGGCTCAGTGGCTCACGCCTGTAATCCCAGCACTTTGGGAGGCTGAGATGGGTGGATCACGAGGTCAGGAGTTTGAGACCAGCCTGGCCAACATAGTGAAACCCTGTCTGTACTAAAAATACAAAAATTAGCCAGGTGTGGCAGCAGGCACCTGTAGTCCCAGCTACTCAGGAGGCTGAGGCAGGAGAATCACTTAAACTCCGGAGGCGGAGGTTGCAGTGAGCCTAGATGGCACCATTGCACTCCAGCCTAGGTGATACAGCAAAACTCTGTCTCAAAAAAAACAAAAAGAAAAAGAAAAAGGAATGCACCAATTAATATGGCATCTCCTACCCACATGTAGCAATTTAAATTTATTAAATAGGATTAAAATTCATTTCCTTTGTCCCAGTAGCTACAATGCTCAACAGCAACGTATACTAGTGGCTACTGTACTGAACAGTATAGACAATGAACATTTTTCTAATATAATAGCTGAACATTCTACTGGATTGTATCACTTTAGAATATCAAATATTCAACATTGTTAAAATATACATGTACATCTACTCACATGAACATGTATATTAACATACTTTATATGCTAATGAATACTAGATGGCTAACAATGAAATGTGCCAATAACCAGTCTACTCTGGTGCACCCATTTAGTATTGGCTACAATAGAATTGCATCACCTAATTGCAAATCTTACTTTTTCTAGAGTTCATGAATAGCATTATGGCTCCCTGAAACTTGATTACAGAAAATAAGACCTTTAGTTCAGTTGATGCGCTGATTATGAGGCTGAGAAGTTAGAGAGACAGCCCACTCTATCACTGGAAATTTGCACATAGACAAGGAGAAACGCCCATCAGAGTGATTAATGGGAGTTATTTTCATCTTACTGTCTATATCACTTCCAGCTCAAATTCCCAAATTATATTCAGATTTCATGGGGAACACAAAATGGAGGAATTATCATACACATTTTCTTGTCAAGAAATATGAGACAATTTATATATATATAAACATATGCACACATGATATTGATTTCATTTTTACTTCCTTAATCTTAGAAATTAAGTAATTTTTACCATGCATAATCCAAAACTTATTTCTTTAAGATTATAAAATACTTTAATTAGAATTTCACAAAGGTGGAGCCTGAGGATTTGCTGATTGCCATGCCACATTTTTTTCCAGGGTTCAGCGCAGCTTCAGAGACAGGAAGAAGCAAACAGTACAATGTGACAACAGTGATAGATATGCTAATTTCTTCATTCACTCCACTTCACTTCTTTTATTCTTCCAATTAAAGCAAATGCTACTGAAACTGTAATTAAGCCTGCGCTGGTCTCTGAGTGCCTGCTGTTTTAATAAAACCCTACTGATTTTCCTTTTATTTTTTATCTTTTATTTTAGGTTTGGGGATACATGTGAAGGTTTGTTATATAAGTAAACTCATGTCACACAACTTTGTTGTACAGGTTATTTCAGCACCCAGGTATTAAACCTAGTACCCAACAGTTATTTTTTCTGACCCTCTTCCTCCTACCACCCTCCACTCTCAAGTAGATCTCAGTGTCTGTTGTTCTCTTCTTTGTATTCATGAGTCCTCTTCATTTAGCTTCCACTTATAAGCCAAAATGTAGTATTTGGTTTTCTGTTCCTGCATTAGTTTGCTGAGGGTAATAGCTTCCAGCTCCATCCATGTTCTTGCAAAAGACATGATTTCATTCTTTTTTTTATGACTGCATAGTATTTCATGGTGTATAAATATCATATTTTCTTTATCCAGTCTACCACTGATGGTCATTTAGGTTGATTCCATGTTCTTGCTATTGTGAATAGCAATGCAGTGAACATTAGCATGCAAGCATTTCATAGTAGAAGGATATATATTCCTCTGGGTGTATACCCAGTAATAGGACTGCTGGGTCAAATGGTAGTTCTGCTTTAAGCTCTTTTGGAATTGCCATACTGCTTTCCACAATGGTTGAACTAATTTTCACTCCCACCAACATTGTATAAGTGTTCCCTTTTCTCCATAAGCTTGTCAGTATCTGTTAGTTTTTGACGTTTTAATAATGGCCATTCTGAGTGGTGTGAGATGGTATCATTGTGGTTTTGATTATCATTTCTCTAACGCTCAGTGATATTGAGCTTTGTTTCATATGCTTGTTGGTTGCATGTATGTTTTCTTTTGAGAAGTGTCTGTTCATGTCCTTTGCCCACTTTTTAATGGGGTTATTTGTTTTTCTCCTCTAAATTTGTTTAAGTTCCTTACAGATGCTGGATACTAGAACTTTGTCAGATGCATATCTTGCAAGTGTTTTCTCCTAATCTGTAGGTTATCTGTCTACTCTGTAGAAGGTTTAGTTTACTGTGCAGAACCTCTTAAGTTTAATTAGATCCCGCTTGTCAATTTTTGCTTTTGTTGCAATTGCTTTTGGTGTCTTTGTCTTGAAATCTTTGCTCAATCCTATGTCTAAGATTGTATCGCCTATTTAAGTTCCTTACAGATACTGGATACTAGAACTTTGTCAGATGCATAGTTTGCAAGTGTTTTCTCCCATTCTGCAGGTTATCTGTCTACTCTGTTGATAGTTTGGTTTGCTGTGCAAAAGCTCCTAAGTTTAATTAGATCCCACTTGCCAATTTTTGCTTTTGTTGCAATTGCTTTTGGTGTCTTTGTCTTGAAATCTTTGCCCAATCCTATGACTAAGATGGTATTGCCTAGGTTTTCTCCCAGAGTTTTTATAGTTTTTCATTTTAAATTTAAGTATTTAACCCATCTGGAATTGATTTTTGTATATGGCGAAAGGAAGGGGCCCAGCTTCAATCTTCTGCATACAGCTAGCCAGTTATCCTAGCACCTTTTATTGAATAGGAAGTCTTTTCCCCATCACTTGTTTTTGTCAGATGGTCATAGATGTGCAGCCTTGTTTCTAAGCTCTCTATTCTGTTCCACTGGTCAATGTGTCTTTTCTTGTACCAGTACCATGCTGTTTTGGTTACTGTAGTCCTGTAGCATAGTTTGAACTTGGGTAATGTGCTGCCTCCAGCTTTGTTCTTTTTGTTTAGTATTGCTTTGGCTATTTGAGCTCTTTTTTGGTTCTGTATTAATTTTAAAATAGTTGTTTTTTTTTTTTAGTTCTGTGAAGAATTTCATTGGTAGTTTGATAGAAATAGCATTTAATCTGTAAATTACTTTGGGCAATATGGTGATTTTAATAATCTTGATTTTTCCTATTCATGAGCATAGAATGTTTTCCCGTTTGTCTCTTCTAATTTCTTTCAGCAGTGTTTTGTAATTCTGATGGTACAGATCTTTAACCTCCCTGTTTAGCTGTATACCTAGGTATTTTACTCTTTTTGTGGCAATTGTGAATGGGATTGTCTTTCTGCTTTGGCCCTTGGCTTGGCTGTTGCTGGTATATACGAATTCTAGTGATTTTTGAACATTGATTTTGTATCCTGAGACCTACCTCGATTTAACTACCTAACAACAACTGAAAGAAATAGAGATGCAAGAATGAATCAGACACAAAGCTAGCATAAGACAAGAAATAACCAAAATCAGAGCTTAACTAAGCATACAGAGACACAATAAAATATTCAAAAGATCAACAAATTCAATAGCTGTTTTTTTCAAATACTTAATAAGATAGATAGTCTGCTAGCTAGATTAATTAAGAAGGAAAGAGAGAAGATCCAAATAAACACAATTAGAAATGACAAAGAGGATATTACCGCTGACCCAACAGAAATAAAAACTGTCAGAAACTACTACAAACACCTCTGTGCACACAACTAGAAAACCTAGAAGAGATGCATGAATTCCTGGACACATACACTCTCCCAAGATTGAATTTCAAGGAAGAAATTGATTCCCTGAATAGACCAACAGCAAGTTCCCAAGTTGAATCAGTAATAAATAGCTTACCAACCAAAAAAAGCCCAGGACCAGATGGATTCACAGACGAATTCTACAAGATGTACAAGAAGAGCCAGGTCTTCTTGTATCATTCCCACTGAAACTATTCTAAAAAAAATTGAAAATGAGAGACTCCTCCCCAGCTTATTCTATGAGGGCAGCATCATCCTGATACCAAAATGTGACAGAAACACAACAAAAAATAAATCCTCAAGCCAATATCTTTGATGAACATTGACACAAAAATCCTCAACAAAATACTGTCACATCAAATCCAGCAGCACCTCAAAAAGCTAATCCACCACAATCAAATAGGCTTCATCCCCGGGATGCAAGGTTGTTTCAACATATGCAAACCAATAAATGTTTTTTATCACGTAAACAACTAAAGACAAAAACACAATTATCTCAATAGTTGCAGAAAAGGCCTTAAATAAAATTCAACATCCCTTCATGTTAAAAATTCTCAATTAACTAGGTATTGAAGGAAAATACCTCAAAATAATAAGAGCCGTCTATGATAAACTCACAGCCAACGTCATACTGAACGGGCAAAAACTGGAAGCATTCTCCTTGAAAACTGGCACAAGGTAAGGATGCCCTTTCTCACCACTTCTATTCATCAGAGTATTGGAAGCCCTGGACAGAGCAATAAGGCAAGAGAAAGAAATAAAAGGCATCCAAATAGGAAAAGAGGAAGTCCAACTATTGCTGTTTGCAGATGACATGATTCTGTATCTGGAAAATCCCGTAGTCTCAGCCCAAGAGCTCCTTCAGCTGATAAATAAAACTCATTTCTATTAGTCATGATATGGCATTTTTTTTCTGCACTTGTGTTTGTGCTTTGTTTTTTAGATTTATATGGTACTTTTTTATGTGGGACTAAATAAAATTTATTTTGAAATGTAAGTTTGAGTTTTAGAGTCAGATGACATGAATTGGAAATGTCAAAATGTTTTGGCATTAGCAAAATAAGAAATACTGACCAACAGGTGGGTCTTCAGGATGCTAAGTCTTGGAGGGACATGCATGAATATCTGCACATCCCCATTGTAGCACATTGGCTTTGTGAAAGAGGTCTTCCACTGAAGGCAAATGACCCACCTCCTCAGTCTGTCTAAGAGAGCGAGGGCAGTTCTAGGTATAGAATCAGAGCAATGGTTTCTGGTTTTAGCACTGCTGTGAAACTGAAAAAAAAACATTTGGCCTTCCTGAGCTTCAGTTTTCTTATCTAAAACATGCTATAATAAAACATTTCTTGCTTGATATTTGATAATTAAATAACATGAAATAAATTATAATAAAAATACCATATATGTTTTTTGCTTAACAGGTATACACAAGACCCTGGGTTAAATATTATACAGTACATGTACTGTCTTAATTAATCCTCCCAACTTTATAGGTAAAAAGTTTTATTTTTTTCCAGATGAGAAGTTCAGTGTCCTGAGGTTTTCAGGCGTGACAGAAGTTATGCAGGATCGCACAACTTTTCAGTAGCCTCATAGGTTCTGGTTAGGATTCAGTGGAGGTTGTCTGATGTCCATCTAGAATGTCAGACAAATTATAAACATATGTAAAGATGCTTAAAAATATTGAACATATCCAAATTAGTGCTACTTTAGGAACGTTAGAAATCGTGTATTGGGGAATATTATTTGCCTTTACCTTACCCTTTGTTTTGGAAATTCATTGTTTTCACAATACCCATTGAAACGTGCTGTTCTTCTTTAGCTGTTCATATTTATGTGCGGATAAACCTCCAAGTGCTTTAAAGTACCTTGATGTTATACTCCAAAAAGATAAAACTTTGAAGTGATTCATATTTCTTTTTTGGGGGGACAGTCATTATTACTTGCATTTGTTTACTGCCATTTTAAATGATTCGAATTTTTAAATTTATTTCACCTATTTTAGATGGAATGAAATGTGATCTTTTGTACCAGTAGGTGGATGTAATGATCATTCTTCTTTGACTCCCATAGTGACTTTCCCAAGGGTATTAGTAGGGATCTGAGTACTGGAACACACATTTACGAAGTTTTATTTCCCGTTTCTTATTTCTTTCTATTGAACATAAAGGTTACACATAGGTGAAAAAAAACACCTCCATACTCACAGTGAGAAAATCTTCCGAAGCTGGCATGCTGCATGGCGTGCAAACTGTGCTCCACTGGTGAGCTCGGCACACCATGGCTCCCAAGCTTACTTGTCATTCCCGCTTCTCCCAAACGTCCTCCCAATCTTCAGCATATGGTATCTAAGGTCCTTTAGGGTCTGGCCTCTTTACAGCTTACCCCACTCAGTATGCTGAGTCCCAAACAAGACTCTACTCAAGTGAGCTTTTGGGTATCCTTGAAATCTCACATAATGTCAGCTCCTGGTTTTTCCTCAAAGACTGTTTTTTTTTTTTTTTTTCAGATCCATTAAACTCCTAAAGTAATAAGTTTTTATTATTTCCGCTCACAAGATTTTTCCACTCTTCTCTTTGTGTGCAAAAAACCCTGTGCCTACTCTTGTTATTTCAATCTCACAGTGTATTACTATCATTTCTGATTAAAGATCTCCTTTTAAGGCAGAGCCCTTGCTTCATTCCCCTTTGTGACTGTCATGCTAGATAACAGGACGCTCTGATGCTTAGTAAATTGAATTGACTCACATCACAGCTCCTTTTTAAAGAATATAAGAAAGGTTAGGTTTGCACACTGAATACACACAAAATCAGCATAAATACAAAAAACAATCCTGTAACCCAAGGCTCATTTGTAAAGGTGCTTAAAATTGACTTGTAAGTCATTTTCAACTTCCAGACCTCAGAGTCTATGAGCCTGAGCCCCATAAGTACAGCTCCACATTGTATTCTTCGATGATAAACTATCCATCTCTCAGGTCATATGTCCTACTTGAAAGCATGTCCACTAGTTGTTATGACATCACAGATAACCATGTGTTCAGTAACTATGTTGACCAATTACTACATGTCAAATGCGGTGGTGGAAAATTAGAAGCTACATACATCATTTAAACCTGACAGTAAACTAAGACTCATCTTTGTATTTTTTTTTTTTTCATTTTGTGAATAAGGAAAGTGAAGCTTGGGGAGATAGAGAAACTTATCCAAAATCCTCCAATTAACAAATTCTAGCTCTAGAATACTGATCTACAATATAGGTCAGACAGGTGTCTGACATCAAAACACATATGTTCAACCACTATGTGACCACACCATGCTATTATGTCGTTATCAAATTGTATCCGTTTGTCACTGCTAGAAATAAAAATATAAAGCTTTGGGAAATGCTAAATAATTACATATTGCAGGTCTTTACACACATTATCTAATGGTTAATTTTACCTTTTATATTCTAGTTTTTCTGGGAAACTAAAGGCATTAAAATGCCTTTTTATATGTGAGACATAGTAATTATCTTTGATTTCATTTTTACCTAGTGTCTTTATGTTGTTTAGTTTCCAAAATAATTTGCCTTTAGGAAGAAAAACTTCTGGTAAGATTGACACAAGGTTCTGGCTTTCTTGACAGTTATATTACTCAGGGTAGATGAATTAATTGACATGCACATTCATATTTTATTCTCTTATGGGTATTTTTAGTGTGAGATTAGTAAGTATAAGTTGGCATCCATGACTATAATCAATTCTAGGAGATCCAGGATTATGATAAATTGGAAAGCTGATCGTGAAAGCCACCTGGCTAGTACTGATTTTGAGACAGCCAGTTGGGATAGGGACCCTGGAGAAACTCCAACCAGCCTGCCCACTAAGGTGGAGCCTCAGGAAGTTCATACCCTTTGCAGAGGGGAAGAGCCTGGCCCCTTCTCTTCCTGTGTGGAACCTGGGATTCGAACTGCCTGGTGGGACGTGCTCTAGCAGAGGGACTCTGGCCTTGCAAGAGTCCCTGTTTCCCCCCTTTTTTCCCCTTTTAAAAACCCAGTGAAACCCTGCTTTACTCACTCTTTAAACCATCTGCGAGCCTACATTTTAACAGCTGTGGGGAGGACAAGAACCCAGTCTTCAGATGAACTAAGGAAAAGTCCTGCAACATTTTTGGTACACAATGTGGGGACTCCAAAAGCGAGTAAAATGGAGACTCAAAACCTCACTGTTGCTTCTAAGACTTTTCATCCTCAGACTTCTGAGGTTGGAGGAAACCCTTATCATAATTTTTTATTTTTTTAACAAAAATGAGGACTGGAGAGAGATAAATTATGTTCCAAAACTTATCATACATTTGCCACTAAATTCTAAATTTACTAGTTGTTTTTAAGTTTTCACCTACATTTTAGACTACCCTGCTTGTTCCTGTAAACCAACCAGCAATCCCTGGGTGCAGCTCAGAAAGAGCAAAATGAATTGGTAATGTAGAAATCCGGATCAATATTCTAGTTCTGAGCAATTATCTTGCAAATCCTGCCAGGTGATAGAATAAATAGGGTGTCCATCACCCAGTGGTTTCCTTGTTGGGAAAGTAAAACTAAGGGAACTAACCAAAGCCAAGCACCATGCACCCAAATCGTAGCAAGCCTAACTATAGCTAGCTTCCATTTATCTGGATGTGTCACAAAATATCCTTTCTTCTCCCTTGTTGGAGGAGGACTCAGTTCCACAGTTTCTGCTTAGCATTTGGTTTATGATAACGAGTCCATCCAACACCCTGAGAGACACGTTTTTGTCCCAGACTCAATTCCAAGCTTTGGGTCAAAGCCCTAGAAAAGAAAACTGGATCTAAGGGATCTAGAGGCAAATGACAACAGAGGTTAAAAGGCACAGCACAGGTGAGTATGGATGATTTCTGTCAATTAAGCCAAGCCCAAGCTTCCTGTTTCATGGATAAAGGCCTCATTAGTACCAAAGGCATAAATGAGATCTAGGGAATTCCAAGGCTACTAACAGTACAGGGCTCAGAGGAATAGGTGAGAGTGATAATTTTTATTTTCCAGGCCCTCCCTGCTTCATGGGTACAAACCGCTTTGGCAATTATGGGGAGACCTGCCAAGTTCACTGGAACTTGGGGATACAAGGATGGAAGATGGAAAGAGAATGCTCCTTCCTCTCTCCCTCACATACCCTGGGTATCTGCTAGGAAGAGAAGGGGTATCTGCTAGGAAGAGAAGGGAACCAAGGATGCCTTCTCCCCTCTTTCTAGATGGGTAGCCATTCATCTTCAGTGTGTACCCCTTTCAAATGCATCCTGAATCCCTGTGACTCCTTTTAAAAAATCCTTTCTTTTTTCCTCTCTCCTCCTCTGTCCTCTCTTCACTGACAGGTAATTGTATCTCTATACTATGGGACACCCCCCTCAGCTGCATCCTCCAAACTGGAAAGAGTTAATTTCCCAAACCTTAAACTGGTTGGCTTAGGATTGGGCTCAGGGGAAAGGAACTCAAGAGCCCAATAAGATGGCAAAAGGGTGAAGTTTTTTTACCAGTCAGGCTTTTGCCCTCCCTCTCCCCATGCAAACTGGTAAAAGGCCTCAGGATTTTTGAGCTGTTCTTACCCCTCCCTCTGTTTTGTTTTAATACATGTTTTCTAATAACCTAGTTTGTCTGTCTGTTCCTGCCTTCAGGCCATCAAACTCCAAATGATCATGCAAACGGAGGCTCAGAGGATGGCCCCTCCTGCTGGGAACCCTTACACAGGCCTGTGAGGGAGCTCTAACTGCCGTTTCTCCAAAACAGCACCCCCAGTCAGCAGGAAGGAGTTAAGATCTGTCTTTGTCCTTTTCCTTAATCTAACAGCAGTTAGATATACTTCTTTAGATGGGAGAATGAGACAGCCAGATGGGAAGGGAGTTCCTAAAGAAACTCCAACCAGCCTGCCCACTGAAGTGGAGCCTCAGGAAGTTCACACACCTTTTGCAGTGGGGAGGAGCCTGGCCCCTCCTCTTCCTGCGTGAAACCTGGGATTTAAACTGCCCAACCAGAAGCCCTCTAGCGGAGGGAGTCTGGCCTTGTCAGAGTCCCTGTTTCCCCCTTTTTTTTTTAACTTTTCACCCAATAAAAACCTACTTTACTCATTCTTTAAACTGTCTGGGAGCCTAAATTTTCATGGCCATGGGATGGACAAAAACCCCGTATTTAGCTGAACTGAGGAAAAGTCCTACAACACCTTGTTTACCCTGGATCAGAGGGCATGAGACATGTGGCGGTGATGGTAGTGCGTGCACCTTTCCAATTGAATTTAAATCCCTGTTAATCATCAGGCTGTCAATAAAGGTTTGTTCATTTCATTACATTCACTTAATTAAATTGTGCTAATTTTAATTTAATTGACCCAAGCAATAAACTTATTTCTTACATATGGTACCTTATTAAAATTTACTTTAAAAATTTTGTTTCAAAAATTTTCTAAATGAATTAAGCTTGGTCATGGAATTAGAAGTAGGGAGCTAGGATACAAACTCATGGTTTTCAATCCCCAATTACTGCTAAGTCTTCATTTATATGTTATACTGAATTCACCAACACATTTTAAAATAAAATTTAAAAAAAGTTCATCTCAGAGAAATAGAAAAAAATGAATGCTTTAGAAAATAAAGTTCAATAATTTATAGTCGGTGACTAGAACTGTCATAAAAAATAAAAAGAAATTTTTTGTTCAACTTAACCACATTTTCTTTTCTCCTTTCATCTCAATATGCTTTTCATCTCAAATATTTGAGATTGTGAAGAATACATAGTTAATAATGTGAATAATTTTCTTTCAGTTACCAACTTCTGAAGAATGTTTTAGGCAAAATAAAGTGAAAATGTGGTTTTCTTTTTGTTTTTGTTTTTTTGTTTTTTGTTTTTTTTCATAGAAAATAGAGCCTTTGTATTAGAACAATTCAGTAAACAAAAAACAGGACATTTATTCAAGTTAGATAAGATTTTTATTGTTCAATGGGAACTTTTGTTCTCGATTTTTTGACAAAAATCTACAAATGAAGGCTTTCATTATTGATTTAAGTCTTCCAAAATAGTGTTAGTTTCTTTCCACCTTTGAATAATCTGACCTCTTCTCTCTCCTTGGGTCCTGGTTCTCTGCCTGTCCTCTATACTGACACCAGCTTGTTCTTCCTGTGGTTTTGCTTTGAGAATGCTTCCCAGTTAACTCCTTCCAGTGGTTTCTATGACCACATAAATGCAGAACATCTCAATCCAGATTTCAAGGGCTTCTAGGTTCTTTTTTTTAATCACTTCTTCTTTCTTAGTTTCCAATACATCTGTTTCATTTCATTCAAATTAAGTTGTCTCTATTCTCTATGACTTATATGTTTATATTTTAGAAAGATCATTCTTGATTCAGTGTAGAGAATGGCTTACATGGTAGCAAGGAAAGAGATGAGACAATATATAATGTCTCCACATGAATTGTTCCAGAATAAAATGATATAGATCAATAATAAAATATATTTAAATATATAATAATGACATTTGCTTTAAATAAAATAAAATGTACATCAAAAGGTAGAATGAGAGCACTAGGTCCAAGAAAGAAAAATGCTGAATTTCAAAAAAATTGTGGATATATCCTGGTGAAGTTGACAGAAATGTAGAAGGAAAAATATTAAGAAAGTAAGTATTAGACAAACACTAACAGAAAGAGTACAATAATATGCAGCGACATGTAATTTTATGTTTAAAAAAGTAAATGAAAGAGAAAAGATGATCTTATTTTTAAAAAGTTAATATAATGATATTTCAAAAAATTACATGTCTATCAGCTGAAAATATTCATTGGGCGCTAGTGATCAATGGAAGTAAAGATTAGGTTGGAGCAGTTGTTAGTAATGTTCATTAAAATACATAACAGAGATGTCAATAAATTAGGGAAATGTACATATTGAAAATATAGTAAGGTAAACAAAATAGGGAGAAGAAGCCAGGGAATTGGAGGATATTTGCATTTTTTCAGATTCAGGAGTGAAAAGAGCCACCTTAAAGAATTATCTTGAAAAAAAATTTATATTTAAATACAGGCTAAATTGTGCAGGCTTTCCTTCTAATTGCAATGACAATAGGGGTGTCACCTTATAGTAGTGATTTTATAACAAGAAAATAAACCCAAAAATTAATTAGCAGACCAAAATGTGATTGAGGTAATGGCATTTCAGAGGGATATCCAAGGAGCGATTTGGAAGAATGCATGACAGCAACAAAAGATTAGATTAGAAAGGGAGGGAGTGGAATTGTCTATAAATATGAGTTGGGTATTGGATATAGTAAATCCATGTTATTTTGTGATGGGTTTAGGTGCAGGAAATGAAAATAAATATGTAGTTGCAGATGCATATCATTACACTCGTTTTACCAATTTGCAATGTTGCTTTAAGGACAGTTTTGCCTGAAAAAAGTGGCACTTTCCCTTACATATGTAGCAGTTTACCTACAGTGGATTTCTCCCATGCCTTTTACTGCAGGCTTTCAGGAATGAAACTGACAAAAGATGTGAAGAAATAAAACTGAGAGGTGGTCAAAGGATTATTAAAAGCTCTAAGATAATTTTTAATTAATCTAGTTACAAAATGTATTATCTGCTAACATCCTTACATGCAAATAGAGCAATTATAAATTATAGTAAAATATTTTATTTTTAATAACAATAAAGCAGAAAAACTATCCAGGAGTTTAAACAAGTCTTGGCTATGAAAATAATTTACTTTCTTAGCTAGAAAGAACTAATCGTATAAAGATCACAATTATTCCAAAATCATTTGGGGAATTTCATGGGATTTGCATAAATCCATTAACCAGATTCATTATAAGAAGATGAGGAGTATGGGCAAGCTCATTCAAAAGTCCATATGAACACTTGTACTCTATTGGTGGGAATGTAAATTAGTTCAGCCACTGTGTAAAGTAGTTTGGAGATTTCTCAACAAAACTGAAAACCAAACTACCGTTCGACCCAGCAATTCCATTTCTGGGTATATATCCAATAGAAAACAAATAATTCTACTAAAAAGACACATGTACTAGCATGCTCATCACAGTACTTCAAAATAGCGAAGACATGGAATAAACCTAGGTGTCTATCAATGGTGGATTGGATGAAGAAAATGTGGTACATTTTTTTTTTGGTATTTACCAGGAAATACCAAACAGAAAGAAATCATGTCCTTTGCAACACCTGGATCCAGCTGGAGGCCGTTATCCTCAGTGAATTAATTCAGGAACAGAAAGCCAAATAACACATGTTCTCACGTATAAGGGGGATCTAAATATCAGGTACTCATGGACATATCCATGACAATGATAGACACTGGGGACTACTAGAAGGCCGCAAAAGGGAAGTGGAATCAAGGATTGCAAAACTACCTATCGGGTACTATGCTCACTACCTGGGTAATTGAATCATTAGAAGCTCAAGCTTCAGCATCACACAATATACCCATATAACAAATTCGTACATGTACCCCTGGATCTAAAGTAAAATAAAGTGTTAATGAAGTACAAGACAAAAGAAATTTAGGATTCAACAAGGGAGCCTCCACAGACATATAGGAAAGGTGAAGAGCTTGCATGTACTGGTAGGAAAAAATTAATATTTTAAGACAAAAATAAAGTGTTCCTGTGTAAAACACAGAAAAACACAGAAGTCATATACAATGTGTGTGTATGCATGTGGGTGTGTGTGTGTGTGTCTGTGTGAGACAGAGAGCGAGAGAGAAAGAGAGAGAGAGAGACCCTGTAGTACAATACTCAAACAATTCTAGTAGCTGCCCCTGGAAAGGGGGACTGGAGACATAGGGTAGGAGAAACACATTTTCTCACTTTTCTGTTCTTCTCTAACTTTTTAGCATGTGTGAATTAAATTTTTAGTTTAAAAAATGTTTAAAAACTATGCTGTAATATGGCCTGAACTTAGGGATGGGAGTATTGATGGAGAAAAGATAGCTGTAGAAATTAAACATATAAAAACATTGAAAAAATATTAAGGTGGTAGAGCTGGCCTGGTTTTGTGATTGATTGGATGGGGTTAGGGTTTAGAGTGGGAAGCATTAATGTTGAATTACTAATGTATAAATTAAGAAGCAAAGAAACTAGAAGTTTCAAAATCTGAGGTAGAAAACACGTGAAAAATAGTAACATTGGGAAAGCATATAATTACTTCAGCTTTGGATATCATAATAAAAACTAAAATCTATTCATTCCTTATAATGTGCCAGTCATAGTTCTAATTACTTTACATGTATTAACTCAATTTGATCACCATAACAACCTAATAAAGAGGTATTAAGTTCATGTTGCCTTTTCAAAATTCTTAACACATAATTCAACACACAGTCCACATTCCATTTATCACAGCACACTTCCATCAGAGTCTGAGACAGCACCCTGTTTAATAAATATATCAATGTTTTTCAAGGGAACACATATGAATATTTATACAAGTGTGGTAAAGAGATTCTTAGCCTCTTGATTATACCAACCTGAAAGTTTTTTGTTGTTGTTGTTTGTTTGTTTGTTTGAGACGGAGTTTCGCTCTTCTTACCTAAGCTGGAGTGCAAAGGTGCGATCTCAGCTCACTGCAACCTCTGCTTCCCAGGTTCAAGTGATTCTCCTGACTCAGCCACCTGAGTAGCTGGGATTACAGGCGCCCGCCACCATGCCCGGCTAATTTTGTATTTTTAATAGAGACAGGGTTTCTCCATGTTGGTCAGGCTGGTCTCAAACTCCTGACCTCAGGTGATCTGCCCACCTCGGCCTCCCAAAGTGCTGGGATTACAAGCCTGAGCCACTGCGCCCAGCCAAAAGTTTTAAAGTTCTCTGGGGACATGAAGGGAAAGGAGTTGAGAGAGAAATGAAATCCGGAGAAGGATCTGGGAGCCATGATCAGAAGGATGGCCATTGTAGGCATGAGATGGATGAATTGGTCAAGGTCAATGCACACACAGAGAGAGGAAGGGGACTCTTGGTGTGAGCCTGAAGAGGATCAACATTGAAGGGACAGGGGAAAGAAAGTATTGTAATAGCTAACGTGTGTGGAGCATTTCCTATGCCAGAAAAACCACATGCATTATTCCATTTCATTTTTTCCATTAACCTCATCAGAGTGTTTTCAGAATCTTGCTGATTAAGAAACAGACTCTGTTGGGTATGTTACAGTGAGAATGAATGTCAATGTCTCTGTATTGTTCCAAAGATACTAGGCTTCCCAACACACCACACTGCACAAAATGGGGAGATGCAGAGTCAAAATGTTTGACCTTATTATCTTTGTCACTAGTGATATTTCAACAAGTAATTTGATTTTTGTTTATTCCAAAACTCTTCACTGAATACCCATAGGCACAGGAGACTAAGTGCTTGAATAATACATAAAGTTTTGCTCTTAAGTAGCTTACAGAAAGAATAGATGATAATTACAAAATAAGGTGCTAATAGCTCTCAGGTGGATCACAATATATACTTGAGATGTATCAGAGGTGCTTTCTTGAAAGAACTGAAATCTGAACAGAGAAATAACATATGAATGGGGAAAAGAGGGCAAATTCTTCATTAAGTCATAACAGAAATGTTCATAGAAAACAATGCAGCATGAGCACAGGCCAAGCATGAACAAATGCATTTTAATGTAGAACAGAAGGTAATGCCATGTGAATGATCACAAATGATCATTGGAAAGAAAGAGTATTGAGGAGAGGCCAGAAAATGAGGAGGAGCTAAATCAAGAAAGCCTTTCTATGCCATGCTGAGGAATCTATTCTGTTGCAGACTGTTCTACCACACTATTAGCATGTGACTCACAAAACTAGATTAGGACTTTCAATCACGTATTTATGCATGCATTTAGCAGGCGCTGTTGGAAAAATATATGTGAGCACATTGATAAGCTGCAGAGTGCATCTCAAACATTAGATATTATTTTGATTCTATACAAGATAGTTATTATTTTCAATTATATGACATAATCAAGGTTTGGATTCTGAACAAAATAAAGCTTGAATATAGTTACTGACTTTCCAGAACTCAAGTTTAATTGAACAGCAGAGACAGCAATGACTTTTATTCAACTTTCTCAAAGCAGTATGAAATAGCGGAAGATGCCTTGTCTGGGGAATACAGAAGCCTTCCTTGGGTTTCAGTGCAATCTCTTCTACTTTCACCATATTTTACATTGGGAACTTTTCTCACTTCTCGAACTTTAATTTTCCCACCTACCAAATTTGCTCTCTTTAGGAGCAGAAATCGGATAGATGGGTTCCCATTGCCCCTCTTTTACTGTTTGAAAAAGTGAGGTAAAAAATGTTCTTGTTTTCACTCTAAAGCTTCTTTTTTTTGCCCTTACCTATGGAGGTGGGTGACAGGTGTGGTTTACTTATTCTATTGACATTTATGTTTGCAAAGTAGAAAAATGAGTGCAGCACACAAGATTAATATTAATAATGGTAATAAAAGCTCCCACAAAGGTTTCCCACTAATATTATATTATTCAGGCTCTGGTGCATAATGAACATCCTGAATATTTAATAACTCAAGGAAAGAAAACCCAATTGAAAGTACATCTTGAGCTGTCATATATATGCATGAAAAAGCCCCTTATCCCATGACAAGAGAGAACAGACGGGATGTGTCAATGGTAAAATACGACATTTTTACACCTTTATTCAAATGTCACTAGGGATTGCAAGTGACGTCTTATAACAAAGAACAACTTCCTATACAATATGAAAAATATAAATCCTTTCCTCACTATGAATTCATATTGAAAGGTCATTACGGTGCATATAAAATCCCACTGAAGCTGCTTAATGCACTTCCTATTTTCACTCCATTATCATCAGTTGGTGAGAGTGCACCTTGTATAATTAAAAGCAGGTTGCAATTTGCATAGGCAGAGGCAAGAGAAAAGCAGAAAAGTGAAGTCTGCTTGGGGAAACTGATTGATCAACCAAGAAATAATGGGAAAATGAAGGAATTAAAATGTCTAGCCCTTTGCGCTTTATTTGTAGGGAAAAAAGTCGTTTTCTTTTTTATTCTTCTTTCTTTCTCTCTCACTACCTCCCCAGACAAGGCACAAGCATCTCCTTTGGGCAAAGGCATATTCCTCCAAAGCACATAAAGACTTTATGAGATACATAGTTTTCTTAAGAAAATGAGATTTTTCCAATTCAGTTCACCCTCAAAATGAAATTAGTTTGGTGTATTATGTGAATTGTTGCTGTTTTTTTCTTTCTTTGTATATTCAGCATTTTGAATATAGCAACAGAGACTAAGAATATTTGGGGGAAGGGAATAGAGCTCAAAGCAATTGATTTTTACTTGACAAATGTAAAAAGCTACCATCAAAAGAAAACTTAGCCTGCTTCTTATGGCTGTTACACTCAATTTTTCCTCTTCATTTAATAACTATTACCTTTTTAAATCAGGCCTCACTGCAATATCTTCCTTGCTTTCATTGCGATCTTATTTCTACCTCAGAAAATGGCACAATGCTGTTCAACATTGCTTCTCATGGCTCCTCTTCCCTGATGTTAATATGTTTGTATTTGGCCTGATAGAGTCCTCATAAAAGACCGACAAGCCCTGAAACTCAAGGTCAGAAACTCTGAAAACTTATTGGAAGCTTGAATTTGCCAAATGTGTCTAAGATCACACAACAATTGGTGTTGAGTAGGATTTCTGTTTATCAAGATATTGGGGCAAACACAAACAGTGCTTGCTGAAGGTTCTAAAACCCACAGACTGGCAGGGACCTTCTGAGCTAATCAGTCCATTCCCCAGATATAAAATAGGCATGAAATCATACCAGAATTAAGAGATGGAAATCCATTCCATTATAAATATTCAAAACATATAAGGTATATAAAAAAGTACACTCTATTCCTCTATGCCAATTTTTAAAAACTTAGGTATACTTTACTATGCCTGGCACAGTTCTTTTTCATTTTACAGGAGATATATCTTCCAAAAAAAAAAAATGCCAGATGGAGATATTGAAACCGAAGAGTGAAGGATTGCTTATATATTGATAATCATGAAATGACAATATGCATGCAAGAAGACTAGAGAAATACTTTAAATATTAAAAAAGATTGTTTCTAGGTGTTGAAATATGAGTGATTTTTTCTGCTCTCAGTTTTAACCTATTGGCTACATTTTCTAAAATGTAAATGGTTAGATTTTTGTCATGTAGAAAACTTTACTAAATAATCACTTCTCAGACTTTTGGCTAAGATCTAGTGTAGTGTAGAAAATTTTACTATAAAAGCTAAACACTCTAAAATATATTTCAAATCAAATTTCCTACTACTTTATAATATAACATTTACAAAGCCTCTTTAGTTGAACTAAGTTCTGAAATTTCAATGAAAATATTGGTAGCATGATACACTGAGGGTCTATTCATTCATTTATTCAATAGCATGTCTGAGTACTTCTAAAATACCTAACATGTTGCCAGGTGTATAGTAGATATTTGGCAAATGTTAAGCAAATTAAAAAAAAAAATAGGACACTCTCCTAGAGAATGAGATTATTGAGGTAATCAAGACAGCTTCCCTTCTCTACAAAATATCACTATTAAATACATATATATATACACACACACACACCTATACGGTGCATCCACACACATAAATATATATAGTTTATAGATTCTGCCAGTACAGGGGATTAAAAGTTAAGGTATTGATTAACTTTGGAGAATCTCACAACTCATTTATTTAAAAAAAATTTGGAAAGATGGTCACATGACATTACTTATATGTGGAAACTAAAAATGTTGAAATTATAGAAGCAGATGATGGGGTGGTTACCAGGAGTGGGTCTGGGCAATTGGGAGATGTTGCCCAAAGGATACAAAATGTCAGTTAGGAGAAGTAAGTTCAAGAAGTCTATTGTACATTATATTAGTCCATTCTTGCATTGCTATAAAGAAATACCTGAGACTGGGTAATGTATAAAGAAAAGAGTTTTAATTGGCTCATGTTCCACATGCTTTACAGGAAGAATAATGCTGGCAGCTTCTCAGCTTCCAGGGAGGCCTCAGGAAGCTTACAATCATGGCAGAAAGTAAAGGGGGAGCGGGCACATCACATGGTGAAACCAAGAGCAAGAGAGAGAAGGGGGAGGCGCAACACACTTTTAACTGACTAGATATCATGAGATCTCACTTACTATTATGAGGACAGTACCAAGGGGGATGGTGCTAAGTCATTCATGAGAAATCTGCCCCCATGATCCAATCACCTCCCACCAGGCTCCACCTCCAACACTGGGGATTACATTTTAATATGAGATTTGGGCAGGGACACACATTCCTCCCATGGCCCGTCCCAAATCTCATGTCATTCTAACATTTCAAAATACAATAGTGCCTTTCCATTAACCCTCCAAAGTCTTAATTCATTCCAGCATGAACACAAAAATCCAAACTCTCGTCTGAAACAAAGGAAGTCCTTTCTACCTGTGAGCCTGTAAAATCAAAACCAAGTGATTTACTTCCACAATGGGGGTACAAGCATTTGGTAAATATTATTGTTTCCAATGGGAGAAACTGGCCAAAAGAAAGGGGCAACAGGTCTCATGCAAGTCTGAAACCCAGCAGGGTAGTCCTTAAATCTCAAATCTCTGAAATAATCACCTTTTACTCCATGTCCCACATCTAGGGCCCAATGGTACAAGTGGTGGGCTCCCAAGGCCTTGGGCATCGCCACCTTTGTAGCTTTGCAGGGTATAACCCCAGAGACTGTTTTCACAAGTGGTTGAGTGCCTGCAGCTTTTCCAGGTGCAGTGTGCATGTTGCTTGTGGATCTATCATTACAGGGTCTGTAGAACAGTGGCCCTCTTCCCACAGCTCCCCTAGGCAGTGCCTCAATGGGAACTCTGTGTGGGGCATCAAACCCTACATTTCCCATCCACACTGCCCTAGTAGAGGTTTTCTGTGAGTGTGCTGCCCTTGTAATAGGCTTCTGCCTGGACACTCAGGCTTTCTCATACATCCTTTCAAATCTAGGGTGCCAAATCTCCTTCACACTTGCCCTCTGTCTACCTGCAGGCTTAACACCATGTAAAAGCCACCAAAGCTCATGGCAAGTTGCCCCCTCCACAAATAAGCCCAAGTTGAACCTCAGCCACTTTGAGCCGAGGCTGGAGCTGGAGCAGTACTGGATGTGAGGAGTAGTGTCCTAAGACTGTGCAGGGCAGCAGAGCCCTGTTAGCCTGGCCCATGAAAGCATTCTTTCCTTCCAGACCACAGGGCATGTGATAGAAGGGGCTGCCACAAAATTATCTGAGATGCCTTTGAGACCTTTTCCCCATTGTCTTGGATATTAGCCCTTGGGTTCTTTTTAGTTAATGCAAATTTCTGTAGCAAGTGGTAGCTCCACAGCCTACTTGAAATCCTCTCCTGAAAAAGCTTTTTCTTTCTTTGCCACATGACCAGGCTGCAACTTTTTCAAACCTTTATGCTCTGCTTTTCTTTTAAATATAAGTTTCAATTTTAAGGCATTTCTTTGCTCTCACATCTGAGAATAGGTGTTAGAAGTAGCCAGGCCAAATCTTGAATGCTTTGTTGCCTAAAAATTTCTTCTGCCAGATACCCAAAATCATCACATTCAAGTTCAAAGTTTTGTGGCAGCCCAGGTCTCACTAACGCAGGCATCCATTACAACTGTCTCAGCACTGAACGAGTAGCTAGGTTAAACATTAAAAGCTGATTGAGCCAGCGTCCTTATACAAAGGCTGAAATGTAACAAAAAATTCACCAAGAGTTTGCCTAGATCTTTCCTGGGCTTCGAAGCATGACAAGTTAATGAAGGAATTCTTAACAGGACCCTTTTAGGATTAAACAAGTTTTATTGGGGGTCTGAAGAAACTGCCCAGGCCTCCAGAAACAAGTTTATTGGGGGTCTAAAGGAACTCCCTAAGCTCCATGATTTAGCAGGAGACAACATAAGGGTAATCACCCCAGTACCTGGACCCATTTAGGTTAAGTAAATTTACTGAAGCTCCAAAGAATGTCTTCAGGACTCACATCTTAGTTATAGATGAGAAGAATTTAACCACATATGTCTTTAGATGAATGAACACTTACACATGGACATACAGCTTAAAAGGTGTTAGGAATGCTTGTTCGCCGGTACCATAAAGAAATAGCACCTGAACATAAATTTAATTTCCTCAGCAAGGCCATTTTTACTTTCTGCAGAAAGGGTACACTCGCCAACAGTTTTGTCACAAGAGTACACCAAACAAAGGAGACAGGGTGATTTATAACCTGATGCATCCACCCTACTGCTGTGTCCAGTTTCCATTGGCTGGAATGGGACCTCACATTCTGTATTTGCCCCAATTGGCTAGCAACTTAGAACTTTTTAAAAGAGGCAAAGGCAGAATAGAACAAAGGAAGGAGGAAGTAACTTGTGGAATGCTAAGAAAGGTAAAAACATCTTCAAATAAGGAAGAGGAACAGGCTATGACCTAATGCTTGCTTGGACCAGTATAAGCATGCCAGGGCAAAATTTAGGCTAAATTGTGGAAGCCAAGAACATAAAGTACATCAATTTCTTTATTACGGCTAGCAGATATTTAAGAATGTTAGCACAGGTCTTTGAATAAATTTTGCTTCTAAGAGAAGTTACTATTTATTCCTAATTAGATGGGGAGGAAAGTCTTTGGAGAGGAACCTCTACTTTACTTTTTACAAAGGTATATAAGCTTTGGAAAACTTTGTAATTTTGAGTTGGTCTGGCAATAATTTCCAGGCCTTCTCCCTGTAACGAGTTGCAGAAAATAAAACCTCTCTTTCTCCCCAGTTCATCTATATCTCATTATTGGGCTGCGAGAAATAGCAGCCCAACCGTCAGTTTGGTCGGGGAATAGTTTCACACATCCCACGGGCAGGGGCACGATGCAGCTAAGTTCTTTGCTAAAGCATAGCAAATGTGACCTTTGCTTCAGTTCTCAGTAAGTTGCTCATTTCCTTCCAAGACCTCCTCAGTCTGGACTTCATTTTCCATATCACTATCAGCATTTTGGTCACAAACTTTCAACATATCTCTAGCAAGTTCCAAATTTTCCCTCATCTTCCTGTCTTCCTCTGAGCTTTCCAAACCCTTCCAACTTCTGCCCAATTACCCAGTTTCAAAGCTGCTTCTGCATTCCCAGGTATCTTTATAGGAATGACCCACTACTCAGTACCAATTTTCTGTATTAGGTGTTTCTTGCATTACTATAAAGAAATACCTGAGACTGGGTAATTTTTAAATAAAAGAGGTTTAATTGGCTTATAGTTCTGCAAGCTGTACAGGAAGCATGGCAGCATCTGCTCAGGTTCTGGGGAGGTCTCGGGAAGCTTACCATTATGGTGGAAGGTGAAAGGGGAGCAGACACTTCACATGACAAAAGCAGGAGCAAGAGAGGGTCAGGGAAGTTGCCACACACTTTTAAACATCCAGATCTCATAAGAACTCACTCACTATCATGAGTATAGTATCAAGAGGGATGGTGTGACACCATTCATGAGAAATTCACTACCATAATCCAATCATCTCCCACCAGAACCCACCTCCAACACGGGATTACAATTCAACATGAGATTTGGGCAGGAAAACATCCAAATTATATCATACATCATGGTGACAATAGTTAATAATAAAATATTGAATACTGAAAATTGGTTAAAAAATGTAGACTTTAAATGTTCTTAATACAAATAAAATGTTAAGTATATGAGGTCATACATATGTTAATTAGCTTGATTCAGCCATTCTACAATGCACACATATATCAAAACATTACACCTGTAATCCCAGCACTTTGGGAGACCGAGGCAGGTGGATCACTTGAGGCCGGGAGTTGGAGACAAGCCTGGCCAACATGATGAAACCCCATCTGTACTAAAAATACAAAAATTAGCCACTTGTGGTGGCTCACACCTGCAGACCCAGCTACTCAGGAGGTTGAGGCATGAGAATCACTGGAACTCGGGAGGTGGAGGCAGAGGTTGCAGTCAGTAGAGATTGTGCCACTGCACTCCAGCCTGGGCAACAGAGCGAGACTGTCTCAAGAAACAAATAAAACAAATCATGTTTAACATCATGAATAAATACAACTTTAATTTGTCAATAAAATTTTTTTTAAAAAAGAAAATAATTCTACTGTAACAATAATCTTTAGTATTTTAGCTATTCCTTGTAGCCAACATTCTTCATGTAGCCCATGGAAGGACAGTGCCCCAACAGACGCAAAATAGCTGGTGAAAGGACATTTTTACCACAACAAGAAAAACTATAATGGCCCCCCACAAGGACACTTCATCTGAGTGCCTGGTACTGGCTAAAGTATACAGACATTTTGTCCTCCTGATCAGTGTGTAATTATTATCTTCATTTTACAAATAATAAAACTGAGGGAGACAGAGCTTGTGTTCTTTCACACATCACGCTGTTGGCCAGTGGAGAGGCTGAGTCATAACCTTCCAGTATAAGAAGCTGGAATCTACTGCTGCCACTTCAGCAAGCCACAATAAGTTTAGTACCTTAGAAATCTCATTTGTTGGGTTTTAAATGTATTTATAACATTAAATATGTATACTGAAGGATAATTGTAGTGCATATCTACAGAAGGAAGTGCAAAAATAAAATGAACTGATAAATCCACCATGCATCTTAATATCTAGAATAGCATCAAGATAGTTTTAAGCATGTGCTCCATGTCTGTCCTATTCCCGTTTCCATCTTCCTTGAAGAATACTTCTTTAAATTATCTTTTGAAAATGTATGTTAGAAGAAGACCATATTGTTGAAGGTTTGTTAATTTTATATTGCTTGGCCTCTAATTCTAAGATTCATACATGCTATTGGTTAGAGATGATATTTATTTTTATTTCTGTATGATATTCTATTGAACAAAGGTATCACACTTTATCCAGTCCTTTGACAATGGTTACTTACTGTTTTCAATTTTTTATTTTTTTGTTATTTTACAAACAGCACATACACACATGCACACATATACATAAAGGTTGCTGTGAACACTTTTGTTCCTGTGTTCATGTATAAGAGTTACCGTAACATATATAATTAAGAGTGCAAATGTTAGATCAATATGTATGTGATTATTGAGTGTTGCAAGAAAATGGCATTTTCCAAAATGATTGTTCCTAATCACACAACCTACAGCAAATTTGTCTGACACGCATCCTTTTCAATACTTCATGCTGCCAGACTTTATAACTGTTAGCAATCTAAGCACTATGAAATTATATGTTATTATAATCTCAATTTCCATTTTTCTGATTATTAACCAGGGTGAGCATGTTTTCATATGTTCATGGGCCATTTATATTTTCTCTTCTCTGTAATATTTCACACTTTCTGTATTTTTCTAAAAATAGGATTATTTGTATATTCCTTATTGATTTAAAAGTGTTACTTAAATTTTAGAGAGGAAAATACTTTATTTTACATTTCTCCTACCAATTCAGCGCTTGCATTTTTAATTTTCTTATGATGCTTTTGTCTAATTGATATCTTAAATCCTAGTCTTTCCTTTTGTGATTAGAGTCTACATCTTATTTAAGATACATTTCCCTAGTTTGAGAAAATAATTTCCTACACTTTCTAACACTTTAAAAAGTGTTGAAGTTGGTCTTTCAAATTTAAGTCTTTAATCCACTAGAATTAATTTTGTATGTAGTATAAGATTATGATCCAATTAATTTTTCTGTATGAATAACTAGACCTTTTATTGAATAACATTTTTTCCTTAAAGATCTACACAGCCATGCCCATCATTTGATGTTTTCATATTATTTGTGGGTCTGAGTCTAGTCTCTCTTTTTGTTCCATTTATCAACATATCAATTTCTGTGCCTATATCAAGTAACTTAATCAGTATAACGCCAGATGTCTTACTATATAATAGGCAAGCTGAGCCAACTTATGCTTGGACTTGCTCTACCACACATATTTTGGAACTGGTTTGTTATTTCATTTACAAAATCAATACTTGGGATATTGATTAAGTGTACAAAACTCTTGATAAATTTGGAGAGAGTAGATACAGTGATTATATTGAATTGTTTTATATAAGAATATTGTACATTTTCTCACTTATTTAGGGCTTAATATTGTTCAATATGATTATATAATTATCTCTTTCTGGCACATATTTAATTAAATGTATTCCTCATTACTTTATGATGTTTTGCTATTATAAATAATACCTTAAAATTATATTTACCAAATCTTATTTGCTGGTGAACAGAAATACAGATTTTATGTTGATATTATATACAGTTATCTTGCTAAATTTTTAATAATTTGTTTGTAAATTATCTTTTCCCTTTCCCAATAAACATATTTGCTACCAAAATTTAGTTCTGAGATTTTTGTTTATTTCATTTTTATGAAGCAATGTCTAATTTTCTCATCTATTATATTTTGGATTATGTACCACTTTTATTCATATGTATAATTTTTTCTGGTTATTTTTAAAATCTCTATCACTGTTTGAAGGATGTGTTTCTTAGTAATATGTTCATTTACATAAGCCAGTTTTTAATAACAATTATGAAATAATTGCAGCATCAAAAGTCTTTTGGATTCTAAGACCCTGATTTTAGTTTTTGCTTCTGACTCCTATTCATGGTGGTTCATTACCTTTAGATCTGGTTATTTCATTTGTGAGCTCAAATTTGCTTAATACAAATTTGCATCAATTCTAAGTGCCTAAATTGATTATTTTGGACACTGTGGACATTTAGAAATCAGTAAATGTAACTGACTTGAAATCTCTGTGGTCTCTTTCAAAGGCCTCTAAGGTTCCAGGCTGCTGAGGCTTACTCCCTAGATCACAGCACCAGTCAGCATCTGGCCCTGGAGTGTCTCTTCATTCGGCATCACTACTTATTGCTTCAGTTTCACATTTTTATGATTTGTTTGTTTTTACTTGTTTGGTCTGAGGGCCCATGGAGATTTTTCTTACCTCAAATATTTTAAAAAGTATCTTTTCCATAGAACCTAATTTTTCTGTTGGTGTGTTTATTTGTCGTTATCGAGATGGAAGTTGCCTCAGATATCTGGTTTACATACTACAAGTAATGGAGTCTTCAGATTAAATATTTTAACTTTGTAAATACATAATTTGGAATATAAGTGTTAATAAACAAAAACGATGACTAAAATCACAACTTAGTTTGAAATCCCCAGTTCTTTAAACTAAACGTAAGTCATTGTTTTGTGGGAAAAAGGCAAATGCCTATCTAGTGTGTCATACTTGGTGGAATACATCGATAATGACATGTAGTTTTTGACATTGCTGTAGTTTTGTTCTTTCATGTGGCTTTACCCACATATTCTTTATATTTAGGGGTGCTTATAGATGTTAGCTCAGACCATCTACAGGTATGTTCTCTCACTTTTGGATGAATATGTTTTAGGTTATGATTTAAGCTGCTTCACTGAGACTGAAAACAGCAGAGGCTCAAAGATCTCAGCACAACAGCTAAGGGCAGGTGTAGCAGCTCCACACTGCAAGTGAGGCAGGTTCCACTGTCGTGTTACTTCAGCAACCCTAGAGAGTTGCCCTCATCTGCATGGTCTGCAGCACATCATTACATCACCATACGCCCACAAAGAGAAAAAGATAAGGCACTTCCCTTTCCACTGAAGAATACAAGAAGCTACACGTCAAGCACCACATACCTTACAGGTCATCACATTGTAAACTTAATACAAGATCCAGCCTTCAACAAAACTGTGAGGTGAACAAAGTTTATCTTGCCTGTTTTTCTACTTCTATACCCCCATAATCTGGGCTTCCATTTCTGCTTTGCCTTCAGAGACTGACATCCCTCTAAAATGACCAGCTGATGAAAGCTGAAAGATGTTTTAGCCAAGCCTCTTTGAAATCAAAAAGTCTTCAAGATTCATAAGGAGGAAACTATAAATGGTAAGATTTCAGACCCTTTACAGATATTGGGGAAATACAGGGATCCACAAGATCCTTCCCAAACCACGGGGGCATTAACAACTCAGTACATGTTTTTGACTTTTCCTGCCCAAGGATATGAGTTTCCAAAGCTGACACATTTCCTGGATCCAGAATATCTTGCCAGTCTAGCTGTGGAATTAATTGTGGTGCAATAACCCTAGAAATACAAACTGTTAACTCCTTCCCCTCTTCCTACATCAGATCCAGGTGTAAGGGCTGACTCTGGTGCTTCATGCAAAGAGTTGCTAAATAAAACCACAACAAGATCAAACTTCAAAGAAACCCAAGCAATTGTTATGAATAGCTTCCACTTCCGTCTTTCCATTCCCAGAGTTATTTCAGTGGAGCAAAGTGAACAAATCTGTGATGCCCTCTGCTTTGGATCCTTTTCCATGTTCTGCAGAGGACTCTATCAAAGTAGGAAGTAGTAGTAGGAATCAAAGCAGAAAACAGGAGGGGAAACAGGGACTGAATGGTTCATGGGCTGGGATGGCAGCTCTGATGCCCAGAAAGACACCACCGGGCATAGGGAGCCTCTCTCCAGGCAGCCTGCCCCAGGATCCCCACAGCCCTCCTACCAACTAGGCAAGGAAGTGTGTCCCCGTAAGAGGAAACTGGGAAATGTGGTGTTTATACTTGGCAGCTACATTTCCAGTTAACATTTTGATGATCTGCTACTATAGAAGAGGCAGGATTCAATATGAATTGTTAATACAGTTGTTTTCTTTCTTTCTTTATTGCTAACTTCCTTGTGAGTCAAGACACATGATGCTAAGGATGGTGGTTGCATAGCCTCTGTGGTTAGCAAATGGAGCCTCATTCCAGAACTTAGCAGTCAGTAAGAGCCAGGAGGACAGAATGATAATATGTGTGTAATACATCAGGCATAATGTTAGACATTCCACATGCATTGGGCAATATTTAATTTCAGAAAAAATCCTAGTTTGGATTGTGCCTCAAAAGGGCTTTGAGGCAAGGATTTGGGTGCAATAGTTCAATTGAGAAATGATCCCAGGAAACAGTGACAGAACATGAAGAGACAAGGCAGGAATGAGATAAGGGCCAATAATTAATTCTCCAGCACCGCTCTCCCTCTCTGTGCTTTGGGCCAAGCAGATTTCCCTGGCCAAAGAATGCCCACACAGAGACAGTGAGGAAGCCATGGTTGTGCACAGGAACTGCAGTTCACCTGGAATTAGACCAGGAAATATAGGCAGGACACTGAGAGTGACTGTTGTAGCCCCATGAGGAACTAGCTCCATGTTCCAAGGAAGAATAGTGATGCTCTCAGAGATATTGAAACTTGACTTTTAACGGCATTTCTAGGCTTCACTCTTGCCCATATGACTACACAGCCTCTGTGTTATTCCCTTTCTCTGCATGAGAACACAAAAACACTCATTTTCTAGAAGTTTGGCTTTTCAAGATGACTGTGTGGGATCCCTGCTTGTAAACTCTTAACTAAGTCCCCAGGATCCTGTCTCCATTGACTCAGTGATGCAATTTAGTCTTCCTTTGAGTCACTCCCAAGCAGCTCAGACTCCCCTTGTCTATTTCCCAGATTCTGCCACAGTAATTACTGTGATTGGGTAATTATTGAAATACTGTGGCATAAAGCTGGTCGTTTGTATTTCCTATCCTCTCTGAGTCTGGGCCCTCCATGGGAGGAGCCTGTTTGGGAGTGGAACTGGGGGCGGTCCAAAGTACTTTTGGCAATAAATTTCCTCCCACTGGCACTGGGTGTCTGATTATTAGTAGAGAAAGAAAATTATCAAGTTGCTTCACCTTGGAGCACATTCTTTTTAAGAGAGAACCAAGGCAGTTGGAAGTGTTCAGGTTTTCTTTTATAGAATAAAGAAGGCACATTGTGTGCACATGTGTGTGTTGCTATATCCATGTTTGTCTGCTCCTACAACAATATATACATATATATGAAACTTTGTGCAACTATTCCTTTTCTGTAAAATGAAGATGTTATACTTTGCACTTGTGTATATATACACATATATAGTATAATATTCTAACAGTATATTATATTGTATATATAACATATATGGTATATCCTATATAAAATATCTATAAAACATGTTATACATATAACATCCCCATACGAAACAGATATATGTATATGTGTGTATGTGTGTTTATATATATACACACATATCTATAATATGTGTTTGTGTCACACATATGTGTGTGTGTGTGTCTGTATATATATGGGGGGGAGCGTAGGGAACAACATTCTCATTTTACAGAAAAGAAATAGAGGCACAAATAAGTGAGGTAACTTACACAAGACCCTAGAGCAAAATAGGATGTAAACTTGACTACAACCAAAACAGTTGGCCATATCTTCCTGCCTCTCCTGAGAAACCCCCACCAAATTAGACCAAAATTCCTCTTAAATAAGATACATTATAATATTCCTGCTTTCTTAAACAGAAAAGATACAACATACTGAAGACTTCTTTAGTAACTGAGTTACGTCTTCATTAACATCCTATTCTCTGTCTTTCTCATTTGTCTCTGTCTGTGATGTCTTTGTACAACCTGCCTGGAATGTGCTCATTCTATTACTATTACCTTCATTTGGCTCCTCCTGGCCCCTCAGCTCTGGCCCTGCACCTGGACAATCTGGGGGATACTTCGAGTTTTGTCACTTCCTTGGAAACGTGGCCTTAACCACTGATATCATTTTCATAGGGCCTTGTGCTTTCATGCAATAGCATTTGTCCCAGTTGTTAGGGTATAGTGACCTGTGTAATGATTTGAAAGTAACCTGCTCTCTCTTTATAAGCCCTGTAAGGACAGAGCCCATATATTCCATTTTCACAAGTGTGTATATCAGCAAAATATAAATACAAAACAGACAATCAAAAAAGTTTGTTAAGTGTTTCAATCGATTGTCTTCCAAAATTTCAGTCAGTCAAAGACAATACAGAAGAAAAATTTAGCCACTTCTCCAAAACATAATTGTTTTTATTCTTCCACATAATCTTCCAATTGCTAACAGTTTTTTAAATGATCCTTCTTTTTATCATAATGTAAATGTAATTCCATACTCTGCTGGATTGGGAACCTGATCATGTTGAGTATTTTTCTTCTGGTAACTATTTTTCACACCACTACAAAGTCCCTCTGTTATTAATTCACGGGGTGCTGGCACCGTTGCAGTGTCCTTACTTAGTCCTCCAAGGCTGCTTCCTCAAATTACTTCTCCTGCCATGTCTTTTTCTATTTTTTTGTAATATTATCCCATAGTAAACAATATTAAACATGAATTTTTTTTCCACTTAATTACTTTGAATAAATTCCCAGAAGTTGAGGTCAAGATGTATATAGCTACCTATTGCCCTAAAAATATCTTCTTAAAATACTCCCTAAAAAAAGTGTGAATTTAGATTTCTACTAACTGTATATACGCCCCATTGTCTCTTGCTACCTTCAAGATAGAGAAAGTTAACAATCTGGCTTGATATCTTCACATCTTTCTCTGTGTTCATACAAACATAAAAACGTACATTTACATGGAAAGGACTATGCTTTTGTGCATTTCTCTGTCCCTTGATTTTCTCACCCAACCTTCCTCCAAATCAGTTAAAGAAGGCCGAATATAACCTTTTAAATAACTGCTATTTTATCATATGAATTCACCAAATTAATCTCTAAATAATAGGCATTCAAAGTTGTTTCCAAGGTTTTTTTTTTTTGCGTGCTTTTTTTGCAGCATTACAAATAATTCTGTATTGAACATTCTTGGACATAAAACAATACTTACCCATGCTTTAACTTCTTGAACCTCTGAAAAGGGATTCCCACCAGTGAGATTACTGGGTCAAAGGTTATTTTAACTTTAAAATATGAGAGATATTGACAGATTACTTTCAAAATAATACCATAGAAATCAATCACCTCACTACATGAGATGTATATGAAAATAGCCTTCTCTCTGAATCTGCTAGAGATAATTGACTACGGAAAATTTGAAGTTTTTATTCTTTGCCTTACCTATTAAAAAAATCTGTCTACTTTTTATATGCAGTTTGCCTTTTTCTCCTTAATTTTAGGACCTAATACACATGCCTGAAAACACACACACCCTTTTCTTAATAGTATGAATTGCTTTGCAATTGTTTAAAATATAGTGTTGGTCTTTTTGCATAAAAAGTAAATAGTAACTTGAAAGCCATATATAATTTTATAATTTTATATAGCCAAATGTTTTTTTCTACATATCCTTAATTTCTTGTATAAATTACTCTCACCCTTACCACATTTATGTAGTCTTCTAAATTTTCTCAATAATTTTGAACATTTTACTTTCTACGTTGACACTTCTCATTTGGACATTTATTTTTACAGATGCTGTGATGTAATAATAGAAAATTTTTTTTGTTTGGATCTAAATGGATAATCAAAGTTTCCATACAATTTATTAAATGAATCATCATTTTCCTACTGAGATAAAATGTTACTCTCCATATATCCTTCTCTTCAATGGTCCTCAATTCTGTCCTCATCTGTCTTTTCCTGTTTTAATAACATATATTTTTGCAGCCTCATATAATTTATGTATACGGAAAACCATGAGTCTTTAAAAAATTGTTTGCCATTCTTAGACAAGTGATTTGTCATTATAAGTTGTTATTATTTTAAAATTCCCGTTCCCAATAAGTGGCTTGCTAGGTTTCTAATGGAATTTGCACAAAAATTGTATGTAAATTTTGACTAATATGGTTAAACTTTCTTCATGTATACATGTATTTTTCTAAACAGTTTTTTTTTTCCTGTAATTGTTTACATTGATCTATGGATTGTTCTTGTAAATTCAGAGAAAATGTATTAAACTTATGTAAATCCAACACCTTCGCCAACGTATCAATATTCTACTAGAATTTTTATGGTTTTATTAAGCAAACTATTACGTGGTCAATAAAAAGAAAGAATTTATTTCCTGACTTTTCATTCTTTTAATAATTACTATCCTTTTGGAATACGCTGTATGGGTTTTTCAAATACTTTTTCTGGCATTTTAAACATAATAATGTTTTTTCTTTGATTAGCTGATGACAGAAAAATGCACAGATATGTCCACCCCTAACAATTGTGCCCAAGAAAATTACACAAATGGAGGCCCACATAACCCATATCTAAATATTGAAAAGTCATAAATTAACCTATTATAAAATAAACTGTTTAATAAAACATGTGCTACCTTCCAACCTTGACTAACACGTCTCCATAAGCATCTGGAGAGTCAATTTAAACTTAGCATTGTCTTCCTACGAATTCTACCCCAGATAATGAAGGCACACGGATTATGGACCCTGGCCTATGAGACTACCACGAGAATAGTGATTTCTGTTTGCTGAATTGCTGTCCGTAATCTTTGGTAACTTTAGTTGCTTCCTTATTTTTTTATGTGGACAATCATATTGCCTGCCAATAAGCAACAGTGATAAATTATTAGTGATTTTATCTTTTGTTTTATTTTTTTCTTCCTCTGCCCCTCCTTCTCTTTTTCTCTTTGTTTCTTTGTTACTACATTAGTCAGTTCTTTCTGAACAATGTTGAGTAGAAGCCATGGTAATAGTAATTCTAGCCATGCTCTTGAATTTATAGAAAATCGATTTAAAGCCTCATTGCTAACTATGATGATTACTGAAGATTTCTGTGAGATACATTTAAGAAGAAATCCTATTATTTGTAAGTTATTCCTAAAATGTTTAATGGTGGATTATTGTTTAATTTTATCAAAAGATTTTGCTTTACCTATTAAAAAGATGGTTAAAGTCTTGCTCTTTAAATCTGTTAATATGAGGTATGACAGTATAATTTCTGATTTTGAGAATACATTCATTCCTAAAATAATTTGGTCTATAATTCTATGCATATATTTTTAACTCATTTTTTGGGGTTATTCACAAAATAGCTTTAAGCCTGCCAAATTCCCTCTCTCTCTCTCTCTCTCTCTCTCTGTCTCACGTGTGTGTGTGTGTGTATGTGTGTGAATTCTACTTTTGAAAGATATTTTATTGTCTCTTTCCTGGATTTGTTTTTGTGTGTGTCTGCTGTTAGTAGACATGCACTTACTTCTTATGTTGCTTATATTGTGTTGTAATTTCCCTTAACACAAGTAGAGGTAATTACCTTCTAGAGCACATCAGGATAATTTTTTAAAGCATGTATACATTCAGCTTTATTTGCCACTTTGTCGTTCTGGCTTATAGAGGTTGCTCCTGTTCATGTCTCTGTGTGCATAACAACCCCAGATATTGAACTACACCATGCTTTCCCACATTAGCTGGGGCAGGGATTGTGGCTTGGAGTTGAGAGCAGAAACTGGAGACGTATGCTAAGTTTCCACTTTACCCTGGCCCATGTCTTCATGTACATATACCATCCGAACCCTATGGAAGGCTGTTATTCATTTAGTTGACTATTTTAGCTCTTGGGATAGTCAGTCTGTTTCAATTTCTTTTCAGTATTCTCTGCTTCATTCAAGATGAGCTGTGATTTTTAACTAGACATTGCAGCTCTGCCTTAATAGCCTTCTTTCTTCCTAAGGCTACTATACAGTCATGCAACGCTTAAGAATGGGACAACAGTGTAACAAATGCATCATTAGGTGATTTTTTTTCATTGTTTAAACATCATAAAGTGTACTTGCCCAAACCTAGATAGTATAGCCTACTATATATCAAAGCTATATGGTAGAGATAATTGCTCCTAGGCTACAGCCTTGTACAACATGTAACTACTAAATACTGTAAGCAACTGTAACACAGTGTTAGTATGCGTGTATCTAAACATATCTAGGCTTAGAAAAGGTGCAGTAAACATATGATATAACAGATTAAAATAGTACACCAGTATAGGGCATGTACAATGAGTGGAGCTTGCAGGACTGGAAGTTGCTCTTGGGGAGTGAGTGAGTGATGAGTGAATGTGAGGGCCTAGGACATTACCATACACTACCATAGACTTTATAAACTATGTACAGTTAGGCTACACTAAATTTACAAAAAATTTTTTTCTTCAATAATAAATTAACCTCAGTTAATTGTAAATTGTTTACCTTATAAACTTTCTAATTTTTGTAACATTTTGACTCTTTTGTAATAATTCTTAGCTTAAAACACAAACGTATTATACACTGGTACAAAATATTGTCTTTATATCCTTATTCTATAAACTTTTTTCTATTTTTATTATACTACTTTTCACTTGATTTTACTCTTAAACTATTTTTTGTTGTTGTTGTTAAAACGTAAGACATAAACACACAGATTAGCCTAGGCCTACACAGGATCAGTATAATCAATTTCACTGTTTTCCACCTCCACATCTTGTCCCATTATGAGGTCTTCAGGGACAATAACACACATGGAGCTGTCGTCTCCTATGATAACAATATCGTCTTCTGGAATTCCTCCTGAAGGACCTGCCTGAGGCTGTTTCACAGTTAATGTTTCCTTTTATATATAAGCAAAAGGAGTACACTCTGAATTGATAAAAACTATAGTATAATAAATACATAAATCAGTAACATCGTCATTTATTACCATTATTAAGCATTATATGCTATGCATAATTGTATGTGCTGTACCACTGGCAGTGCCGTAGGTTCATTTACACCAACATCAAAACAATGATGCTTTGCACTATGACATTACAATGTCTATGATGTCATTAGACAATGGGAATTTTTCAGTTCCATTAAAATCTTATGGAACCACCATAGTATACGCCATCCATCAATGACCAAAATATTGCTATGCAGTATATAAATATAATTTATTAACTCCATGTGCCAATCATAAATCTATAGAATATAGGAAGCATATAAATATTCTCCTAGTAATAAAACCTACAAGATTGAGATGATGGGGTTTATCATATGCCTTCTGGGTTCTCAGAGACTTTACTTGCCTAATCATTTTTCCAAATTCTGTTTGAGATTATTTACAAATAAATAACGTATACCTTGATAAGTTCCTAAACTATTGACTGGCAAACAAACACTAACCTTCAGATGTAATCAGAATCATAAAAAGAGAAAGATATAGTCATGTAGTATTCTTATTTAGGTAGAAATTCTTAGTGTTTAATTATATATAATTATATCTTAGGATAGAAAATGTAAATGTAGAAAAATGCCAGTGAACTAATAGTTAAGAGATCTGGAATCAGTTTGCACTCAGTTTGAGTTCAAATTAAGTATATTATACCTTTACAAACCCAATGTTTTAAGTATTATTTAAAAAATAATAAAACTGTAAACAGGGACAGTTTCACTTCCTCTCTTCCTATTTTGATGCCCTTTATTTATTTCACTTGCCTGATTGCCCTTGCCAGAACTTCCAATACTATGTTGAATAGGAGTGGAGAGAGAGGGCATCCTCGTCTTGGGTCAGTTTTCAAGGGAAATGCTTCCAGTTTTGCCAATTCAGTATGATGTTGGCTGTGGGTCTGTCATAGATAGCTCTTATTATTTTGAGGTATGTTCCTTCAATACCTAGTTAATTGAGAGTTTTTAAAATGAACGGATGTTGAATTTTATTGAAAGTCTTTTCTGCATCTATTGAGATAATCATGTGGTTTTTGTCTTTAGTTCTATTTATGTACTGAATTACATTTATTGATTTGTGTATATTGAACCAACCTTGGATCCTAGGGAAGAAGCCTACTTGAACGTTGTGGATAAGCTTTTTGATGTGCTGCTGGATTCAGCTTTCCAGTATTTTGTTGAAAGTTTTTGCATCAATGTTCATCAAGAATTTTGGCATGAAGTTTTCTTTTTTTGTTGTATCTCTGCCAGGTTTTGATATTAGGATGATGCTGGTCTCATAGAATGAGTTGTGGTGGACTTCCTCCTCTGCAATTTTTTTTTAGAATAGTTTCAGTAGGAATGGGACCAGCTTTTCTTTGTACATCTGGGAGAATTCAGCTGTGAATTTTTCTGGTCCTGGGCTATTTTTGGATGGTAGGCTATTTATTATTGCCTCAATTTCAGAGCTTGTTATTGGGCTGTTCAGGGAATCAATTTCTTCCTGGTTAAGTTTTGGGAGAGTGTATGTGTTCTGGAATGTATCCGTCTCTTCTAGATTTTCTAGTTTCTGTGCATAGAGGTGTTCATAATATTCTCTGATGGTTGCTTGTATTTCTGTGAAGTCAATGGTAATATCTCCCTTGTCTTTTCTGATTGTGTTTATTTGAATCTTCTCTATTTTCTTCTTTATCAGTCTAGCTAGTAATCTATCTATTTTGTTAATTTTTTCAAATAACCAGATCCTGGATTCATTGATCTTTTGAATGATTTTTTTGTGTCTCTGTCTCCTTCAGTTCAGCTCTGATTTTGGTTATGTTTTGTCTTCTGCAAGCTTTGGCATTTGTTTGTTTTTGATTCTCTATTCCTTTTAGTAGTGATGTTAGATTGTTAACTTAAGATCTTTCTATTTTTTTGATGTGGGCATGTAGAGCTATAAATATCCCTGTTAATACTGCCTTCGATGTGTCCCAGGGGTTCTCTTATGTTGAATCTTTGTTCTCATTAATTCCAAAGAACTTCTTGACTTTTGCCTTTATGTCATTATTTACCCAAATTCATAATCCTGTATCTAGAAAACCCCATAGTCTCAGCCTAAAAGCTTCTTAAGCTTCGGCAAAGTCTCAGGATAAAAAAATCAACGTGCAAAATCACTAGCATTCCTATGCACCAAAAACAGGTAAGCCACGAGTCAAATCAGGAATGAGCTCATATTCACAACTCCCACAAAAAGAATAAAATACCTAGGAATACAGTTAACTAGGGAGGTGAAAGATCTTCACAAGGAGAACGACCAACCACTGCTCAAAGAAATCAAAAATGACATAAACAAATGGAAAAACATTCCATGTTCATGGATTAATAAAAATCAATATAGCTAAAATGGCCATACTGCCCAAAGTAATTTATAAATTCAATGTTATGTCTATTAAACTACCATTGACATTCTTCCAAAAACTAGAAGAAACTATTTTAAAATTCATACGAAACCAAAAAAGAGCCTGAATAGCCAAGGCAATTCTAAGCAAAAACAGCACAGCTGGTGGCGTCATGCTACCTGACTTTATACAACAGGGCTGCAATAACCAAAACAGCATGGCCCTGGTACAAAACAGACACATAGATCAATGGAACAGAATAGAGAACTTACAAATAAGACTGCACAGTTCAAAGTATCTGATCTTTGACAAACCTTATAAAAATAATCAAGGTGGAAAGGATTCCCTATTCAATACATGGTGCTGGAGTAATTGGCTAGCTATATTCAAAAGATTAAAACTGGACCCTTTTCTTACACTACATACAAACATTAACTCAAGATAGGTTAAAGACTTAAGTGTAAAACCCAAAACTATAAAAACCCTGGAAGACAACCTAGGCAACACCATTCAGGACATAGGCATCAGCAAAAATTTCATGATAAAGATGCCAAAAGCAATTGCAACAAAAGCAAAACATTGATAAGAGGGATTTAATTAAACCAAAGAGCTTCTGCACAGCCAAAGAAACTATCAACAGACTAGGTACACAGCCTAAAGAATGGTAGAAAATTTTTGCAAACTATGTATTCAACAAAGAACTAATATCCAGCATCTATAAGAAACTTAAACAAATTTACAAGAACATAAAAACAACCCCATAAAAAGGTAGGCAAAGGATATGAACAGACTCTTCAAAGAAGCAATGCCTGCAGCCAACAGATCATATGAAAAAAAGCTCAACATCACTAATCATTAGAGAAATGCAAATCAAAACTACAATGAGATACCATTCACACCAGTCAGAATGGCTATTATTAAAAAGTCAAAAAATAACAGATGTTGGCAAAGTTGGGGAAAAAAAGAAATGCTTATACACTGTTGATGGGAGTGTAAATTAGTTCAGCTATTGTGGAAGACAGTGTGGCAGTTCCTCAAAGACCTAAAGACAGAAATACCATTTGGCCCAGCAATTCCATTACTGGGTATATTCCCAAAGACAAATAAACCATTCTATTATAAATATATATATACAAGTATGTTCATTGCAACACTATTCACAATAGCAAATACATGGAATAAACCTAAATGTCCATCAGTGATAGACTGGATAAAGAAAATGTGGTATATATACACCATGGAATACTATGTAGTCATAAAAAATGAGTTCATGTCCTTTGCAGAGACATGGATAAAGATGGAGGACAGTATCCTTAGCAAACTAACACAGGAGTAGAAAACCAAATACTGCATGTTCTCACTTATAAGTGGCAACTGAATGAGAAGAACACATGAAGAGGAGAACAACATACATTGGGGCCTATTGGAGGATGGAAGTTGGGAGGAGGGAGAGGATCAGGAAAAATAACTAATGGATACTAGGCTTAATACCTGGGTGATAAAACAATCTGTATAATCAACCCCCGGGACACATGTTTACCTATGTAACCAACCTGCACATGTACCCCTGAACTTAAAATAAAAGTTTAAAAAATCAATCAATCAAACTTAATAGAAAATTTAAATACATTGATGTATAAACACAACAATCTTAACTTTCTTCGAACTAATTATTAAGAATTTGGAATGCATTCTTTGACATCTTTGCTCAAGCTTGTGCATATATAGTCACAGAGATAAAAAAGGTTTTATTATGGCTTGTTTTTATTTTTAAATATAGAGTTGCATTACTAAATAATCTTGCTGCTTAATCATTTTGCCTAATGATACAGCAGGGGCAATGCTACAAGGTAATAGTCAAAGACAAATCTCAATTTTCATAACTAAAATATATTATAAAATTGGATGTTCAGAAGGTTTTCAGGTTTTATGGTTTTATGTTGTTTTTGCCACTGAAGCAATTTTGCAATAAAAATAACTGCACAGGCTGGGTGCGGTGGCTCACATCTGTAATCCCAGCACTTTGGGAGGCCAAGGCAGGTGTATCATGAATTCAGAAGTTCAAGACCAGTCTGGCCAACATGGTGAAACCCCATCTCCAAAAAAAATACAAAAAAATAGCCAGGTGTGGTGGTGTGTGCCTGTAATCCCAGCTACTTGGAGGCTGAGGTAGGAGAATCGTGTGCACCTGGGAGGCGGAGGTTGCAGTGAGCTGAGATTGCGCCATTGCACTCCAGTCCGGGTGACAATGCGGGACTCCATCTCAAAAACAAACAAACAAACTGCACATATATTCTTACTTTTTGCATATGACCTTTTATTATATAAAATTGATTCCAGCTTTTATTATTGATTTAGGCTGGATGCAGTGATTCACACCTGTAATCCCAACACTTTGGGAGGCCATGGATGGCAGATCACTTGAACGTAGGATTTCAAGACCAGCCTGGGCAAAAAATTGAGACCTGTTTCTACAAACAAATACAATAAATTAACAAGGGCCATTGATGCATTCCTATAGTCCCAGGTACTTGGGAGGCAGAGGTGGGAGGATTGTTTGTACTCAGGAATTGGAGGCTGCGGTGAGCTATAATCGCACCACTGCACTACAGTCTGGACAACTGAGTGAGATCTAGTTTCTAAAAAATCCTTTTTTTTTAATGAAATAAAATTGATCCACACATTTAGGACTTCCATGTCATGGCTTGTCTGATTTTTTCTTTTCACTTTTGCAGATTGGATTGATAGAGTTATACTATACTTAATTTGTGCTCAGAGTGCAAACTGAATCCAGAATGCTTAAGTCTTAGTCAGCTTGCATTTTCCTATACTTCATTTTTTACGTCTTAAGATTTGGTTATCTATAATTAAATACTAAGAATTTCCACATCAAAGAGAATACTTCATGACTACGTCTTTCATTTTTTAAATAATCCCCCAAAACTGTGTTGTCATTTCCGTAAGCAATAAATGAGAGTGACGATATCATCAACAGCCCTGTATTCTCTCTGCACTTTTACCAGCTGGATGGGCTAAAGTTGCATTAAATTATCATTTTAGTTTTATTTCTTATTAGTAGTATTGAAGTTAAATATCATTATTGGTTATTTTGATACTCTTATGACAGAGAACAAGAGAGTTGACCTCACTCTGGGTCTAGATAATAAATGTGTACTGTCATCCTTCACATATGAATGCATATGCGAAGGATGCAAACAGCTTTTGATCCCCTTCAGTGATAGAGATTGAAAATAAAATGCATTCACCTTATCAGTAGTTTCACAGCAAATGCCAGGTACTTTACTAACATATTGATACAAACATTCATCCCCCACTACTGGTGTTAAAATTAACACCTTGCAGTAATAAGTTTTAGTTTCTTGCCATTGGATTTTTGAAAGTATTAAATGGAAACTAACTATAATTAAAATGGAGACCACTGTACTTGTAGTAGAATTCTTTGATGATGGAGCATTTCATGGCATTATTCCTGGGATAAAATGTTGCTTTTGATTTGCTACAGTGGTGAAATGGAGGAAGTTTTAGGAGCCTCCAATTGTACTTCTTCACGTAATAACTCAACTCTCAAAAATAATCATAAAACGGAAATGATAAACAAAGCCAAATGTTTTTATATTTCACTGAAGACTAATTTAAAAATGACAAATGAAATTGTACACTTCTGAAAATTTTGATTAAAAAGCAATAGAAAGAGTTGAAGACAAAGAAACAGAGTGATGTGCACACACACATACATTTTATCTAAAATGAAGTCAATTTTAACTGTACTAATTTTTTTTTAAAACCCAGTTATAAGCATAGAAATATACCAAGACATTTGAAAAATCCTAAAAATGGTAATTCCCTAAAAACATGTAATTACCAAAACTTGGTCAATGATAAAAAAATCACATGAATTAAACTATAAATACTAAAGTAGTCATACTGTTTTAAAGCTAAGCCCCAAATACTAGGAAAATGCCATCATTAGAAGCCCTGTAGGGTCATAAAATAACTAAAACAAAGGGCATGCTCTCAAAATCTTTCAAATTCTATTTGGTTGGTGCAAAATTAATTGCAGTTTTGCACCAATCTAATATATTTATATGCTGCTTCAACCCATAAGTGTAGATGTAAATATTTCTATATAATCAGCAGCCAAAATTCAGTAATGTATAAACAATGTCACATGAGAAAGTCAAGTTTCCAGAAATGCAAAAATTGTATAACATTATGAAATCTATTGAGGTTCATACCATTATGAATTAAAGGAAAGTCACAAAATTTTCTGAATAAATTTAGGAAATGTATTTGGCCTATTTCAGTACCTATTAGTTTTAGAACCCTTAGCAAACTAGGAATGGTAGAAAATGTCCTTGACATGATAAAGTTTGTCTGCAAATCATACATGGTAGAAGAGTGTAAGTTGTTGTTTTTTTCTTTTTCTCAACTTTTATTTTAGATACAGAGGTTACATGTGCAGTTTTGTTACCTGAGTACATTGTACTAAGGTAGTGAGCACAGTACCCAAGAGGTAGTTTTTTCACTCATGTCCTCCTCCCACCTCCTACCTCTAGTAGTTTGTAGTAACTATTGTTCCTATAGTTTATGTCCACGGCTGCTCAGTGTTTAGCTCCTGTGAGAACATGCTGTATTTTGTTTCCTGTTCCTGCATTAACTCACTTAGGATAATGGCCTCCAGCTCCATCCAAGTTGCTGCAAGGGATATAACGTCATTGTTTTTTTATGACTGTGTAGTATTCCACGGTGTGTGTGCACTACATTTTCTTTATCAAATCCACCCTTAATAGGCAGCTAGGTTGATTCCATGTCTTTGCTCTTGTGAATAGCGCTGTGATGAATGTACAATACATGTGTCTTTTTAGTATAATGTTCTATTTTCCTTTGGGTATATGTATATACCAAGTAACAGAATTGCTATGTCAAATGGTACCTGTGTTAAGTTATTTGAGAAATTCCCAAAGTGCTTTCCACAGTGATCAAACTGATTTACATTCCCACCAACAGTGTATAAGCATTCCCCTTTCTCCATAGGTTCACCACCAGCATCTGTTTTTTTTTTAGTTGTTGTTGTTGTTGTTTGTTTGTTTTTTACTTTTTAACAATAGTCATTTTGACTGGTAAGAGATGCTGTCTCATTGTGGTTTTGATTTGAATTTCTCTGATTATTAGTGATGATGAGTATTTTCTAAAATGGACACAATCTAAAGCAATTTACAGATTCAACACTCTTCCTATCAAACTACCACTATCATTCTTCATAAAATTAGAAGAAAACTCTAAAATGTATATGGAACCAAAAATGAACCTGAATAGCAAAAGTAAACTGAAGCAAAAAGAACAAAGCTTGAGACATCATACTACCTGACTTCAAACTATACTATAAGGCTATAGTAACCAAAACCTTATGGTATTCGTACAAAAACAGACACATAACCAATGGAACAGAATAGAGAACCCTGAAATAAAACCTCACACTTATAACCATTTGATCTTTAACAAGGGTGACAAAAGCAAGCAATGGGGAAAAGACTCCCTATTCAATGAATGGTTCTGGGATAACTGGCTAGCTAAATGCAGAAGAATGAAACAGGGTCCTTACCTTTTATCATATACAAAAACTAACTCGAGATGGATTAAAGAATATCCCAAACTATAGAAGTCCTAGAAGAAAATTTAAGAAATACACTTCATGATATAGGCTTGAGCAAATTTTTGTCTAAGTCCCCCAAAGCAATTACAACAAAAACAAAAGTTGACAAGTGGAACCTAATCGAACTACTGAGTTTTTGCTTAGCAAAAGAAACTCTCAACAAAGTAAACAGAAAAACCTACAAAATGGGAGAAAATATTCACAAACTATGCATCTGACAAATATCTAATATCCATAATCTATAAGGAACTTAAATCAACAAGCAAAAAACAACCCCATTAAAAAGTGAGCAAAGAACATGAAAAGACACTTCTCAAAAGAAGACATAAAAGCCACCAACAAACATAAATTATAATTTTAAATTCAGAAATAATCACTGCTCCTTTTATGAATATGGAAATAGAGGCTCTGCCCAAACTAACAGGACCAACAAGTAAATAACAGAAGGACAACTTGGAGGGAAGAAACAAATCTGTCATGAATTGAGTACGTTATGATTTTCCACGTATAAAGACAAGTTTAATAAAGGTGAATGTGCAGTATAGTTAGCAGGTTTACTGGATATATGATAAATATATACAAATTAAATATCTTTATCAATTCATAGAAATATATTTTCAAGTTATATATTTATAATAGCTATAAAAAATAGAATCCCTATAAATAAACCTAATAAAATTTGTGCATGACCCTTATTGAAGAGAAAATTCAAATGTTTGTATATGTGTGTGTAAATATATATATGTAATATATTTGTATGTAATTAAAATGTGTGTGTGTATACATACATACACACATATTTTGTTATGAAAGACCCAATATTATATCCATTATTCTAAAATGTACCTATGTAGTGAACTAGGTTTAATGAAGAACATTACAGTGTTTCATAGAACTTTTCAAGCAATGTCTATTTTGCATATGAAAAAGGAAGGATCAAGTTTAGCTAACAGCACAGCCTTATGAAGAATAGTCTGCAAATGGAAGCAACCCAAATGTCCATCAGCTGATGAATGGTGAATGGCTTAACAATATATTATATATCCATATATTGGAATATTTTTGGGTGGAAAAAATAGCAAAATATGGATACAGGCTAAAACTTGTGAACCTTGAAAACATGCTAAATGAAAGAAGTCAGTCAGAAATGATGCATATTTTATACCATTTATATCATGAAATGATATGTGTCATCTGAGTATTGAAATATCCAAAACGTGTTAAGCCCATAGAGACAGAAAGAAGGTTAATATTAGCCTATGGCTGTGTGTGATGGGGAATGCAATGTGACTGTTATCAAGTACAAGGCTTCTTTTTGGGGGTGATTAAAATGTTCTAAACCTAAATAGTTGTACAACTCTGTGAAAACTGAAAAACCACTAACTTGTGCATTTTAACTGGGTGACCTTATAGTGAATAAATTATACCTCTTAAACATGTGGAAAATATTAGCTATGAAAATGTTAAAGAACAAGATGCAATTATGAAGTTATCATACATTTGGCAGTGTGATTGATAATATCAAAGTAATGAAAAAAAAGATAGGGGTCAGAGATGGACAAATTCATTCATGAAAACTTGTTAGGTAAATTAAGAATAACTTTAGAAATCATTGAGTAAAATCTCAACAAATGATTCTGAGAAAAATATAATGGAATCCTTCATATAAAGTACACATGTAAATTAAATATAAATAAAAACCAGAGTAAGCAGAAAAACTTTAAGACATTTATTATCTTAATATAGGGAAGAAATTAATGAATTAACAAACAAAAAACATAAGCCACGAGAAAACTGAATTTTTTTATAATGAGTGTCTATAAACTTCTCTGCATTAAAAAATGCCAAAAATGGGATGATAAGCCAAAGACTATAAAAAGTTATTTTCAACCACTAGATTACATGAAGGATCAATATCTAAAATAAATTTACACACTACAAATCAGTAGCAACAAGATAAGTCTCAGAGAGAAATATTGTGAATAGGTAATTAACAGAAAATGGAATTCTAACAATAATCTAATGAAAAGTTGCTGAAACTCACTAGAAAGAAAGAAAACTAGTTAAAGCCAACATTTCACTCTCATTTTGGGTGGGGACAGGAAGAAGAGAACAGGTATGTACCTCAATTACCATGTTACCTTAACAGTACATGTGTGTACAGGTTCATATATGGAAATATATATGTATGCATGTATGTATACCTCCAACATTATACCCATGAGGAGAGTGGATAATCAATTGTTATTTATTTTTACAACAGAATACTATACAATTAGTTAAATGAGATACACTGGGGTAATAAATGTCAACAAAGATAAAAATTTACATGAATATTAAAATATATGCAGAAAATTATTTGATAAAGATTTTCATTTATTCATTAATTTTAAAAGAAAAACAATACTTAGAATTTCAGGAACAGAAAGTATCTTTACTCATATGGTAAGGGTATTCAGAAATGTATGCTAAACATCATACTTGATGATGAAATGATGAAATCATTCCCTTTACACTGCACTGAAACAATGATGCTGACCATGTTTACTTTTATTTGACATTGTATTAGAGGTCATGGTTAGTGCAGTAGCCAAATAAATGAAGTTAAATGTGCAAAAACTTGGAAATAAATAAACTTTTATTATTAATAGATTACGTTTAGTGGATGAAAACCAAATAATATGAAGACAAAATACCATCAGATTGAACAGGCAACCTACAAAATGAGAGAAAAATGTTGCAATCTATCCATCTGACAAAGGGCTAATATGCAGAATCTACAAAGAACTTAAACAAATTTACAAGAAAATAACAACCCCATCAAGAAGTGGGATAAGGATATGAACAGACACTTCTCAAAAGAAGACATTTATGTAGCCAACAAACACATGAAAAAAAGCTCATCATCACTGGTCATTAGAGAAATGCAAATCAAAACCACAATGAGCTACCATCTCACACCAGTTAGAAGGGCAATCACTAAAAAGTCAGGAAACAACAGATGCTGGAGAGGATGTGGAGAAACAGGACCACTTTTACACTGTTGGTGGGAGTGTAAAGTAGTTCAATCATTGTGGAAGACAGTGTGGTGATTCCTCAAGGATCTAGAACCAGAGACACCATTTGACCCCGCAATCCTATTACTGGGTATATACCCAAAGGATTACATATCATTGTACTATAAAGACACGTGCACACATATGTTTATTGTGGCACTATTCACAATAGCAAAGACTTGGAACCAACCCAAATACCCATCAATGATAGACTGGATAAAGAAAATGTGGCACATATACACCATGGAATACTATGCAGCCATAAAAAAGGATGAATTCATGTCCTTTGCAGGGACATGGATGAAGCTGGAAACCATCATTCTCAGCAAACTAACACAAGAATAGAAAACCAAACACCACATGTTCTCACTCAAAAGTGGGAATTGAACAATGAGAACACATGGACACAGCAAGGGGAACATCACACACTGGGGCCTGTGGGGGGATAGGGGGCTGGGGGAGGGATAGCATTAGGAGAAATACCTAATGTAGATGATGGGTTGATGGGTGCAGCAAACCACCATGGGACGTGTATACCTATGTAACAAATTCTGCACGTTCTGCATATGTACCCCAAAACTTAAAGTATAATTTTTAAAAAATTGCATATAATTAAAAGTAGATATAACTATGACTATAAAACCGCCTCTGAAATGTTACTCTGGGCACACCGCCTATGGGGTAGCCCTGCTCTACAAGAAGCAGCACCTCTGTCGCTGTGCACTGCCGCGTCAATAAAAGTCGCTGTTTAGACAACAACAACAAAAAATTAATTTGGTGAGTTTAGCAAGTTTTTTAGATTAAAAAAATTAAAGAATCAAATAAACACTACTTTTAAAGACATTTGCCATAACATCAAAAACACTGCAGAACTAAAAAATAAATCTAAAAATAGAATGTACTTAAAATGTATTTTACAAATTGACTTATGGATTAAAAATATTCCTAGTAAAAATCCAGTAGGATTCCAGACCTCATATCTTCCCTGAACACTTGATGGGTATGACATGTAATTAAGAAATAAAATTTTGGCCGGGTGCGGTGGCTCACGCCTGTAATCCCAGCACTTTGGGAGGCTGAGGCAGGCAGGTCACGAGGTCAGGAGATCGAGACCATCCTGGCTAACGCGGTGAAACCCCGTCTCCACTAAAAATACAAAAAATTAGCAGGGCGTGGTGGCGGGTACCTGTAGTCCTAGCTACTCAGGAGGCTGAGGCAGGAGAATGGCATGAACCTGGGAGGCGGAGCTTGCAGTGAGCCGAGATCAGGCCACTGCACTCCGGCCTGGGAGACAAGAGCGAGACTCTGTCTAAATAAAAGAAAAAAAAAAAAAAAGAAAAGAATAAAATTAATAAAATAAAACTTTGTTGTTCTGTTACTGCAGAAATTTTAATCCCTTCTGACGGTGCAATGTGATGTTATTGTGTAGTGGGAAGGACCATAACTCTAGTCAGTCTGTTCGCTTATTTTAAAAAAGTCTATGCTATGTACCATGTGCTAAGCACTGTGCTTTACATTTTGAATACTGGCTTCAGCATTCATTATGTGTATAATTTAGCACAAAAATAATTTGTCAAAATTCCTGTCATCATTTTTAAAATTAGCTCATGTGCGTGTTTGAGTATAAATTCGGATTAAAGATAAATTCACTATAAAATTTATTGACTCAAAAAGCTACTCTTTTGAGAGTGAGAATGAGTTCCGTTCTAAAACACTCATAATTAGTGTAGTGGTCTCCATTACAACCGTAGTCAGTTCCCTTTTAATGCCTTCAAAGATCCGATGACAGGAAACTAAAACTTCTTCTTACTACAAGTTGTAACACCAAAAGCACGTGATGAATATTTATTCAAATGTATTAATATGGCATGTGCCATTTGCTATGTAACTACTGATATGGTAAATGTATTTTATTTTCATCTCTATCATGAAATTCAATTTGACTGAGAAAAGCAAGTGGGAAAAATATATCAGTAATGCACCATTTAGATAAACATGCAAAACAAGAGAGACAATATATAATTTTTACATATGTTATGTATGTACAGATGTGTATATGTATAATAAAAATGTATACATATACATAGGAATAATAAAATCAACTTCAGGTACTGGCCATCACTTGAAAGAAGCACAACTGATGCAACCAGGAGGGGAATCATGTACCAAAGCTAAATTGGTAATATTTTATTTTAAAGCTGGAGTGAAACAGGAATTAATTATAGTACTCGATATCTTTGCTATACTTTTAGAATACAGATTAAATATGTAATGTAAATTACTTACTACTAGGAGGATTTACCAATTACGCAGTCTATTTCTTTTTATCCTATGCATTTAACAACATAGTCATTCTCTAAATTTTTGGAAGTTTCAAATTGGCCCTAGTCAGTATACAAACTGAAATATTTTCATAGATTTGCTAGGCAAGACCTGTAGCATATGTGTTGTTACATTATAGAGACTTAGTTTATATAATTATACATAGAGAGACCTATGGAATTATATAGACCTATGTAATAATATAGAACATATTTATATAAACTAGGTCCTGTAATGTTCGGTCCAATGTATTTGGAGAACAATATAAAAACTAATAAGGCTTAAAGATGCTTGTTTTATTAATTTTAGTAACATACTTCAAATACTATTTTCAAATAAATTTTAGAGTTAGCAACTAGTTATACTTATTGAATGACCTTTACTGAGGGCTAACTGTAGCAAATAAAAAGAAAATCACATTGAAAAACAATGCCCAACTGTTTAGAGCTTAAGTTATGGAGCTGTAGGCTATGGGGATCCTAAATCCATACATAGTTTAAATTTCCTATGAGAGAAACAATCCATACAGTTATACAACTAGTTGCAAGACTAATGATGTTCATCTAATCAATAAGTGTTATTTATTCATCCTTGCCGTTATTACAAACGCTATCCACGAAGAGTTGAGTTTTCAGAGAATACTTAAGTTAACAAGACTTGTAGGAAATTCTGTGAGGCAACTTCATATTTAAACATTTTGTTTCCTTACTTATTCACTCAATAAAAACTGAATTTGTCACCTACTATGTGTTAGGGTAGAAAATCATAGTCCTAATTGGTCTTCCAATCCAGAAGGTAATACAGAAAAATGGGATCTCACACACACACACACCAGATTGTGGGTTCAAAATAAACAATATCTACTCTAGAAATTCAACATACATAATTTCTCAAATAATTAAGTACCTTAGTAGTTTTCAGAAACCTATGTAAAGATAGGTATCATGGTTTCTTGCAATTTATAATGGCAAAATTGTTTGAAGAACGAGAAAAAAATACTATGGGTTCCAAGATCTACTGACTTTCATCCCATAGTGTTAAACAGGGAGTAGGGAGTAGGGAGCAGTGTGGTGGCCAAGGATGAAAATGGACCCAAAGTGTCCTTTTTATTGTCTGGTTTTTTCTTCATCATCTTAGGCAAAAAGTACTTTTACTGGGGTATCTGAGGGAACTCATCCACTACACATGAGTTCAGAAGAGATAAAGCTTTAGATGTCTGGGATAGACACAAAAAGGCTTTAACAGAGAAGATTTTGGAGATCTACAAAATTTTTACAGGAGAACAGGACAAGAAAAGTTGGTAGAAGGCATTTTTTCTGATGAGCAATTCTTCCCCTTAGGTGGAAGCTGCTGATCTTAACTAACCTCAAGTAATTTAGCTATTTAATTTTTACGAAGTCTTTTCTATGCAAGCAGTTGCTAAAATTCAAGCAAGCAAATGAATTTAATATTCAAAAGTGAGGTTGTTTTGCCTTTCCTGCAGTGTTACAAAATTAGGATAGGCACTGAGATAAGAATAAAAGATAAGGAAATATTGAGTTTGTATTTGTCCATTTGGATGGTAAATTGTAGTCTGTGTGGTTCTTCAAAATTACTTTAATCTGCAATGAGTTTCAATATTCTTTGAATAATAATGACAAGGATTAATATAAAAACCTTCTCTAAGGAGCAAAGGAATTTTATGGGTGTTATCTAATTAGTCTTCTTAATAACCTTATGTAAGAGAGAGGTGGGGCCAGTGAGAAAATGAGAAAATGTTGATATGAAATTCTAGCTAGCATCACTTAGCAAAGCAGTAGTCATGACCACATGGCCGTGCTCCCTATCCCTGCCAAGTCTCTTTTCTTTCTTTCATGCCGAGTCTTAGCTTGTCATGTGAGGGTGTGAAAACAGGCTTTGCAACCAGAGAGACCCTCAAATGCCACGTCCCGTACATCCAATGCAAAAGCCAAAACCAATATTTCTATAATGTGTGATGTTAATGTAAAAGGGTTAGTCTGCATCCTACTACTTCAATAACCCTATCAAAGTGTGATCCCCATACTGAGGTTGTGAACCTCCTCCAGCACACTGAGGTCCTAAGGCTTCCCGCACCTCTCCTTAGATGTACAACTGACTATACCTCACCCTCACTTATACCGTTCATCTCCCTCACTTTTCTTTCTAACTTGCCTACCACACGTTACTTTTTTCCCCCTATTTCTACAGGGCTTTTCCAAGTGATTGTTTAATAAATGCATTCATATAAAGTCATTAATGACTTGAGAAGATTATCTTTGAAAGTCCCTTCCAATGGATTTTGCATGAGAGATGCAACCCCAAAGAGATGAACCTGTAGTTTAACACATTGCAAATAATTAAGGGAAGAATGGTGGGTCACAGTCTATGCTGTCTCATAAGTCAAGTAGGTGGATGGGATAGAGATTCAAATACCTACTCAAGCTCTAGGAATTTTATGAAGTTCTTCTTTAATTAGGAGCACTAATTCTCCCTGTTATACCCGTGTGCTTTAGAACAGTACTCACTCTCACTCTCAAAAGATGCTATTTGAGTCAGTAAATTATACAGTAAACTTATCCATAATCTGAATTTACACTCAACCATACACACAAGCTAATTTTAAGAGGATGACAGGAATTTCGAGAAATTAAGTAATTTTTCTACTAAATTATGCCCATAATGAATGCTGAAACCAGTGTCTTCAAAATTTAAAACACAGAGTTTAGCACATGCTACATACCATTTTTTAAAAATAAATAAACCAACTAACAAGATTCATGGTTCTTCCCAATACACAATAATTTTCTGCAGTCACAAAAAAAAAAAGTTTTATTCCTTAATTACTTGTCATACCCATCATGTGTTGAAGGAAGTTCTGAGGTCTGGAATCCTATTGAATTTTTTATTAGGAATATTTTAAATCTATAAGTCAATTTGTGAAAGAAATTAAAACCTCCTGTTTTTATATTTATTTTTAGTTATGCAATTTTTTGATGCTGTAGTAAATGTTGTCTTTAAAAATAGTGTTTATTTGATTTTTTTGGATTTTTAAAACTTGAAAACTTGCTAAACTCACCAATTTAAATATTTTGTCTTCATATTATTTGGTTTACATCTTCTAAAATCATCTATTAATAATAAAGTTTTAATTGTTATTTTTCAATTCTTACATCAGTTCATCTATTCGGCTACCTCAGTGCCTGATACAATGTCAGAAAAAGTGGACATGGGGCCAGGCGCGGTGTCTCATGCCTGTAATCCCACCATTTTGGGAGGCCAAGGAGGCGGATCACTTGAGGTCAGGAGTTTGAGACCAGTCTGGCCAACAGGATGAAACCCCGTCTTTACTAAGAATATAAAAATTAGCCGGATGTGGTGGCCCACGCCTGTAATCCCAGCTACTCAGGAAGCTGAGGCAAGAGAATCTCTTGGACCCTGTTGGCAGAGGATGTGGTGAGCCGAGATCGTGTCACTTCAGTATAGCCTGGGAGGCAGAGCAAGACTCTGCCTCAATAAACAAAAACAAACAAACAATAAAAGTGGACATTGCAGGCATCATTATCTCAGTGCAATCTACATCAAGAATGATGTTTACTGTACATTTATATATACCCTTACCATATGAATAAAGATACTTTCTGTTCCTGAAATGCTAAGAGTGTGTTTTTTCTTTTAAAATTAATAAATACAGGCTGGGTGCTGTGGCTCACACCTGCAATCCCAGCACTTTGGGAAGCCGAGGCGGGTGGATCACTTGAGGACAGGAGTTTGAGACCAGCCTCACCAATGTGGTAAAACCCCGTCTCCACTAAAAATACAAAAATTAGCCAGGCATGGTGGCGGGCACCTGTAATCCCAGATACTGGGGAGGCTGAGGCAGGAGAATCACTTGAACTCAGGAGGCAAGGTTGCAGTCAGCCAAGATTGCGCCACTGCACGCCAGCCTGGGTGACAGAGAGAAACCTGTTTCAAAAAATAAAATAAAATAAAAATGAAAATTAATGAGTACATGATGAATTTTATCAAAAAATTTTCTGTATTTATTCTGGTGTTCATAAAATGTTTTCCTTAACATGTTAATAAAGAAAAATGCATCAATTATTCAAATTTAATCAATTTTGAATTTAAGATAACAAGTCAACTATATAAAATTATTTTACCATATTTTTACATAGTAATGTATTTGATTTGCTAATATTTTGCTTAGAATTTTAAAATATATGATATGTAATAAAATTGATGCAAAATTTTCTCTTTTTTATATTGACCTTGTCATGGTCATTAAGGTTATTAGCCTCATATAATGATTTGAAGGATGTGTCTTTTTTTCTATTATTTGAATAATTAATTTGATATTTGAGCAATTTCTCTCTTTATGATTTGATGTTTCCATTAGTAATGTCATGTGGCCCTGAAAAATCTTCCTGGGAAGACTTTAATTACTAAATAATGAACATTGATCATTATATGATCAGCTAAGATTTGTCATTTTGTGTCAACTTTACTAAGTAATATTATCCTCGTGATTTTATCATTTCATACATACATATATACATACAAACGTACATACATGCATATACATACAAACACATTTTGTCATAGATTTACTCAAAATATTATCCTATAATTTTAATTCTACAGGAAACGTTAGTGGCATTGCATTTTTCTTGCTGATATTGACAATTATACCTGTGTTCTCCTCTCCCTCCTTTCCTCCTCCATCCTTTCTACCCCACTGTACTTTTTTTCTCTCTTTCTGTCTCCCTACTTTTATTTTAATCAAGTAGGTTTTAGATACATCAGTTTTATTAGTCTCTTCAGAAACTAACATTTATATGTATCAATTCCCTCTAAATATAGTTTTTTCTGTTATCTTCATAATATATTCCTTTCCACTCCTTTGGGAATGTTTAGAATTTTTTTTGTAATTCAGCAAGATAAATATTTTTCACATTAATATTCTTATTGGTATTCTTTGTTTTTAAGACATCCACATAAGGTTATATATTTTCCTCTAAATATAAAAAATACCTAAAAATTTGATATGCAGTTTATTCTTAATTATCAAAACATTTTCAATACTTAATATAATTTTGTTTGGTTCATGGCTCATTTATGAATCATAATCTCTGAACATATTCTAACCTTAACCTTTACACTTTTGTTATTGATTTTTAGCATTTGTGCACTGTTGCCACAGTAACTACATATACATTTTAATCTAATTTTGAGTTCTATATTTTATATTTTACATCATATTTTTAATTATTTTAATTCTCCACTGAGGGTATTCCCTGCTCACTCAACTGATTACTCAGAAATACATGATAGTATTTTTCATTGTGATTGTTGATATACCTACTTAATCTTGAATATATATTAATTTTTGCTTTACATTTTTGAGGTAATATAATTAGATATGTACAAATTTAAAATCATCTTCCTGATAAATAGAATCTATCATCATTATGAAATTACCATAGTTTCTGGTAAATTTTTTCTCTTAAAGCTTGCTTTGTCTGATATCAATATAGGTATGCCTTCATGATTTTGTCTAGTATTTTCATTGTATTATTAATTCTCATGTTATATTAAATACTATTTTTATGTATAACATATTGTGGTTTGATTGTCATTCAGCCTTCTAAGCTTTCTTTTTTAACCAAAGAAACTAATTCATTTGCATTTTATTTAATTACTAATATGGTTGGAATTTTCATTGTCTCACTTATTCCTTGGACCTCTCTTACTCCTTTCTTGTCATTTTTGAATTTATCTCACCATTTTTTTTCTATTAGTATGAAAGTAATCCATTGGTTAACTATTTTAGCAGAGATGCTAGAAATTTCAAAATGCATTCTTGATTTTGAAACATTTCATATCAATAGACATATCTATCCTTCTTATAGAAAGTAAAGTATATTGGATTACTCCAATTGCAATTATCCCTTTATGGTTTATTGTTGTATAATTCTATTTCAATGCATTTTTGAAGACAGTATTGTATCATTATTGCTTTATACTGTCAAAGTTCACTTAGGTATAACCACAGATTTGTTGGATCTGCATCTGACCTTCCTTCTGGAATCATTAACTTTTTGCCTAAAGAAATTTTTACAATTCTCTTTAGTGTTGTTCTTCTGGTGGCCAAGATTCTCAGTTCCAATTGTTTGATAAGGTCTTTATATTATTCTAATTTTTAAATTTCTTTTCTTTCATTTATGATGTTTTAATTTTGGAATTTTTTTACTTCTCTCAATTTAATGACATAATTCAATTGCCTTATAACTTCAATTGCTACTGTTGAGAAGTCAGTTGTAAGTCTTTCTTTTCATCTCTCATATTTCTTAAAGCTGAAAATGCTTTCCTATATCTTTTTGACTTTTTTTTTTTTTACAGTTTCACAACTGTAAACATGCTTATATGTTTAAGCAGGGAAATTTTAAAAATTTCCTTGAGAGTTTCTGCAATTCTTGGAACTATAAATGTTCTTAATCAGTTATTTAAAAATTTTCAACGATTTCTTTTCTTAAAAAATTTACTTTTCCCAGCTGTTTTTCTTCTTTTCTTCTGAAACTGCAGTAGACTATGTGCTGTACATGAATACTCTATTCTCTATGTTGCTTACCTTTATTTCTGCATTTTTTACCTTTTTGTTTGCATGGTTTACTCTAAATAGCATCCACTGACCTATTTTCCTGGTCACAATTTTCCTTCAGCTATGCCTGTTCTACTGCAGTACAATTAAACTGAGATTATAAGCTTAATATACACGTTCATATACGTATTTTAAAATCTATGTAAATTTTTACTAGTTTTCATTTCTTCCCAAAAGTTTCAAGCTTGACTTCATCATCTTGAATGAATGAAAATATTATTTTACAGCAATATTTCTAATATCTGGAGCCCCAATGGATCTGTTTTTATTAATTATTTCTGCTCTCTCTTGCTGATAGAGTCCAAGGTACTGATTTGTAAATGTGTCTGTATGTACCTATATGTTGAATATTACATTTGAAAAGAATTGGAGTCTCATATTGATTATCCTCTTAAACCATGCTAAAGTCTTGAGATTCTCTGGGCCACACAGAAAGTGCAAAGGCTAGCTATAGTCCATAGGCCAATTTATTTTGTTCATTTTTTAGAGTTAGAGCCAAAGGAAGGTGATGGTTTAACAGTTCTCCATTCTTAGTAGGCTCAAAATCCCTTGTGGGCTGAACACTTATGAACCAAATTATGGATTTAAATACTACTAATGCTCCTTATACACAGTATTATTCAAAAGAGAAGGAAGAAATCGTTGGTTGATGGGTAAAGAAACATACACATTTTTAAGTGGACATGAACATATAATCTGCATTTCTCACTATTTTTCTACTACCCATTTTATGCTATTCTTGCACCAAACCAGCACATCAACTAAATGAGAATCTTTACTTAGTAGATTAATATAAGCTTTCATTTTTAATGGATCTGAGTCTTTAGAGGTTCTGCATTTACTGAAATATTATATATTTATTTTGACCATTACTATAGGATATGAAAGCATTAAATATTGTCTTCCCTGCTCTTATTTGTAGTAGCAAACAAATTTTCAGTTAATAAAAGACATTATCAACACAGATCGCAGAAACCACTGTTTGTTCAGGGTCATGAGAAGAGCAAACCAAGATGAGTGAATTTTCTCACAGGAAGTAAGTGGGTAAAGAAAGAGGACCAAAACTAATTCCTCAATCCAGCTTGGCCCCAGACTCTTCTGTGATATTGTATTTGAAATGTAGACTTTTGGACTTGCTTTAGTCTCCTTTGTTTGGTATTTTTCAGGCTAAGGTCCAGAAAACTTTTATTAAAAAAAAGGCCATATATTTATAAAAGCAGTTTTGAATTGCTAAAACAATTAATAATCTGCAGGTATCTTTTTAGATTCAGATGGAAAACTTGAAACAATGATAAAAAGGTAATGAATAAGTAGATATAGCTTAATATAGGAAAATGTTCTGGAAATTCAATTTTCTTTAATAGAAAGAGCTACTATTTAAGTTGCTGAGCGTACCAAGTGTCCAAAATGTTTTAGCTTAGAACAGATGCCTACTAAGGATGCATATTGTAGTGAAGATCCCTATGGTGATCAAAGTTTGCAAGTAATAAGTAATTTATCTTCTGATTGATTGTAATATATCATCCTATGTTTCAGCCCCTCAGATGGATACATTAATATCTAGTGAGAAGAAATAATTTTGCTAATATATATTATTTATGTTCTTATGTTGATAAGACAAGGTTTTATTATAGTAGAACAGAAGTTGCTTATATAGTTTCTGACTTTTATGCTCATGAGGAACTGCTGTGAGACCAGATATTACCAGTATATCGCATTTCCAAAGGGTAAAACTGGCAGACTCTCTTCTGAATATGTCTTCAAAACAATGAATTATCCAAGTACGCACTCCTTGGTAAAATGTATGGCTTCTCTGTTTGCAAGATCACATCTTTAATCTGCCTCTTTGATGGAGTGCCCTTCCTTCGCCTTATCTTCAACCATGACTTATGTGCTTTTTCTGGCCATCCTTTTTTTAGCATCTAGGTTTACACTGCTACCAAATCTAGAGTTTGGGGTAAAGGACACAAAATTTCCTGAAGTCAGTATCTACACTGTCATTATTCCAGGAACATAACATTTCTACCTTGCTAATAGTAACTTTGAGATGTGACTCACTTGAATTAGATTCATGATTTGGCAATTTATTGGCTAAATGATTTCAAGCTAGCCATTCCATCTTATTTTCTTTTTATTTAAGGGGATAATAATATCTTTCTCTCCCTCAAGGGGCAATATGGAGGTTAATTAAATGGTACAACTTACATAAAGCATTAGACAAACATTAGAAACTCAATAAGTGATATATACATATTTTGTTTTGATTCTGCATTAGGCTAAGATACCAAAGGCCTCAGAAGTAGCGTCTGAATCCCAAATCTATTTTGCTCCAAAAGTTTTTAAACAACATTACTTTGTTAGAGAAAGAACAGCCAAGAGGCTCACTTTTTACTCACTGGGAAATGAGTGATGATCTTAATCTATAGCAACTTCAAGCACATTGACAGGTCAGGGAAATATCATATTTGAAGGGATTGATTTTTCCAATGAGAAGTCTTTGTTTTTGTTTACAGTGATTGGGAAGAGGACATTGGAATGAGGCAAATATTAAACTGAGCAAACACAGCTCAACACATCTACATAAAGAAGGCAATCAACTAGCATACTATTGAGTAAGAAATCCCTTACCCTTCCTTGGTTATTTTTAGTCCTTTTTTCTCTGCTTCTCCTCTCTTTTCTGGGGCCACTGATCTACTTCTAATTGCTTTTATGAGGATCAGACTAGGAGGCATTAGAATGCACAGAAAACAGGAAAAAATATGTTGACTATCCTAGGAGAAGGGCAGAGTTGCTCCCTCTAAAAATGCTCAGTTACTAGGTAAGCTGAGGCTTCAGGCAAACAAATAGACAAAAAACATTAGTCATATTAGTCTACAGTCCAGATTGAGAACACTATCCTATTAAAACCCAATTTCTTATGTTTTGTGTCTAAGCGGCCCTGATAAATCAAGGCAAAGAAATATCATGAGTGTAGTGGAAAAACTAAATGTAAAAGTAAGAAAATGAGATTAATTTTGAGAATGCTTATTTTTAAATACCTGCAACATATTAAGAAGAGATGTCAGAATTCATGGTATATAGGAAATACATGAAACTATTCTGTTAGGCTTATTATTAAATGCTACTATGCTCATTTTGCATAATTGTTTTTATTTCATGTATGGTCTGACTACCAAGTAGGTTATAAGATTCTTAAGAAAGGTCTGAGTAAATCATATTTCTACTACATAGAGTTATGCAATTATTATAGCAGTTATATAGTAATTATCAATAAATACTTAAGTTGATTTGGTTTGACACTAATAAGCTGTATAGCTTGTGCTCACTGAACTTCTATGGGCTTCAATGTTGTAATCTATAAGATGCTGGCATGAGATAAACACAGTTTCCAGTTCCTGTCATGCCTAAAGTGCTGATTTTTATATATTGTTGAATTGAACTCTATACCTCTTGTTGGTTGTTTATTAAATGTTTGTAGATGGGTCTTTGAAAGCCCATGATTAAATGAGATATGCTAGTTGTCATCTGGATGAGCAAAGAAGGACCTGACTTACGCCCTAACAATAGTTTTATTGTCCAAAAGGCTGTGTGGCCAGGAAACATATTTGGTTCCAGTGATTGTTTTTATTAGTAAAAAATAGCATGAAATGTTTCCTTCTGTTTTATCTATATAAGACAAATTCTTTGAGGTGAATTGTATAAATTTGTGGCTTTTCACCTACTATGTCTCAGAGAATAGGATATGACTGAAAAATATTTATTTTGGTGTTGGAAATTTTAAAGTTATGCACTCAAAGGAGTTCTTTAAGAAAAAAAGAAGTATTTTTCTTTTTGTTACAGAAGGCAGAAATGTGAAGATTGGCATTTGCTGTCTATTTGGGTATTGCAGAAATTTCAAAAGGCTACCGTCCTCTTTCATCGGTGTCCCAAAGTGTGTTGACTGCCTGCGTGGTCTCATCAAGTGGCCTAATCTAAATGAGCCTCTACTTCCTCAGGTCAAAATGTTGACATTTTTTAACTAGTTCAAAAGAGTCATGTTAAATAATAATAATCATACCAAATTGAGCATGCATATATATAAATTTTGTCTACATTATTGAGTATATTTTCTTGAACATAGTACAGACCGTAACAAGCACTTACTATAACATAATTATTTATTTCTTGATGAAGTAGTACTGGAATTAAGCAAAAAAGGATAGAACAAAGTTTTGAGGCATTAATATGTAGAAAAGAGGTCAAGAAAAAAAACTACAATGAGATTATTTAAAGTTGAACTAACATTTCTCGAGCATCCAAGGAATGGCAGACACAGGGTTAGAATTCTTCCAAGTACTATCTGACTTTTTCTCTTCCATCCTGCTAGGCTTATAATCAAATGCTACCAGAGCGTGGCCTGGCAGCAACGAGCATTGTGCACCGCGTAAGAGAGGCAGCCCAGAAAAATGAACTAATAATTGAAGTTGGTGAATTTTTGAGAATGACTTCACGTACCACAGAGATGGTTGATTTTTATTATCTTAAAGAAACTATCAACTGCCTCTTTTATAAAATAAGTACTGCAATTATATAGTTACTGTTGAAGAAAAGTAACTTTGTTTCATGTGTCAGAATATAATAAAAGAAGTGGCTTAATGGCAATCAATTTATTAAGAGAACATAAACCCAGGAGAAAAGTGAAAAAAGAAAAAAGCATATATGGAAACAATGGCATGGGGAATGTAAGAAAAGGCAGGATGTTAAACCCCATGGCTATGCCACAGATGCGAGTAAGCCATGGGTCATCCTGACTACATGTAGTTTTACAATACAGCTGGCAGTGGATTGTGAGTAAAGTTCCCGTGTCCAAACCTTGATAGGAAGATTAGAGTTAGAGAGAGATTTGGAAATTATCTTTGTAGAGATGACTGAAAACCATAAGAGATGATAAAATGCCCAAGAGATACAGTTTCTTCATCCAGTAAAGAAAAAAAAAAGAGAAAAGGAACTTGTCATAAATAATCCATTAGATCCTCAATAAGCAAGTGGACACTGAGCAATAATTAAATGACAGGCAATATTACTGGTGCTGAAGACAGGTAAGCAATGTCCATGCCGTAAAGGAACGTCAAGGCCCATGCTCTAATGGAACATAGAGTACAGTTGGAAGAAATAAAGTTGGTAAATTATATACATAAATACATGGATTTTTAAAAAATGAGATAGGCTGAGCATGGTGTCTCATGTCTATAATCCTAGCACTTCGAGAGGCCAAGGCAGGAGGATGGCTTGAGGACAGGAGTTCAAGACCAGCCTAGGTAACAGAGCAAATACCATGTCTCAAAAAAATATTAAAATATAACTGTATATAGCAATGACTGCTAAACTTACAGATGATGAGATAGAAAACACTGGCAGCAAAGTGGAGGTGACAGTAGGTCACTCAGATAGAGGTGTCAAAATTCCCTCACTGTAGAGGGGACATTTGACCTGAATTAAAATAATGAAAGAACAAGAGAACTACTTGGGGAAAGGTCAGCCTATGCCAAAGGGTCAGGGAGTACAAATATTCCAAGAAAGAGAAGGCTTATACATGTTATTGATTTATTGGTTTCATTTTTTAAAATTTCTATAGCTTTAGGGAGACAAGTGGTTTTTGATTACATGCATTAATTTTATAGTGGTGACATCTGGGCTTTTAGTGTACCTATCACCCGAATAGTGTACATTATATCCAATCAGCAATTTTTCATCCCTCATGCTGTCCCACTGCCCCCCACTCCTGAGACTCCAATGTCCATTATACCACTCTGTGTGCCTTTGGGTGCCTATCACTTAGCTCCCACTTATGAGCAAAACTGTGCAGTATTTCATTTTCCATCCCTGAGTTACTTCACTTAGGGATAATGGCCAATTCCATCTAAGTTGCTGCAAAACACATTATAGTGTTCTTTTTTTATTTAGAATGTCATGGGTGCTGGTCAGAGCAAGTTAACATTAGGATAGAAAGAAAATAAGTTAATGGTGTGACTGAAAAAAGTAAGAGTAGAAATCTCTAAAATTCCAGGTGATCTGAAGGCAGAAATCTTACACAAAACCTATACCACAAGGTTTTTAGGGCATCAGCCTACACAATATTGCTCAGATTGAATAAATGTAATGCCTATAGTTAGGAACTGCAGTCAAGGGATATATCCGTCTTACAGGAGGTGGAAATTGCTTGTAATGGCTTTATTTATTCTTGAGCTTTTATTTTTTTTTCTATTCCATTCCCTGCCTATGTTTGTTTTGTGTGTACAGGTGCAGAAGGCAAAGACAAAATTAATTTAGTCACTAAAATGAAAAAGCCCACAGGTGACATCAGCTGACCTGCTTCTGCCATGAAGACAACCAGACTGTATTAGGCTTGGGGGTAATAAAGCTACTCTGTACACCACCCCATACAAAAAAAAAAAAAAGTCAACCTAAGAAGAGTCTATAATACAAGTCACAACTATACCTCCAGAGCCTGGTTTATAGCTCTTTCTCCCATGGCTGTTTTCATTTCTCCCTTTTACACCAAAAGACCTAGAGTCAGTAGATGCAAGCAGAGCAGCAGAATCTTGTTATGGCCTAAGTATTAAAACTCACCAAACTCAGAGAGTTGGACCAAAAAGACAAGCTCAAAAGTAGCCCTCTTAAAATGCAAAGAATCACTTAGGACCAATCAAAACTCCCATGCGTAAACACACTTTGAAAATTGACTTTCAGTAAAATGTATTCCCGTGTAACTATTTTCAACTCCTTTAGAGTTTGCTCTTAAGCTCTGTCATTGCGTATTTATTTCTCAATTTCCCTGACTTTTCACTTATTCTGCAATCATTAAGTTCTGGCTCTTAAGGTTGGAGCCTCAGAATCTTTTCTAGTGACTAGCACTGAGCAAACATCTAACAAGCTTGTGATTTTAATGTACAGTGGCAGCATGAATGTAAACTAACAAAGAAGACTCAAAAGCACCAAGTACAATTGCTCATTAAATTATCATCATTTTCTCACACTAAAACCTTCAATAAACCCGTTTCATTTTAACATTGTTATGTATCTCAAAGATATTTTATAATTTATCTAACCAGTAGCTTGTTGTTAGTTATGCAGTTTGTCCTCATTTTTCTCTAACAAATAATGACACAAAAATTTTCTCCCAATGTATAGGTTGTGTGTTCATTCTGATGATAGTTTATTTTGCTGTGAAAAAACTCTTTAGTTTAATTAGATTCCATTTGTCAATTTTTGCTTTTGTTGCAATTGCTTCTGGTGTTTTCATCATGAAATCTTAGCCCATGCCTATGTCCTGAATCATATTGCCTAGATTATATTCTAGGGTTTTAAAGGTTTTGGGTTTTATGTATTTAAATCTGTAACCCACCTTGAGTTAATTTTTGTATAAGGTGTAAGGAAGGGGTCCAGTTTCAATTTTCTGCATATGGCTAGCCAGTTTTCCCAGCACCATTTATTAAATAGGGAATCCTTTCCCCATTGCTTGTTTTTGTCAGGTTTGTCAAAGATAAGATGGTTGTAGACATGCAATCTTATTTCTGAGTTCTCTACTTTGTTCCATTGGTCTATGTGTCATTTCTTGTAACACTACCATGCTGTTTTGGTTACTGTAGCCTTGTAGTATAGTTTGAAGTTGAGTAATGTGATGCCTCCAGCTTTGTTCTTTTTGCTTAGGATTGTCTTGGCTATTTGGGCTCTTTTTTGTTTCCTTATGAATTCTAAAATAGCTTTTTTCTAATTCTGTAATGAATGTCAATGGTAGATTAATGGGAATAGCACTGAGTCTATTAATTACTTTGGGCAATATGGCCTTTTTCATGATACTGATTCTTCCTATTTATGAGCAAGGAATGCTTTTCCATTTGTTTGTGTACTCTCTAATTTCCTTGAGCCATGGTTTGTAGTTCTCCTTGAAGAGGTCCTTCAATTTCCTTGTTATTCCTAGGTATTTTATTCTTTTTTAGCAATTGTGAATGGGAGTTCATTCATGATTTGGCTCCCTTGTTGCCTGTTGTTGGTGTAAAGGAATGCTAGTCATTTTTGCATACTGATTTTGTACCCTGAGACTTTGCTGAAGTTGCTTATCAGCTTAAGAAGCTATTGGGCTGAGACTATGAGATTTTCTAGATATAGGCTCATGTCATCTGCAAAAAAGATAATTTGACTTCTTCTCTTCTATTTGAATACCCTTTATTTCTATCTCTTGCCTGATTGCCAGGGCAAGAACTTCCAATAATATGTTGAAAAGGAGTGGTGATAGAAGGCATCCTTGTCTTGTGCCTGTTTTCAAGGGGAATGCTTCCAGCTTTAGCCCATTCAGTATGATATTGGCTGTAGGTTTCTCATATATGGAGAAATTTTTTACCATCTATCTATTTGACAAAGGTCTAATATCTAAGTCTACAAGAAAATTAAACAAATTTAGAAGAATAAAACAAACAATCCCATTAAAAATTGAGCAAAAGACATGAACAGACACTTCTCAAAAGAAGACATACATACAGCCAAGAGGCACGTGAGAAAAAAAGCTTAACATCACTGATCATTAGAGAAATGCAAATCAAAACCACAATGAGATACTACGTCAGACCAGTCAGATTGTCTATTACTAAAAAGTCAAAAAACAACAGATGATGGTGAGGTTGTGAAGAAAAAGAAACATGTTTACACTGCTGGTGGGAGCATAAATTTGTTAAACCATTGTGGAAGACAGTGTGGCAATTCCTCAAAGATCTAGAGGCAGAAATACCATTTGACCCAGCAATCCAATTACTGGGTATATACCAGAAGGAATATAAATTATTATATTATAAAGATACATGCATGTTTATGTTCATTGCAGCACTATTCACAATGGCAAAGATATGGAATCAACTCAAATGCCCATCAATGATAGACTGGATAAAGAAAATTTGGTACATATACACCATGGAATACTATGCAGTCATAAAAAGGAATGAGATCATGTATATTGTGGGGACATGGATGGAACTGGAAGCCATTATCCTCAGCAAACTAACACAGAAACAGAATACCAAATACCACATGTTCTCACTTATAAGTGGAAGCTGAACAATGAGAACACATGGACACATGAGGGAAACAACACACATGGGGCCTATTGGTTGGGGATGCGGGAAGGGAGAGAAGCAAAAAGAAAAGCTAATGAGTGCTGGGCTTAACATTTGGGTGATGAATTGATCTGTGCAGCAAACCACCATGGTATATGTTTACCTATGTAACAAACCTGTACATCCTGCACATGTACCCCAGAATGTAAAAGTTAAAGAAAAAAAAAGTTGTGAAAAAACAGCAACAAAAATAAATAAATAAATAAAAATATTGGCACAAAAAAAGTCTGCAAACCTTTTTGGTCAAAGGCCAGAGAGCAAATACTTTGGATTTTGTTGGCCATATTGTCTCTGTCCCAAGTATCCAACTCTGCTTTAGTGACACAAAATTGCTATAAACAATAATAAATAAAGTCTTTCTATAAATTCCATGGGCTGTTCTCCTATTAAACTTTATTTTTTAAAAAATGCTATAGGCTAGATTTGGCCCATAAATAGTATTTGGCCATCCCCTGGTTTAAAGCACATTACTAACCCTCACATATTAAATTATTGTTTAAGTATCCCCAAAATGTAATTAATCAAAGAAAGTAGTGATTTCAAATTATTTGATATATTTTGCCAAATTTCTTTCTAGATCTGTGATATTCAAAAGTAATGCATATGTGTGGCTATCACTTCACATTCTTACCAGTATATTTCTAACATTGTGTATGTATATGTCTAAATACACACATATGTACATTTACATTCCTAATCTGGAAAACCAGAAATATTTTAGCCTATAAGTTCTTTCAGCAATTATCATATAAAAAATGATATTTCACTTTACTTACAGGCTTACCACAGAAATGTTGCAGGTTTTGTTTCAGACCTCCACTATGAAGCAAATATCACAATAAAAAGAGTCACACAAATTTTGGTTTCCCAATACATATAAATGTTAACTTTATACTATACTGTAGTCTATTAAGTGTGCAGTAGCATTATGTCTAAAATAGTGCATACCTTAATTAGAAATAAAATTATTATAAAAATGCTAATAATCATCTGAGCCTTCAGCGAGTCATAATCTTTTTGCTGGTGGAGGGTCTTGCCTCAGTTTTTTTTTAGCTTTTATTTTAGAGTCAAGTTTACATGTACAGCTTTGTTATACAGGTAAATTCCATGTCATGGGGGTTTGGTGTAGAGACAGTTTCCTCACCAAGGTCATAAGCATAATACCTGATAGGTAGTTTTTGATACTCACCCTTCTCCCAATCTCCACTCTCAAGTAGGCCCTAGTGTCTGTTGTTCCCTTCTTTGGGTCTATATGTACTCAATGTTTAGTTCCCACTTATGAGTAAGAACATACCATATTTGGTTTATTGTTCCTGTGTCAGTTTGCTAAGGATAATGTCATCCACCTCTGTCTATGTTCCCTAAAAATACATGATCTCATTCTTTTTTATGGCTGCATAGTATTCCATGGTGTATATGCACTACATATTTTTTTTGTATCTATTCTACCATAGTTGGGCATTTCAGTTGATTTCACTTCTTCGCTATTGTGAATAGTGCTGCAAAGAACATATGCACCCATGTGTCTTTATGGTAGAACAATTTATATTCCTTTGGGCACATACCCAATAACAGGATTGCTGGGCTGAATGGTGGTATTGTTTTAAGCTCTTTGAGAAATTGCCAAACTTCTTTCCATGATGGCCAAATTAATTTAAATTCCCAGTGTATGTAAGTGTTCCTTTTCCACCACAAACTTTCCAGCATCTGTTATTTTTAGACTTTTTAATAATTGCCATTTTGACTTGTGTAAGATGGTATCTCATTGTGGTTTTCAAATTGCACTTCTCTAATGATTAGTGACATTGAGTATTTTTTTACATGCTTGTTGGCCCATGTTTATGCCTTCTTTTGAAAAGTGTATGTTCATGTCCTTTGCCAACTTTTTAATAGAGTTGTTTGGTTTTTGCTTGTTAATGTGTTTAAGTTCCCCATAGATTCTGCATATTATACCTTTGTCAGATTCGTACTTTGCAAATATTTTCTCCAATTCTGTGGGTTGTCTGTTTACTCTGTTGATAGTTGATAGTTTCTTTTGCTGCATAGAAGCTCTTTGTTTAATTAAGTCCCATTTGTCAATTTTTATTTCTGTTGCAATTGCTTTTGGTGTCTTTGTCATGAAATATTTTCCTGGTCTTATGTCCAGAAGGGTGTTTTCTATGTTATCTTCCAGGTTTTTTATAGTTTTGAGTTTTATATTTGTCTTTAATCCGTGTTGAGTTTATTTTTGTATATCAACAAAAATTGATTTTCATATGATGTAAGCAAGGGGTGCAATTTCAGTTTTCTGCATGTGGATAGTCAGTTATCCCAGCACCATTTACTGATGGGGAGTCATTTCTTCATTGCTTACTTTTGTTAATTTTGTCAAATATCAGATGGTTGTGGGTGTGTGACATTACTTCTGGGCTCTCTATTCTATTCCACTGGTCTATGTGTGTTTTTCTACCAGAACCATGCTGTTTTTGTTTTTGTAGCCTTATAGCATAGTTTGAAGTCAGAAAATGTAATGTTTCCAGCTTTGTTCTTTCTGCTTAGTACTGTTTTGGCTACTTGGGCTCTTTTTTGGTTCCATATAAATTTTAAAATAGCTTTTTCTAGTTCTGTGAAGAATGTCATTGGTAGTTTGATAGGAATAGCATTGAATCTGTAAATTTTGGGGGACATTATGTTCATTTAACAATATTGATTCATCCTATCCATGAGCATAGAGTGTTTTTCTATTTGTTTATGTCATCTCTAATTTATTCCAGAAGTGTTTTGTATTTCTCATTGTAGAGGTCTTTTGCCTCCCTGGTTAGCTGTATTCCTAGGTTTTTTTAATCCTTTGTGTGGCTATTGTGAATGGGATTGCATTCTTGATTTGGAGCTCAGCTTGGATGTTGTTGGTGTATATTTGTACATTGAGTTTATATCTCGAAAATTTGCTGAAGTTCTTTAACAGGTCAATAGGCTTTTAGGCAAAGACTATGGGGTTTCTAGGTATAAAATCACATCATCTGCAATCAGAGATAATTCGGATTCCTCTTTTCCTATACGGGTGTCTTTTATTTATTGTATTTTTCCTGATTACTCTTTCCCCGATGTTGATGGTTTCTGAATGATCAGGACGATGGTTTCTGAAGTTTGAGTGGCTGTAACATTTTGTTTTACATCAGAAATGAGTGAAACACTTAATATTGCGAATCAGTTTTTGTCTGCTGAACTGTATTATCATCATTGTATGTGGAAATTTACTAAAATGAAACAATGAAGTTTGCCACATTGACTCTTCCTTTTATGAAATATTACTCTGTAGCATGTGATACTGTTTGATAGCATTTTGCCAACAGTAAAACTTCTTTAAAAATTGGAATCAATCCTCTTAATCCCTGTCACTGCTTTTTCAACTATGTTTATGTAACATTCCAAATTCTTGTAGTATAGTTTGAAGTCAGGTAGCATGATGCCTCCAGCTTTGTTCTTTTGGCTTAGGATTGACTTGGCAATGAGGGCTCTTTTTTGGTTCCATATGAACTCTAAAGTAGTTTTTTCCAATTCTGTGAAGAAAGTCATTGGTAGCTTGATGGCGATGGCATTGAATCTATAAATTACCTTGGGCAGTATGGCCATTTTCATGATATTTATTCTTCCTACCCATGAGCATGGAATGTTCTTCCATTTCTTGTATCCTCTTTTATTTCACTGAGCAGTGGTTTGTAGTTCTCCTTGAAGAGGTCCTTCACGTCCCTTGTAAGTTGGATTCCTCAGTATTTTATTCTCTTTGAAGCAATTGTGAATGGGAGTTCACTCATGATTTGGCTCTCTGTTTGCCTGTTATTGGTGCATAAGAATACTTGTGATTTTTGTACATTGATTTTGTATCCTGAGACTGCTGAAGTTGCTTATCAGCTTAAGGAGATTTTGGGCTGAGACAATGGGGTTTTCTAGATATACAATCATGTCGTCTGCAAACAGGGACAATTTGACTTCCTCTTTTCCTAATTGAATACCCTTTATTTCCTTCTCCTGCCTAATTGCCCTGGCCAGAACTTCCAACACTATGTTGAATAGGAGTGGTGAGAGAGGGCATCCCTGTCTTGTGCCAGTTTTCAAAGGTAATGCTTCCAGTTTTTGCCCATTCAGTATGATATTGGCTGTGGGTTTGTCATAGATAGCTCCAAATTCTTTGTTGTCTATTCAACAATGTTCACAGCATTTTCAACAGGTGTAGATTCAATCTTAAGAATCTACTTTATTTGCTCATCCATAAGAAGCAACTCCTCATCCAATAAGGTTTTATTATGAAATTATAGTAATTGACTCACATTTCTAGGATTCACTTCTAATTCTGGTTCTCTTATTATTTCTACCACATCTACAGTTACTTCCTCTGCTGAAGTATTGAATCCCTTAAAATTATTTTTAAGAGTTGGAATCAACTTCTTCCAAGTTCCTGTTAATGTTGATAATTTATCCTACCCATGGATCACTAATGCTCTTAATAATATCTAGAATGGAGAATCAGTTCCAGAAGGCTTATAATTTACTTTTCCCAGATCCATCATAGGAATTACTATCTATGGTACCTATATCCTTATTTAACTTACTTCTTAAATGATAAGACTCAAAAGTCAAGATTACTTCTTAATCCATAGGCTGCATAATGAATACAGTGTTAGGAGGCAGGAAAACAATATTAGTCTCCTTGAATGTCTCAATCAGAGATCTTGGTGACCATGTGCATTATCAATCAATAAACCATGCTTTAAACAGATGTGCTGTCATCCAGGCTGTGTTGTTCCATTTCTAGGCCACAGTCAGAGTAGATTTAGCATAGTTCTTAGGGGTCCTAGGATTTTCAGAATGGTAAATGAGCAGTGCCTTCAACTTAAAGTAACCAGCTGCATTAGCCTGTAACAAGAGAGTCAGCCTGTCCTTTAAAGCTTTAAAGACAGGCATTGACTTCTCTCTAGTTAAGAAAGTACTGGATGGGGGATCATGGTGGATGGGAAGCAAGACTAGATTTCAGCATCCACTTGGATGGACAGAGCAGCATGTGGAGTATTGCATTGTGAATGTTTGCTTTAGAACTACTACATGAATAAGTCTGAAAAGCCAAGAGAACCCATGACCCTCTAAAGGAATCACATTGCTCCTGCAGGAACCAGGAGATACTCCAAATATTGTGAGTGCCCAAACTGTGAAAGCGGGAAAGGAGGGTCATCCACCCCTGAACACACACCCTCACTAGGGAACAGGAATGTCTAGATCACAGGAGAAGATTCTGACCTTACCTGAAGCTGAGTCAGTTTAGAGAGCCAAGAAAAATACAGGGGTAGAGGAAGCAGCAGATAAAGCCCTGTGGGCTATCTGGGTCCCCTAGGAAGCCATTTCTGCCTTGCCCCACAGGGAACCTTGGGGCAGGTTGCTAGCGGTACTGGGAAAAGGCCACAGGAAGAAGAAAACATCTAGCCAAACTTTAAAACAATTCCAAATGAATGAGAAGTCTCCTGGCCAGAACTTGGGAGAGGGTGTGAATCCCATACGCAGACTCCACAGGTGGGAAAGCACGAAAGCCCTACTTGCTTTCACAGCTGGGAGGATGGTAGCCTTGGGCAAGTTCTCATCCCTGCTTGCCCACTGCCTGGAAACAGACTTGGTGCTGTTGGGAGTGGGGGCAACAGTGGGAGTGAGACTGGTCTTTTGGGTTTTCTGGGGGCTGGATAAGTCCTACGACTGCTGGCTTTCCCCCACTTCCCTAACAACCTGCATAAACAGCAGAGGCAGACATAATCTTCCTGGGAACACAACTCTATTGACCTGGAATCCACACCACCATCCTGCACAGTAGCTGCAGCAAGACCCATTCAAGGAGAGTCTGAGCTCAGACATGCCTAGCCCTGCCTCACCTGATGGTCCTTCCCTATACCACCTGGCAGCTGAAGACAAATGGCATATAGTTTTGAGAGTTAGAGGGCCCCGCCCACTCTCTGATCCTCCCCATACTACCACAGCTGATGCTTTCTTGAAAATACCACCTCCTGGCAGGAGGCCAACCAGCACAAAAATAGTGCATTAAACAACCAGAAGTAAGGACTCTCAAAGAGTACATTTCCCCCTACCACCACCTCCACCAGAACAGGTACTGGTGTCTACAGCTGAGAGACCCACAGAGAGTTTAACGTCTCAGGACTCTGTCCAGACAACCCCCAGTACCAGCCTGGAGCCTGGCAGACCTGTTGGGTGGCTAGATACAGAAATGAAATAACAATCACTGCAGCTCAGCTCTTGGGAAGCCACATCCCTAGGAAAAAAGGAGGTGTAGTACATCAAGGGAACAGCCCCTGGGACAAAAGGATCTGAGCAAGAGCATTGAGCCCTATACCTTCCCTCTGACATAGCCTACCCAAATGAGAAGGAACCGGAAAACCAGGTCTGGTAATATGAAAAAACAAGGTTCTTTAACACCCTCAACAAATCATACTAGCTCACCAGCAATGGATCCAAACCAAGAAGAAATCCCTGATTTACCTGAAAAAGAATACAGAAGGTCAGTTATTAAGCTAATCAAGGAGGCACCAGAGAAAGGCAAAGCCCAATCTTAGAAAATTTAAAAAATGATATAAGAAATGATGGGAGAAATCTTAAATAGATAGTATAAGTAAAAAAAAATCAAAACTTCGGGAAACAATGGACACGCTTATAGAAATACAAAATGCTCTGGAAATTCTCATCAATAGAATCAAACAAGCAGAAGAAAGAACCTCAGAGCTTGAAGACAAGGTTTGCAAATTAACCCAATCCAACAAAGACAAAGAAAAAAAGAATAAGAAAATATGAACAAAGTCTTCAAGAAGTCTAGGATTATGTTAAATGACCAAACCTAAGAATAATTGGCAGTCCTGAGGAAGAAGAGATATCTAAAAGTTTGGAACACGTATTTGGGTGAAAAATCAAGGAAAACTTCCCCAGCCTTGCTAGAGACATAGGCATCCAAATACAAGAAGCTCAGAGAACATCTGGGAAATCATTACAAAAAAATCTTCACCTAGGCACATTGTCATCGGGTGATCTAAAGTTAAGGCAAAGGAAAGAATCTTAAGAGCTGAGAGGCAAAAGCATCAGGTAACCTATAAGAAAAACCTATCAGATTAACAGCAGATTTCTCAGCTGAAACCCTACAAGCTAGAAGGGATTGGGGCTCTATCTTCAGCCTCCTTAAATAAAACAATTATCAGCCAACAATTTTGTATCCAGTGAAACTAATCTTCATAAATGAAGGAAAGATATAGTCTTTTTCAGACAAACAAATGCTGAGAGAATTCACCACTGCCAAGCCAGCACTATAAGAACTGCTAAAAGGAGCTCTAAACCTTGAAACAAATCCTGAAAATACATCAAAACAGAATCTCTTTAAAGTATAAATCTCACAGCACTTATAAAACAAAAATATAATTAAAAAAAAGTATACAGGCAACAAATAACACGATGAATGGAATCCAGCTCAATACTAAAGTTGAATGTAAATGACCTGAATGTTCCACTTAAAAGATACAGAATTGCAGAATGGATAAGAATTCACCAACCAAATATCTGCTACCTTCATGAGACTCACCTAACACATAAAAATTCACATAAACTTAAGGTAAAGGAGTGGAAAAAGACCTACCATGCAAAGGATACCAAAAGCAAGCAGGAGTAGCTATTCTTACAACAGACAAAACAGACTTTAAAACAACAGCAGTTTAAGAAGACAAAGAGGGACATTATATAATGATAAAACACCTTGTAAACAGGAAAATATCACAGTCCTAAATATATATGCACCTAACACTGGCACTCCCAAATGTATAGAAGAATTACAACTAGACCTAGGAAATGAGACAGACAGCAACGCAATAATAGTGGGGGACTTCAATACTCCACTGACAGCACTAGACAGGTCATCAAGACAAAAAGTCAACAAAGAAGCAATGAATTTACACTGTACCCTGGAACAAATGAACTTAACAGATATTTACAGAACATTCTACACAACAACCAGAGAATAGACATTCTATTATTCAGCACATGGAACTTTCTTCAAGATAGACCATATCATATGCCACACAAAACAAGCCTCAATAAATGTAAGAAAATTTAAATTATATGAAGCACTCTCTCAGACCACATGGAATAAAACTGGAAATCAACTGCAAAAGGAATCTTCAAAACCATGCAGATACATGGAAATTAAATAACCTGCTCCTGAATGATCATTGGGTCAACAATGAAATCAAGATGGAAATTAAAAAATTACTTGAATTGACCAACAATAGTAACACAACCTATCAAAACCTCTGAGATAAAGCAAAGGCAGTGCTAAGAGGAAAGTTCATAGCCCTAAATGCCTATATCAAAAAGTCTGAAAGAGCACAAACAGACAATCTAAGGTCACGCCTCAAGGAACTAGAGAAATAAGAACAAACTAAGTCGAAACCCAGCAGAAGAAAGGAAATAACCAAGATCAGAGAACTAATTGAAACTGAAACAACAACAAAAAGCAATACAAAAGACAAATGAAATGAAAAGCTTGTTCTTTGAAAAGGTAAATAAAACTGATAGACCTTTAGCAAGATTAATCAAGAACAGAATAGAGGAAATCCAAATAAGCTCTAGTAGAAACGAAATGGGAACTATAATAACTGACACCACAGAAGTATAAAAGATCATTCAAGGCTGCTATGAACACCTCTATGTGCACAAACTAGAAAAGCTAGAAGAGATGGATAACTTCCTGGAAAGATACAATTCTCCTAATTTAAATCAGGAAGAATTAGATACTTTGAACAGACAAATAAAAAGCAGCAAGATTGAAATGGTATTAAAAAATCATCAACAAAAAAGTTTAGGACCAGATGAATTCACAGCTGAATTATATCAGACATTCAAAGAAGAATTGGTAGAAATCCAATTGATATTATTCTACAAAATATAGACAGAGGGAATCCTCCCTAAATCATTCTATGAAGTCACTATCACCCTAATACCAAAACCAGGAAAAGACATAACCAAAAAAAGAAAACTACAGACCAATATCTCTGATGAACCTATATGCAAAAATCCTTAACCAAATGCTAGCTAACCGAATCCAACAACATATCAAAAAGATAATCCACCATAATCAGGCGTGTTTCATACTAGTGATCCAGAGATTTTTTTTGAAATATGCAGTCAATAAATGTGGTACACCACGTAAACAGAATTAAAAACAAAAATCAAATGATCATTTCAACAGATGCAGAAAAAGTATTTGACAAAATCCAGTATTTTTTTCTTTTTTTAGATGGAGCCTTCCTCTTGTCACCCAGGCTCGAGTTCAATGGCAAGATTTTGGCTCACTGCAACCTCTGCCTCATGGGTTCAAGTGATTCTCCTGCCTCAGCCCTCTGAGTAGCTGGGATTACAAGCACCCACCACCATGCCTAGCTAACTTTTTTTTAAATTTTTTAAATTATTATTTTTAGTAGAGACAGGGTTTCAGCATGTTGGCCAGGCTGGCCTCAAACTCCTGACCTCAGGTGATCCACCCGCCTCGGCCTCCCAAAGTGGTGGGTTTACAGGCATGAGCCACTTCACCTGAGCCAAAATCCAGTATTTCCTTATGATTAAAACTCTCAGCAAAATCAACATACAACGGACATACCTCAATGTAATAAAAGTCTTCTATGACAAACTCACAGCCAACATAATACTGAATAGGGAAGAGTTGAAAGCATTCTGAGAACTGGTACATGACAAGGATGCTCACTCTCACCACTTCTATTCAACATAGTACTGGAAGTCCTAGCCAGAACAATCACACAAGTGAAAGAAATAAGGGGCACCCAAATCGGTAAAGAGGAAGTTAAACTGTTGTTGTTTACTGACGATACATTTTTCCCTAGAAAACCCTAAAGAATCCTCCAAAAACTCCTAGAACTGAGAAAATAACTCAGAAAAGTTTCTGGATACAAAATTAATGTACACAAATCAGTAGCTCTCCTATACACTAACAGTGACCAATCTCAGAATCAAATCTAGAACTCAACCCTGTTTACAATAGTTGCAAAAAACAGAACAAAACAAAAACCTTAGGAATATACCTAACCAAGGATGTGAAATACCTCTACAAGGAAAACTAAAAAAACACTGCTGAAAGAAATCATAGATGACACGAACAAATGGAAACACATCCCATACTTACATATGGGTAGAATCAATATTGTGAAAATTACCATACTGCCAAAAGCAATCTACAAATTTATGCAATTCTCATCAAAATACCAATATAATTTTTTATAGAACCAGAAGAAACAATACTAAAATTCATAAGGAACAAAAAAAGAGACCACATAGCCAAAGTAAGACTAAGCAAAAAGAACAAATCTGGAAGCATCATATTACCTGATTTCAAACTATGCTATAAGGCCATAGTCACCAAAACAGCATGGTACTGGTATAAAAATAGGCATATAGACCAGTGGAACAGAATACTGAACCCAGAATAAACCCAAATACTTACAGCCAACTGATCTTTGACAAAACAAACAGCAACATACAGTGGGGAAAAGACACCCTATTCAACGAATGGTGGTGGGATATTTGGCAAGCCACATATGGAAGAATGAAACTGGATTCTCATCTCTCCCCTTGTGTAAAATCAACCCAAGATGGATCAAGGTCTTAAACCTAAGACCTGAAACTTTAAAAATTCTAGAAGATAACATCGGAAAAAAACCTTCTAGACATTGGCTTAGGCAAGGATTTCATGAGCAAGAACCCTAAAGCAAATGCAATAAAAACAAGGATAAATAGCTGGAACTTAATTAAACTAAAGAGCTTCTGCCCAACAAAAGGAACACTCAGCAGAATAAACAAACAAGCCATAGAGTGAGAGAAAATCTTCACAATCTATACATCTGACAAAGGACTAATATCCAGAATCTACAATGAACTCAAGCAAAGTAGTGAGAATAAAACAAACAATCCCATCAAAAAGTAGGCTAAGGACATGAACAGGCAATTCTCAAAAGAAGATATACAAATGGCCAACAAACATATGGAAAAATGCTCAACATCACTAATGATCAGGGAAATGCAAATCAAAACCGCAATGTGACATCACCTTACTCCTGCAAGAATGGCCATAATAAAAAAAAATAGATGTTGGCATGGGTGCGGTGAACAGGGAACACTTCTTCACTGCTGGTGAAAATGTAAACTAGTACAACCACCATGAGAAGCAGTATGAAGAAAGAAGTAAAAGTAGAACTACCATTTGATCCAGAAATCCTACTACTGGGTATCTACCCAGAGGAAAAGAAGTCATTATATGAAAAAGACACTTGCACATGCATATTTGTAGCAGCACAATTCGCAATTGCAAAAATGTGGAACCAACCCAAATGCCCATCAATCAACAACTGGATAAAGAAACTGTGGTGTATATGTATACGATAGAATACTACTCAACCAAATAAAGGAATGAATTAATGACATTCGCAGCAAGCTGGATGAGATTAGAGACTATTATTCTAAGTGAAGTAACTCAGGAATAGAAAACCAAACATAGTATGTTCGCATTCATAAATGGGAACTAAACTATGAGGATGCAAAGGCATAAGAATGACACAATGGACTTTGGGGACTCAGGGAGAAAGGGTAGGAAGGAAGTGAGGGATAAAAGACTGCAAGTTAGGTGCATTGTATACTGCTCAGGTGATGTGTGCAACAAAATCTCACAAATCACCACTAAAGAACTTACTCATGTAACCAAACACCACCTGTTCCCCAATAACCTATGGAAATATTTTTTAAACGAATGTCCTGGATAGCATCATCTTTCAATAAAAGGATTTTTTAAAATCTACATTGAAAAATCTGTTGTTGAGCATAGCAACCTTTATCAATTATCTTAGAGCTTTTGGACAACTTTCTGTAGCTTCTACATTGGAATTTGCTGCTTCATCTTGCATTTTTATGTTATGAAGATGACTTCTTTCCTTAAACCTCATGAATCAACCTCTGCTAGCTTCCAACTTTTCTTCTGCAGCTTCCTCATCTCTCTTAGCATTCATGGAATTAAAGAAAGTTAGGGCATTGCTCTGGATTTGGCTTTGGCTTAGGAAAATATTGTGGCTAATTTAGTCTTCTATTCAGACCACTAAAACTTTCTTCATATCAGCAACGCTGCTTCTCTTATCATGCATGTGTTCACTGGAACAGCATTTTTAATTTCCTTCAAGAACTTTTTCTTAGCATTCATGGCTTAGCCATGTGTTTGGCAAAAGAGGCCTAGCTTTCAGCTGGTCTCAATTTTCAGCATGCCTACCTCATTAAGCTTAATAATTTCTAGCTTTTGATTTAAAGTGAGAGACATGCAACTCTTCTTCTTTTGAAATAAATACTTAAAGGCTATTGTATGGTTATTAATTGGCATAATTTTAATATTGTTGTGGCTTAGGGAATAGAGAAGCCTGAAGAGAGGTAGAGACTTGGGGCAATACCTGGTTGGGTGGAGCAGTGGCAACACACACAGCACTTCTCAATTAAGTTCACCATCTTATATGGGAGCGCAGTTTGTGGCACTCCAAAACTATTACAATAATATCATCAAAAATCAGTGATCACAAATCGCTATAACACATACAATAATAACGAAAAAGTTTGAAATACGGCAAGAATTAACAAAAAGTGACCTGCAAAACTGAATGCATAGTGCTGGAAAAATGACACCAATAGACATACTTGTGGCAGGGTTTCCACTAACCTTCATTTGTAAAAGGCAATACCTGAGAAACACAATAAAATGAAGCTCAATAAATATGAGATATGCTTGTATTTTTTATTTTTTTTTCAACAAACAATAGATTTGCTGCAAAATACTGCAAAATACTTGGGCTTACACTAAACTAAAAACGTTACCACATTACAAAAATATGAAAAGTACATTATAATGGGTTTCAGTACTCCAATACAACAATAATTGTACAAAGCCATTATATACTAATCTGCTGTCTGGATGACACTCATTGGCAAGAGTGACAGACATGTTTACAGCATCCGGGAATAATGGATTAAATTTGGTATACAAGCTTATATGTGATTGAATGATTACCAAATGAAGGAAAGAGAGCCGGATTTACTGTGCCTGCTTGTCTTAGTAAGAAGTGCTTACCTAAGTGTAGACAAAGTTACTAAAAGTTGAAAAGTATTTTCTTCGTAACAGGGGTGTCTGAAAGGCTCCACAAAGAGAGAAGCAAAAAATGACACACAACGGTTCTGTGCTGACTGAAGACATCAGTGAATGGCTTGAAGTCAGCAATTAAATTTTATCAAAGACAAATTATCATTATTGTAGATTATTGAAATATCATTAATGAGCATTGTTTGAGAATGTCTATCTGTTGTCAATAAACATAGTAAGATAAATAAATGAAGGCATATAGACAGTGGTACTGTTTTTGAGTTATTAAAGGTAGAGAACCAGTAATGGTAGTTCTTATTAGACTTTCCCTCTAGCTGACAATAATTATAAACCCTGGACAACAACATTAAAAATGTGAAAACAAACATTTGAAGACACTAGAAAGTGAACAAAATTAGGGAGAAACTTGAGAGTAGTCATTCCTTGAAAGAAAGGAAGGCATATGGAAATGTTTGTGTTTGTATGACTTTTCACCTGATGACAATCCAAGATCTTTGCAGCAACAGGAAAAAATCAGAGATAAGAGTTCATGGACCTCAACGCGACTAATAAATGGAGCCTCAAGATCTATGTGCAAACACTGCCAAGCTTCTTGGTTGAATCTTTGAGAAAAAGTGTGGGATTCAACCAAGAGTTCAGCAGAAGGTAGCAGCAGTAAGACTGTGAAAAATGAACTGATTTCCACTGCGAGGAAGACGAAATTTGGAGTTTCAGTCCAGCCAATTTAACTACCTACTAAAACAAAAACGACACATTTCAGAGTAAGAAAACACAATTCAGAATATCTAAAACACATCAATGATAAACGTTATATATTTATATAACACATAAAATATATAGTTATATTAACTTATATTTATTTGTGCTTAAATTTATATAAGTATTGTCATGGTAAGAATATAGTCTTTCAATACAGGAACATGGGATGTTTTTCTACTTAGTTGTCTTTAATTTTTTAGCAATGTTTTGGAGTTTTCAGTGCACAAGTCTTTCACTTCCTTTATTAAATATGTGCCTAAGTATTTTATTCTTTTTGATGATACCGTAAATAATTTTTTAAATTTCCTTTTTAGGTTTCTTTTTTGTGTGTAAAATGTTTGTAAATTTTATACCCTGAAACCTTGGTGAATTTGTTCATTTGCTCTAATCGTTTTATTTTGGAATCTACAATGTTTTCTACATATAAATACTGCCATCTGTGAAAGCAGTTAATTTTGCTTATTTCTTTTCAGTTTGGATGTCTTTTGTTCCTTTTACTTGGCTAATTGTTCTGGCTACATTTCCAATACTACATTGAATGGAAATGACAAAATGACTATCCATGTCTGGTTGCTGATTTCACGGGAAACTATTTCAGTCTTTCACCATTGAGTATGAAGTGATCTGTGGTTCTTAAATACATGGCATTTAGGCCTGGCACTGTGGCTCATGCCTGTAATCCCAACACTTTGGCAGGCTGAAGTGGGAGGATTGCTTGAGACTAGGAGTTCAAGACCAGCCTAAGCAACATAGTGAGACCTCATGTTTACAACAATATAAAAAAAATTAGCTTCAGTTTATTAATGTAGTATATTATATTAATTTGTGTATGTTGAATCAACTGTTAATTCCAGGAATAAATTTCAGTTGACTGTAATTTATAATTTTTTAGTACACTACTTAGATCTGTTTGCTAGTATTTTGTTGGGGACTGTGGTATCAATATTCACATAGGATATTGGCCTATAATTTTATTTGTCTTGTCTGGATTTGGTGTCGTGGTAATGCTCACCTCATAAAATGTACTACAAAGTGCTCCCTCCTTTTCTATTTTTTGGAACAGTTTTAAGAGGATTGTTTTTTCTGCTTTAAATATTTTGTGGAATTCACTGGTCACGTCACCTAGTTCTGAACTTTTGCTCGGAAGTTTGTGATTCTATCTCCTTTCTAATATAAGTATATTCAGATTTTCTGTATCTTTTTAAATCAGTTTTAGTAGATTATGTTTTTACAGAAATCTGGAATTTGTCCACTTTATCTAAGATATCCTTTCTGCTGGCATACAATTGCTCATAGTATTATCTCATAATCTTTATTTATTCTGTAAAACTTTAGTAATGTCCTTACTTTTTTCTGATTTTAATACATTGAGTCTCGCTTCTTTTAAAGCATTTATTTTAGCTAAGGATTGGACAGTTTTGGGGATCTTCTGAAATAACCAACATTTGGTTTTTGGATTTTAAAATTTTTTTTTATTCTTTATTTTTCTGTGCTTACTTTTTATTATTCCCTTCTATTTGTTAGCTTTAGATTGAGTTTGCTCTGTATTCTCTACTTCCTTAAGTTATAAAGTTAGGTTATCAATTTAAGGTATTACCTGTTCTTTAATTTATATATTCAAAGCCATAAATTTCTCTGCTATTACTGCTTTTGCTGCCTTCAATAAATTTAGGTACATTGTTTATTCATTTTCTTTCTTTCTTTCCTTTTTCTTTTCTTTTCTTTTTTTTTTTTAGACATGGGCTTGCTGTGTTGCCCAATGGGGTAAGATACAGCTCACTGCAGCCTTGACCTCCTGGGTTCAAGTGATCCTCCTGCCTCAGTCTCCTGAGTAGCTGGAACTACAGGCAAATGCCACCATGCCCAGATAATTTTTGTATTTTTTGTAGAGACGAGGTTTTGACATGATGCCCAGGCTGGTCTATTCATTTTCACTTTTCCTAAGATAATTTCTAATTTCTTTTTTAATTTTCTCTTTGACCCATTAGTTGTTTAAAAGTGTGTTAATTTTCATCTATTTGAGAATTTTCCAGTTGTATTTATTGATTCCTAGTTTCATTTCATTGTAACCAGAAAAGATATTTGATGTTATTTCAATCTTTTTAGAGTTGTTTTGTGGCTCTAATTGTTTTGTGGACTTAACAATCATGTATGAACTCATATGAAATTAACATAAAACACAGATAAAATACATACAATATGTTATGTTAATATATTGTTTATACTGGAAAATGTTCTACTGATGCTTGAGAAAACTGTGCGTTCTGATATTGTTGAGTGGAGTGTTCTGTATACAGTTCTGTATATGGTATGTGTTTTCAGTACATGCTATAACTTTTTAGTTACTCATTTCTCTACCAATTTTGTAGTTTATTTTTGGTGGTAAAATTTCTTATTTATTTCTCATTTCCTTTTTAAAATATTTTATAGTTTGTATGTGTTTGTGTGGTTAGCATGGATTATATTGTATGTATATAAGGATATTATATATATATATAAAATATCCTTAAGACTTAACAATCTTGTATGAATTCATATGAAATTAACGTAAAACACATACAAAATCTCAACTTCTATGTATCACGAATTACATTGTTATATGTTGTGTGCCTAGTAACATAGATCAATACTCATGTTTTGCATTTGCTTCTTAAATTCTGTAAAATGTGAAATTACAAACCAAAATTACAGTAGTACTGGCTTTTATATTTGCCAATTTATTTCCCCTTAGTGAAGATCTTTATATCTTCATACAGGTTTGAGATACCGTCTAGTGTCCTATTCTGTCAACCTGAAGGACATCTTTCAGCATTTCTTGTAGGGCAGGGGGAGGGTTATGAACTCCCTCAGATTTATTTATTTCAGAATATATTTCTTCTTCACTTTTGAAGGTTAATTTTGCTGGATACATAGTACTCAGTTGGTTTTTAATTTTGTGGCACTTTAAAAATATCATCCAACTGCCTTCTGGTCTCTAGGGTTTCTGATAAGAAATTGGCTGATTATCTTATAAGGATTCCTTGTATATAACTAGTTTCTTTTCTCTTTCTGCTTTCAAAATTTTCTTTGTATTTATCTTTCAACAATTTGATTATAATATGTTTCACCGTAGATTTCCTTGGGTTTATTCTTACCAAAGTTTGTTGCTCTTCTTAATTTGTAGATATATTTCTTTCATCAAATCTGGGTTGTTTTGCCATTACTTTTCCAAATATTCTCTCTGCTCCATATTTTTTTCTTTTTCTCCTTTTGATAGCCTCAATATGTATATCAATCCACTTCATGGTGTGCCACAAGTCCCTCATACTCTGTTCGCTTTTCTTCATACTTTTTTTTTCATTTTCTCAAACTTAAAATTTTAATTTTCCTGTCTTCAAGTTTACTGATTCTTTTTTCTTCCTGTTCAAATGTGCTACTGAACCCCACTAATGATTTTTTTATTACAGTTACTGTACTTTTCAGCTGCTGGATAAGGAAGTTGCAAATACGGAAAGTAGAATAGTAGAATATACCCTAAGTTTTGGGGTTTAACATACGTTTTTTAACATATTACAGATAGATACACAGATAAGAGTCATATGCATAAATATAGGATTAGAGTTGATATATGAATGTATACATATTTAGACATATATATATATTTATAAATATCTATGCATTTCCATGTCTATGTGTGTGTGTGTGTGTGTGTTTCAGCTCTGTTTGCTACAAGGACCTAAAATTATTTACACACTAGTGACAATGAACATATCTTAAACTGGTTGTTTCTGAATACCAGTCTACACTAAGAAGATTTACGGGCCTTGGATAAAAGATTGTTCTAGAGGCTGGAGCAGAAATGTGCAAGATGACATTGAGAGATCTTGTTGCTTCAGAAAGCAGAAAACTATGTTTGGAATAATAGAAACATAGGAGCCAAATATTAGGTTATTTGAGTATGAATAAATTAATAATTATTATGAAATATTGCAAGACTATGTAAATATTCCAAATTTTACATGTGTATATTTATGTTTGGTAGTGTATATATTTGTCTGGCATGTAATACAATTAAAGTTAAGCAGCCTATCAAATCAACATGAATACCATATGCAGTTAGCAAAATGTAGCCAATTCTGCTAATTAGTTTTATAAAAATCATCAATCTAGCTCACTCAAGGCAAAAGTCCAAATGATTGGCTATCACAAGCTAAAAAAAATGAACATAATTTCAGGCATATATCTTTTAATTAAAATGTTTAACAGCAAATTTTATTAATAAATAATAAAAGTGCTACTATAAATTTATTTACTGATTCTTTCTGAAAATACTTTTGAATTATTCTGCATCAGAGAGTGGTAGGAGCACATGCTCTAAGGTAAGAATGTCAGTCATTAGATCCTAGCTTCACTCTTTACCAGATACATGACCTTGTGCAAATTGCTCCTACCAAGGCCTCTAATGCCTGATCTATATAGTGCAGACAATAAGGATTCATATTTCCTAGGGATATTGTGTGAACTGCGTGAGTTATTGCATATAGAGATCTCCTTACCTAGAACGTACTAAGTTTCCATTAAGTGTTAACCATTTTCTCATCAACTTTATCAAACAATTTGCATAAACTTGGCATCAGTGTATTGATTTGGTACTCCTAGATCCACAAAGTTTTAATTAAAAATTACCAATGCCATAATATCTATACCAAATATTAAAACATATGTAACACCTTCCCAGTGAGAAGATACATCACACACACACACACATATATTCCATGTGCACCCACACATACAAATAATTTTCTTTGTACATATTTAAATGTATATATGTGCATTACTATAATTATGGGTATGTGCATTTCTGTCAATATATACATAGAAAATCAATTTTCAGAAGAAACCTATACAAACTGGACAAACTGTCATCTCTGTGAGTGAAATAATGAAAATTTTAATTTATTTACATTTTAAAGTATTTTTGTTTTACATATATAAAGAGTATGGGGGCTGTGCTGCTTCTTTTTACTTTTCCTTTTTTTTTTTTTTTTTTTTTTGCTTTTGAGAAGGAGTCTCACTCTTGTCACCCAGGCTGGAGTGCAGTGGCAGGATCTTGGCTCACTATAACCTCTGCCCCCCGGGTTCAAGTGATTCTCCTGCCTCAGCTGGCTGAGTAGCTGGGACTACAGGCACGTGCCACTACACCCGGCTAATTTTTTGTATTTTTAGTAGAGATGGGGTTTCGCTGTGTTAGAATGTTCTTGATCTCCTGACCTCATGATCTGATACCTCATGATCCTGATCTCATGATCTTACTGGAAAATTATAAATAATGAATCAACCAAAAAAAAAAAAAAAAGCCAGAACTTTTGTCCTGAAAAGAGACAGCTGTGGAAGATAAAAAGCCGACTGAGCTTTTCCACATTTATTTTCTCTTCTACCATGTGGAAATGATCTGAAGGGAACTTAAAAAGGTTGACAGGTCCCCAACCATTGTTTATCTTGTGAACACAGTGAACTTATTGTCACAGGAAAAGAATAAAGGTTAAAAAGAAGTTAATATGGAACTGAAGCTCTATAACCTAGACCAGAACATATTAAAAATAGATATCAGAATCTGGATATTTAATTTAGGAAAAGGTGAAAAAATGCTATTGTTAAATGACTAGTATGTTAACTGCATTATCCCATGTTAATCTGAACCATACACTGATGACATAACTATTACCACCTACATTTTAGACATGAGAAAACTGACGGTCAAAGAGCTTAAATAATTTTCTCAGTATTACATAGCTAGGAAGTGATAAAATCAAAATTATATTCAGGTTTTATATGCCAGAGTTCTTTTCTTTTTCTTTTCTCTTCTTTGTAAATAATACATTTTTATTATAAAAGTTGCAACTTTCAAGTTTTAGGACATCTCAAAAACAAAAATTATTAAGATTAAAATAAAATCACAAAATAATTTGAATATACATAACATTTTATATTAAACAATTTATAGAGAATAAAATCATACTCCATATTTTTAGTCAAATGATATTGTATTACATGATATGAATATTTGACTTTTGTATAATTTTATATTTTGTATTAGATTCAGTGGTTTCATGTGCAAGTTGGTTACATGTGCATGGGTATATTGTGTGATGCTGAGATTTATATTTAAAAGATTCATGGTGTTTTTTGAATTGATTAATTTTTTAGAAATTTTCCATATATTCTGGATATTAATGATTTGTCACTTATATATGTTGGTAATAAGGTTTTTTGAACCTCTCCGTTGTCTATTATTAATACAATGTTTAAATTATAACATGGTAATTTTAGCCAATTGTTACATCTTCATTCTATTTTGCAGTTAAACATACCATCTCATTTCCAAGCTTACAGATACAGTATTTGTATGTTTTGCCAATTATATAATCATGATCCTGAATTACATCAAAAAGAGCATTCTTTATCCAACTTATTGGATATGGCATATTTGTTATATGAATGTCAATTTCTTGGCTATGTCAATACTACATTATATTCATTTCTGTTAACTTACATGGGGCTTCCACTTTTACTGAAAATTCTACCACATCACCCATCTTTAAAATAGTCATAACTACTGTTGCCTGTTTTTCTTTTTCATATGAAATTTAGGCTTAGGTTGTAAAGTTGCTTAAAAAGTTATATTTGGTTTTTGATTGGAATTATATTAGAGTTATTATATCTAGAATTTATATTACTGATTAAATTTATAGACTACTTAGGAGGATAATTATTATTTTTAAAATAGGGTCCTGTGTTTAAATAATATATTACCCAATTTTATCCAATTTCTAGAAAATATTTATGGTGGGGGTAGCAAGTACCCATGTCTCTAGTGCCAAAGGAAGAAATATTAACAAACGAAGCTGATTAGGAGTAAAACAAAATAGAAAATTAGTCAATGGTAATTTATTATATATTTTTAAATAACTGAAAAAGTAGAATTGGAATGTTCCTAACACAAAAATCAATGTTAAGTGCTTGAGGGATGGATACCCCAATTATCCTGACTTGATCATTATACATTGTATGCTTGTACCCGTAAATATATACACCTATCATATACCCACAATTACTAAAAATAAACGAAAGAAATAGAAACAGGTAGGTTATGAAAAAGTACTATGCGTATTATGTGTATTTATATTTATCATTCAAATTCATTGTCTTTAAAAACAAAACAAAACAAAAGAGCTGCTGGTCAAATAAGTCTTTCACCAAGAGGTGACAGCATTGTGGTCTCTGATTGTTATTTTTTGTGTTTATTTTCCATTTTATTTAGATCTTTATTATTTCTTGTCATTAGTAGTTTTTTTCTATAATTTGATTATGATTTTATTTTCTATTGACTTCTGCTAACACATAAGAAAGTACTTGATGTTTTTATGCTGATTCATATCTAGAATAAAAAAGCTCATTATTGTATGTGCTAATAGTATGATCATATGATCAGGTGACTTTTTTATAGTTTACTATAATAGAAATTACAAATAAAAATGGTAACCACTTTTTTAATATTTATACATATGATATTTTACTTTATTACTTTGACTAAGAACTCTAATTCAATATTGATTATTAATAAGGTTTTTAATAGGATTTAATGACATTTTTAAGAACTCGTATTCATAAGCAAGCCTGCAGTATGTGAGATGAGCAGACTTGTGTTAATCTATTTACGTTTATATTCATAGACACATATGGCATTCTTATCTGATTTGGATATTAAAGTTACAGTGAGTGAGGAAATTTTCATCATATCCGAGAAAGTTTACATTACATGGCAATTATCTAGTTTTCAAAGTTCTGATAGTCACCACCTGTAAAACCATCAAAAGTAGATCCTATTTATCTGGATAGAACTACAGCTTCGTATCCTTTATGCATATTGAAATAATCATGTGTCTGCCTTTCTCTTATATAACCTTTTCAGTGTACATAAAATGTATTTATTCCTATAAATAGATATATTCATGTAGGTATTCTAATTTTGCTAAGAATTTGTACAGAGTAGTTCAATATATTCCGTGTCTATAGTTATTAAACTTTGTCGTACTTATTTCATTACATTTTGTCTTTTTCTCTATTTATTCTTGGCCATATTTTCCAACATGTATCTTTACATTTGTCTCTTAAAATATAAGGACATATTTTTAATGAATTTTAAAAACCATCATTATGGAGGACTTTGATTTTTAGCCCTGCCATATAAAGAACATGGAAGTCTTCTCTCTCATTCTTACAAGAAAAAAGTGAAAAAGTAAAAATTAATGATTGTTTTTTGGATACATCAGAAAACTGAAGTCACAGGAAAAACTGCCATCCCAAACTCTGGACAAACTGGTGAATCCAGAGAGTCACACTCAATATCTGGGTATATGGATTAGAAGATTCTAGCGCTATGAGTAGTAGAAACACTGAAATAGTCATTTTAATTAATTGACATAGGTTGAGTGTGGAATAATTTGAGAGACAGAAACTACTGCAAGTGTAGCCTTAGAAAGTTGCCACAATTTTACGAATTTTTCTTTCATGAAACCTACCAGGTTATCATAGTAAAAACTCCAAAAAAAATTTTCTCATGGCTAGTGGAAAAAAAGAGTAATCATTTTGGAATAAACTTGAAGTGTTCTCCATAACATATGCCTATTCTCCAAGGTAAAGGCTTATCCCAGTAGCAGAAAGGCTTTCTCCTACTGCAAACCCGTATCATTGGATAAACACTTCTGAAAGTCACAGCCCAGAGACAGAGGGACACTAAAGACTGTCATTGAATCAAAATATTATATAGCATTTCCCCTTGCCCATAAATGACCACTACACTAACAGAGGTACAATAAATTCACAATGGATTACAGTTAATATTATTTCAAGGCACGCATTCCATTCACGAAGTAGTTCTTAGAAAAAATCCAGAGAAGACAGGGGAGACAAAAACAAAAACTCTAGAGGAATGTGAACCCTTAGGAACCTATTGCTACAGAAAACAACCCAATTAAACCCAATAAAAAACAACCCAGTTCCTATCAATTAACATAATACTCACATTCATACTCAGTGGTTATTACATTGTAGATGTTCAATTTTAATAAAATATTACAGGGCTTGCCAAAGGAAAAAAAACACAAGATGTGAAAAGAAAAATTAAATATTAGAACCAGACTTAAATATAGCACAGGTGTTGGAATTATCAGACAGAAAATATAAAACTCTGATTAGTATGTTAAGAGTTCTCCTGGATACATAACGTGCAATATTAGATAAGTAATGTAAGTACAGAAAGATAATTTTACATCCAATAAGGAATCAAAAGAAATGTTACAAATTAAAAAAACACTAACAGAAATGAAGCATTTGAAGGGGTCATGATTAGACTACACACAACTTATAAATAAATAATTGAGCTTAAATATAGGTGAATAAAAAATTTGCAAGCTTAAATTCAAAGAAAAAATAAGTGGAAGATGCAAAATGGAAAATTAAAAAACAATAAAATAATTTCAAAAGCTCTAGCCTATGCTTACTTGAATACCAGAAAGAGAAGACTTAGCAGAAGGAATATCTGAAGTAATAGTGCCAGAGAATGTTCCAAAATTAACAGTAGACACCAAGCCACAGATCCAGGAAACCTCAAATAACATCACACAAGATAAATTGCCAAAAAATTACAAGTCTTGTCATATTCAAACTGCAGAAATACAAGACAAGAAAAAAAAAAGTCTTGAAAGAAGCTGAGGATGAGAAACTTATCTAAAGAAGGATAAGAATTACAAAGGACTTCTCATCAGAAACCATGAAAGCAAAGAGACAGCAATAAAATATTTAATATTTAACATTTTGAAAGAAAACAAATTTACTAAACTAGACTCCTATATCTAGCAAAATTATCTGTATGAACTTAAGGAGAATTAAAGACTTTCTTAAAAAACCATTCTAATAGATAATAACCATTCTAATAGATATGAGGTAATATTGAAAGCTTGTTTGCATAATAACCATTCTTGTTTGCATTTTTCTGGCAATTAGTGATGTTTAGAATTTTGTCATACATCTTTTGGCCATTTATATTATCTTCTTTTGGGCAATTTCTATTCATGTCCTTTGCCATTTTTAATCAGGTTTTTTTTGTTATTAAGATATTTGAGCTCCTCATATATTTTCAATATTAGCCCCTTATCAGGTATGTGGTTCGCAAATATTTTCTTCCAATCTGTGGGATATCTCTCTACTCTGTCAGTTGTTTCCTTTGCTGTGTAGAAGCTTTTTATTTGTTGCAATTTCATTTTTTTTGTTGTGGTTGTCTGAGCTTTAAGGTTATATCCAAGAAATCATTGTCTGGGCCAATGGCTATTACTGAAAAGATGGAAGATAAGAGTTGGTGATGATATGCAGAAAAGAGTTGAGAACTTTTGCATCCATATGGGATGCAAAAAATGTGCTGTTGGTAGAAATGTAAATTAGTACAGTCGTTATGAAAATTAGTGTGGAAGTCTCTCAAAAAACTAAAAATAGAAATACAATATGATCCAGCAATCCCAATTTAGAGTATATATTCAAAGGAACTAAAATCATTATTATTGAAGAGTTATCTTCACTCTCATGTTTATTGCAGCATTATGCACCATAGCCAAGATATGGAAGCCATTCTATATGTCCATTAATGGATAAATGAATAAAGAAAATGTGGTGTATATATACAATATATTACTATTCAGTCGTAAAAATAGAAAACTTTATCTTTTGTGACAACATGGAAGAACCTGGAAGACATTATGCTAAATGAAATGAGCCAAGCACAGAAAGACAAATACTACATGATCTTACTTATATGTGGAATCTAAAAAAGTTAAACTCATAAAAGTGGAAAAAAGAATTGTGGTCACCAGAGGCTGGGGGTGGGGGTGAATGGAAAATGGAGATGTTGGTCAGAGGGTACAAAATTCCAATTATACAGGAGGAATAAATGCTAGTAATTGATTGCTCTACACAGTGACTTTAATTAATAACACCATATTGTATTTTTAAAAATTACTATAACAGTAGATTTTAAATGTTCTCATCACAAGGAAGTAAGTATGTGAAGTGATGGATATATTGTTTAGCTTGATTTAATCATTCTACAATGCATACAATATATTATTGCATCACATTGCATGCATAAATATATACAACCATTATTTGTCATTTTAAAAAATGGAGGAATTTCATCACCATCAGACTCATCCTTAATAAAATTTAAAAAAAAAATAGTTTTCAGAAAGCCAATGATATAGGTTGGCAACTCAGATCTACATAATAAAAAAAAAAGTGATGAAAAAGAAATAGTGAAAGTAAAATAATACCTTTGTGTTATTTTTAATTGATCAAAACATAACTGTTTGTTTAGAGTAATAACAGCAACAATGTGTTAGGTTAGTACAGGTTATGGATATCTTAGTCAGTGTGGGCTGCCATTACAAAATTTCCATAGTCCGGGTGATTTACAAAATAGAAATATATGTCTAACATTTCTGAAGGCTGGAAAATGCAAGTCAAAGCACTATCAGACTTGGTGTCTGAAAGGGCACTCTTTCTGGGTTGTAGACCACCATCTTTGTCTTATGCACTATCAGACTTGGTGTCTGAAAGGGCACTCTTTCTGGATTGTAGACCACCATCTTTGTCTTAAGCACTATCAGACTTGGTGTCTGAAAGGGCACTCTTCCTGGATTGTAGACCACCATCTTTGTGTTATATCATCACATGGTAGAAAAAGGGAGACACTCAAGATGAATAAATATTGCGTGACAGTAATGTCATGAGAGAGGTATTTGGAATACTTTGTTATAAGTTACCTGTACTACACATAAATTAGTGTAATGTTATTTAATCAAATTGAAAGAAAAAAATGGATAAATTTACTTTTATAAATGTAGATTTCAATATCATTTTTTCCAGTAACTGACAGATCAAGTAGGCTGAAAGCCAGTAATAATACAGATGACCTGAACTACACTACTGATTTCAAATTCACATGAAACATTCACCAACATAGACAACATTCAAAGCCATAAAACACTTTAGCAACTTTTAAAAATAGAAATCATACAAAATATGTTAGACTTCAATGCAATTAAAGTGGAAATGAATAAAAGAAAGATAGTTTGAAAATACATAAACATTTTCCTAAATAACATGTAGGTCAAATAATAAATCTCAAGAAAAGTAAAAAATATATATATATGCATGAAATAAAAAATAAAAGTCCAATTTATCAAAATTCATGAAATTCAGATAAAGCAGTGCTTAGAGAAAATGTGTAGTACTAAATAAAAGTGTTAGAAAAGAAAAAAAAAAGATTTGAATCAATAACCTAATATTCCTTCTTAGTAAATTAGAGATACAAGAGCAATTCAAAGCCAAATAACCAGAAAAAAATAATAAAAAGTAAAGCACAAATCTATGAAATTTAAAGCAGAATAAAACAATAAAGAAAATCAACAACATAAAAATCTGGTCATATGAACACATTAATAAACTTGATAAAACTTTAGTCAGTCTAGTGAAGCAAAGGAGAGGACACAAATCTCCAATGTCAGAAACAAAAGACAAGTTCATCACTACAAATCCCATGAAATTAAAACAATAATGAAATATATTGTAAACAACTCTTTGCCACACATTTGATAACTTGGACGAATCCTTGAAAGACACAAAGTAGCATACTCAGGCAAGTTAAAAAGATCATTAGAATGATCCTACATATATTAAATAAATTAAGCTATGATTAATAATTTTTTAAAACAGAAAGCACCTGGTCCAAGTGGTTATACTGGTGAATTCTAGCAAAAATTTCAAGAAGACTAATGCCAATTCTTCACAATCTCATCCAAAAAAAAAAAAAAGAAACAACAGAAACACGTCCTAATTGTATCTATGAGATCAGCATTACTGTAATGTCAGAACCGTTAAAAACATTACATGAAGGAGGAAAATAAACAATATATCTCACAAATATAGATGTACAAATCCTCAACAAAAATTAGCAAATTGAACCCAATAATGTATAAAAAGAATCAGACACTATAACAGAGTTAGATTCATTGCAGTCACGCAAACAGATTCAACATTTGAAAATCAATCAACAGGCTAAAGAATAAAAATGTGATCAATTGGTAGAGAAGGAACATTTGATGAAATCCAATATCCATTCATGATTTTTAAAATGTCTCTCAGTGAACTAGGAGTAAAAGGGGAACACATTCAACTTGATGAATAACATCTCCAAAAATCAACAGTTACATCATACTTACTGGTAAGAAAATAAACTCATCCTCCCTCCCTCTAAGATTAAAAAAGCAAAAATATCCCACTCACCACTCCTATTTATTACTGTACCAGAAGCTCAAACTACTGTAATAAATCAGGAAAGGGAAATAAAATGTATACCACAGAGAAAGGAAGAAATAAAGCTGTCCATATTTGTAGATGACTACATTTAAAAAAAATTAAAAGAATCAACAGCAGCAAAAACAAACAAAAAATTTATTGACACTTTTAAAAGATAGCATAAGTTTCAGGATATACATTAATACACAATGGACAATTACTTTTCTGTAAACCAAGAATAAAGTATTAGAACTTAAAATTTAAAACTCAATACTTTTTATATATCTCCATGCAAAAAAAAAAAAATTCTTAAGTATAAATCTTGCAAAAAAAAAAAGTATGGGATCTACATGCAGACAAAAATACAAAACACTCATAAAATAAATCAAGGAGGACCTAAACAAATGAATATATAACAAATGTTATTCCGTTTGTGAATTGAAAAACTAAATGTTATTAAAATATTGATACTACCCATTCTAATCTATAGATTCAATGCTATCTCAATCAAAATCCCAACGATCTTTATTGTAGATATTAACAAAAGTGTTCAAAAAATTTTATATGAGAAGCAAAAGACCTGGAATATTCACCACAATTCTAAAAAATAAAAACAAAAAGTTGGAAAACTGAAACAAATCTATATCAAGGGTGACTACAATGCTGTAATAATCAAGACAGGGTGGTATTGACAAAAGAAGGGATTCATAGATTTAGGACACAGAATCAAGAGCTCAAAAATAGATGTACAGAAGTATGAATAATTGAACTTTGGGCCGGGTGTGGTGGCTCACGCCTGTAATCCTAGCACTTTGGGAGGTCGAGGCGGGCGGATCATTTGAGGCCAGGAGTTTGAGACCAGCCTGGCCAACATGGCAAAACCCTGTCTCTAATAAAAATACAAAAATTAGCTGAGCATGGTGGCAGTCGCCTTTATCCCAGCTACTGAGGAGGCTGAGGCAGGAGAACTGCTTGAAACCAGGAGGTGGAGGTTTCAGTGAGCCGAGATCACGCTATTGCACTCCAGCCTGGGCGACAGAGTGAGACTCCGTCTCAAAAAGAATAAATAAATAAATAAAATAAATAATTGATCTTTGATAAAGGAACTAAGGAAATTCCATTAAGAAAGAATAGCATTTTTAAAAAAATGTTGTAATAATTGGACATTCACACGCAAAAACACAAACCCAGGCACAGACCTTACGCCTTTGACAAAAATTGCCTCAAAACATATAAATCTACATGTAAAATGTAAAATAACAAAGCATCTGGAAGAAAGCATAGTAGGAAATCTGTTACCATTGGGTTGGTGACAATTCTTAGATGCAGAACTGAAAGCCTAATCCATGAAATCAAAATTGATTTGAGCTTTATTAAAATAAAAACTTTTGCTCTGTGAGATAATCTAAGAAAAATAAAAGATAAGCCAAAAACACAAATCTGATGAAAAAAAAATTACAAAGACAACAATAATACAAATACACAACTAAACAATAAGAAAGGAAACAACCCAGTTTTTAAAATGAGCAAACGATCTGAACACACACCTTACCAAAGAATATATACAGATGGCAAATAAACATACGAAAAGAGATTCAACATGATTTTTCATTCAGGATATGCACATTAGAACAATGAGATATAACTGTGCACCTATCAGAATGGCCAAGATCTAAAATTTGTCATTGCCAAATGCTGATGAGAATGTGGAGGAACAGAAACTCCCATTAATTGTGGGTGAGAGTTCAAAATGGTGCAGTAATTTTGGTAGACAGTTGAGCAGTTAATAAGTTATGAAGGTATAAGCATTGTCATATCATATTATCTAACAACAGTGCTTCTAGGTATTTACCCTACTAATTTGAAAAATTGTGTTCATATAAGAACCTGAATGTGAATGTTTCCAGCAGATTTATTCTCAATCACCCCAAACTGGAAGCCACCAAGATATTCTTAAATAGGTGAATGGGTAAACAAACTCTGGTACATCCATATAATGGAATATTATTCAGCATAAACAGAAATGAACTTGCAACTCATGCAAAGGTGTGAATTTATCTTCCATGCATATTGCTAATTGAAAGAAGATAGTCTGAAAATGCTATCTACTGTGTAATTCAACTATATATCATTCTGGGAAAGGCACAGTTCTGTGATTCTTCTGTGGGTGTGTGTGTGTATGTTATATTTTTTTTATTATACTTTGAGTTCTAGGGTACATGTGCACAACGTGCAGGTTTGATACATAGGTATACATGTGCCATGTTGGTTTGCTGCACCCATCAACTCATCATCTACATTAGGTATTTCTCCTAATGCTATCCCTCCCCAGCCTCCCACCCCCGCAACAGGCCCCGGGGTGTGATGTTCCCTGCCCTGTGTCCAAGTGATATTGTTCAATTCCCCCCTATGAGTGAGAACTTGTGGTGTTTGGTTTTCTGTCCTTCTGATAGTTTGCTGAGAATGGTTCAGGAGAGAGAAGAAAGCTTGAAGACGTGAAGGGCGGGGGACATTTTAGGGCTGTGGATGGATGCATGATGCTCTCCATTTGTCAAAACACACAGAACTTGACCAAACAGAGTGAGCCTCAAAGTGTATAATTATTTAAAAACTCATTCAGGAGATTGTGAGATACCAGGATAGAATGCAGAACATGATAAAAGCAATCTAACAGTATTTCAAATGTATGTACCAAACTAACCGAAGAGGGCGGAGGGAAAAGGGGCTGACCTAAGTAACTCTGCAAATGAGTGGAGTCTGTAAGACTAAAAGAAAATTTACATAAGTGCTATATTCTAGTTGATAGAGTTATTTACCAGAGTGGTATAATTTAACACTTCTATACAAGTATGCTGGAACTGAAAGTTTAGATGTATGGACGGTGGATGCTGGGAGCCATCTGGAGTCTTCTCGGTGTTGGAGTGGGAGGTTACAGAGAAGAAGGATGGAGATTAGAATGATCTATGCAGTTAGGGGTTTGAATTGGAGATATCAATAAGAACTCATAGTTACGTTACTACAGATGCAGGTGATCACATAAAAAATATTTATAGAGATGTGTATATACACTTAGTTAGTATATAAATATGTATTCCTTGCTCTGTCAGGTAAGAAAGCCTAGAAGGAATAATATTCAGTATCATTAAGCACATTTAATGCCCAGATCTTGGTTTGCATGACGATTCTTCAATTAAAGAAACAGGCTTCTTTAGAAAAATGGCTGATTTAGGGGCTGGGGCTGGAAATTAAAAAAAAAAAAAAAAAAAAAAAACAATATGAGCCTGGAGTGTTTTATAGTGCCAAAAAGAAAGAAAGTGCAAACAAACAAACAAACAAAACAAAGAGAGAGAGAGATGGGTTTACAACACAAGAACTCCAATGGTGAAAGTTGGAATAAGCAATCAAAATAAATACCATGGTTTTGGATTATAATCTAAAGTTAAAAATAAACATCTGTCCACCTTGGCTTAATAATTTAATAAATTGTTAAATACACAAATATTTGGGAGAACAAGACATATCTCCTGTGCAGAATAATTCCAAATAATTTACTTAGATGTCCTGCCCTGAAGTAGATGGAGGCTGCTTCCCTCTGCTTAAGTGTGTGGAGTGCATAGTGACTTCCTTTTGAAAAACAGGGTATGAAAACAGAAAGAAAACACAGTTAAGAAATCTGAGAAATAATATCTCAGCCATGTGATCAAGACTAACATGTTGAGAGTGTGTGCTGTTGATACAATGCAATGAAAATGATAATTTACCTCTGTGGTCTTCCTGACGAATACCCAGAACTCAAGTCTACTCATGAGAAACACAACAAACAAATCCCAATTGAGGGACAGTCTACAAAATATTTGACCAGAATTCCTCAGAATCACCAGGGTCATTCAAAAGTAGGAAAGACTAAGAAAATTTCATAGCCAAGAGGTGCCTAAAGAAATATGGTGACTAAATGTAATATAAAATCCTGGAAAGGATCCTGGAACAGTAAAAGGATAACAGCTGAAACTCAGGGCATTTTAATAAAGTATGGATTTTAGTTAATTATAATGTGTCAATATTGGCTCCTGAATTTTAACAAATATATGATGTAAGATACTAGAAAGAAAGGATACTGGGTCTGGGATATATGAACGCTCTTGGTATTATCTTTACAATATTTCTTTATTTTCTTTTTCTTTTTCTTTTTTTTTTTTTTTTGAGACAGAGTTTCACTCTTGCCGCCCAGGCTGGAATACAGTAGTGCCATCTCGGCTCACTGCAACCTCCGCCTCCCAGGTTCAAAAGATTCTCCTGCCTCAGCCTCCCAAGTAGCTGAGATTACAGGCCCTCTCTACCATACCCAGCTAATTTTTGTATTTTTAGTAGAGGTGGGATTTCACCATGTTGGCCAGGCTGGTCTTGAACTCCTGACCTCAGGTGATCCACCTACCCCGGCCTCCCAAAGTGCTGGGGTTACAGGCAAGAGCCACCGCACTGAGCCCTACAATATTTCCTTCAATCTAAAACTGTCCTGCTACCAGCAGTGAATCTGTACACGTCTGCAGCAAATTCAATTCTTGCCTCCTTAGAAGAAAGAATTCAATTGAGGGGGCATAGGGCACTGTGAGAGATGACAGCAACTTTTAAAGCAGGAGCAAAAGTTTATTAAAAAGTTTTAGGGCAGAAATAAAAGGTAGCACACTTGGAAGGGGCCCAAGAGGGTGACTTAAGAGAGTCAAGTGCACTGTTTGACCTTTGACTTGGGGTTTTATATGTTGGCATACTTGAGGAGTCTTGCGCCCCTTCCCCCTGATTCTTCCTTTGGGGTAGGCTGTCTGCATGAGCAGTGCCTATCAGCACTTGGGAGGGGCTTCATGAGCAGTGTGTTTAGTGGAGTTGTACGCATGCTCCCATAAGGTCATAAGGTGTTCTTCCCTTCCTAGCCGAATGTCCCTGGGCAGTCATATACCAATTAAACTCTGCCATTTTGCCTCTTAGTGCACAAATGTGAGCCCACTCACCCAACTCCTGAGATCTTATTGGGAAGCTGCTGATCACCAGTTTCAGGAGTTTCTGTTTATTGGGAGACTGTCTTTCCCTGGCACTGGCTGTGACCAATTGTTATTTTAGAGAGACGGTGCAACACCTGCACTGTGCAGACCATCATTTGACAGTCATCTGGCATTCTGGTGGGTGGTGGTGGGGGGCCTCTCCTGCCCTGCTCATGTCTGACTAGCTACGTACTGTAACAGCACTAAAATAATTTAGAATTATTATTGAGTGTCCACATTCATTCAGGCACTATGGAAGGCAGGCAGATCAAGTGATGAGTAAAGCAGGTGACATTCTTACCGCATTGACTTCATATACTGGGGAAAGAACAGATAATAAAAGTATAAATAAGAATGATAATTTTATGTAACATAAAACTATAAGAGGGGAATAGATAAGTTTGTAAAATAAAAACTGACTTTGTGAGGCACAGTAGATGGTGGGGGAGATAGGGTTTAACAAGGTCATCAGCAGGGCTAATTTCAGCCTTGAACACTGCAAAGTCTATGGGCCATTTACTCATACAATAACCAAAGTAAAACAATAACTTTAAATAAGGGTACATTTTCTTCAGTTTTTATCTTCTTTGACAACTATTTTTTTAAAAAATAAACACTCACTACAAACCCTGCCTGCTGCACCCTCAAAAACTCAATTATTCTGGGCATCAGGAAACTATATCTGAACTCAAATCTGGAGGTAAGAAAGAATCAGATATTTCAGAAGGAAGGAAAGGATTCTTAGAGACGGAAGAGTCAAAATAACAATGGCTACAACAATCATAACAATGTTAACTAAACAATATTTAGCACTTACTAAGTGTCGTGCATGGTTCTAATTGTTTCCTATGTAGAATCCATTTGATTCTTTCCATAGCCCTATGTGGTAAGTACAATTATGCACACCAATTTTAAAGGTGAAAAAAATTGAGGTCCAGAGACACTGACTTACTGGCCTCAAAAGGGCAGGAACTGGGCAGTCTGGCTCTAGAACACAAAGTCTTAACCAAATTTCCATACTGGAGCGCTCTATTGACTGACATTTGTTGAGTGCTCAGTGTTTGCCAAGCAATGCTCTTGGTGCTCACTCTATATTAGCTTGTTTCATTGTCACTATATTACAGGAGTTTGGTACTTATAAATATCTCTGTTTCAGAGGTGAAAAATTAGAGTTGTTTCCAGACTAAGCAGTTTGGCTCCAGAGTCCATGACCTTGGCCATGTCGACACTGAGGCAGGGATGTGTTTAGAACATTTTGAGGATATAAATTGAGCTAGGATTGCTAGCACCAAAGTGGAATAAAAAGTTTTTACTTGATTCTATTATTTGATATTCTGAGTTTTTTAAAAATCATTTTTTATTTGTAGAAATATTTTTGTCATATTCATGGTAGGTTTTTTATTAGTATTTTCTTATTCTTTGAGTTGAATGCATAGTTGAAATCTCTTATTTTTACATTAGCACATATCTTAACACATATAAGACAGAATTTTTTTCCCTTGATTTTGGAACTTGAACTTTTATAATGATTTCTAAGAGCATTGAGGTTGATGGTATGTACCTCTCATGAAAAATCAATTTTTACTCCTAATTATATAGGCTAGACTTAACACTTTTACTTTCACTGCTGTAGTAAGATGTTATTTCCACTGCTACAATGCATATATCTGTTCATGATCTTTTCCACCTGTAGTTTACAAGCTCCTTTATGGAAGACACAAAGTCTTATACATTAAAGATTTTCAGTGCCAAGAGTTGTACTGAGTACAAAGTAGATATTTAATATATGTGTGTTGAAATGTCCTCAACATTTTAAAAATAAATAAAATAGTGAAGATTATTATATATTTAGTTATATCTACTTCTTTGGGAAACTGCCTATATTTCTTGAGACATTTTATTCCCAGGCAGGTTGTGAAAGATGGGGAGTTGTGTAATTAATAAATAAAAGTAAAAAACTCAAAACAAATAACTTTTTTATTGATAAGGAACACATAAAATACCAAGCAGTTATATTTTTAGAAAGAAGTAATAAAACATTAGAAAAAGTCTGAGGATTATAGATCCAAGAATCTCTTGTTGCATTATGTATACTGCACTGTATTTTTTAGAATACCAAGGGATTAAGGGATATATTGGATTTACCATTATGTAAGCATCAAATCCCAAAAGTTCTTAACATTTCTCCATCTCAGATAACCCAAAATATACTTCAGTGCTTATGTAACTCTATGAAATTCAAGTTCCCCAGTCTCAAAAAAACTCAAGCTTAAACAACAATACTGTGTTAATGATATTTAATTTTTGCATTACATAGGAGAGTGAAGTGTGTGTGTTATAAATTTATTACCTAAAACTAGAAAATATATTTGATCCTAATTAGAAGACATATATCTGTTTGCCTTTGAAATGGTAATAAAAATAAAGATTTTATTGGAATTGTGGAGAATTTAAATTTTGAATCAAAATATTTATACCTGTACACTCTCAGATCTTTAAGAATTTTAGAATTGGCCATTATCTAAAAACTCCCACAAAATTCTGAAGCTTGGTTTACTAGTATTTTAAATTTATCTTGTACATGTAAGAAAGAACAGAAATAATGGCATTGTAACTACAAGTAAAAAAATTAATCAAAGATAATAATGAGACATTATTATGAGGTTAGTGGGCATTGTGGTTAAGCTACATGAAGTAACAGCAGTGCCATTTGGGAAACTGAGCTCAGATGGGCACCTGATTGGTCTAAAGATAATCCTATTGACAATATTTGTTTCACAAATAAACATTTGCCTAAATTCTGGCCAATGAAATTCAAAACAAACTTGCTACAAGATCTGAGAAAACATACACTTTGTTCACTGAAGACTAAATGGGCCAGGAGCGGTGGCTCACGCCTGCAATCCCAGCACTTTGGGAGGCCGAGGCTGGGAGATCACTTGAGATCAGGAGTTCGAAACCAGCCTGGTCAACATGAGGAAAGCCTGTCTCTACTAAAAATACAAAAATTAGCCGAGTATGGTGGTGGGCAACTGTAATCCCAGCTACTTGGGAGTCTGAGGCAGGAGAATTATTTGAATCTGGGGGGTGGCGGTTGCAGCGAGCCTAGATTGCACCACTGTACTCTAGCCTAGCCAAAAGAGCAAGACTCCATCTAAATAAATAAATAAATAAAATGGAAAGACTAAATGAACACAGACTTTACTTCCCTTATGATATAAACAAAAGCAACAACAAAAAAACAAGCAACAAGCAAAATTCTTAATAAAAATTACCCATTAATAAAAGAGGAACAAGCTTTGAGGTATAGCCAACAATGTTGACTGCATAATAGAAGTAGAAAAAGAGGTTCACAATGAGTCCAAAATCTGTGTTAACCCTAGGCCTACTATGTGTACTAATGAATTTCATAATTGTGTAAGGTAGTATGGGACAAGTTATCTGTTATTTAAAGCCAAACCTTTTAGGTACTCCAGAGAGTTCTAGAAATAGCACCATTAGAGCTGTTTTCTGAAATCCAACCTTCAAGCTTTCTATATTACAAGCTCTGCTCACAGACAATCTTTCATAAGGGCAAGTGATAAAAAATGACTCACCATCTTCACATGTGCTCTTGTCCTTTTCCCCCAGATATACATCTCAACTTTCCCATGTACTTTCATCACTTTCCAGAAGTGAAAGGATAGAGTAATTGAAGGTTGGATTATATTTTTCCCCAATTACTTAGATAAAAGAGAAAGTGAATAAGAGGGCAAAATGAAAAGGGCAGAGTTAGGCATTTGCACAGGAAACTGTCAAGAAGCATGGCAAAAAGCAGCTCCTCTCCTCTGGTCCTGTCATCCCTTGAGTGCTGGAAATTCAGCACTTACAGTCACTTTCTAAAACAGTGTCTTTCTACATAATGTGCTTAATCAACTAGCCTTTTAAAAGTATATGTTCTACATTAGGTGCTTCAGGGCTAACAAAAAATGTTCAAGGGCAATCCCTACTCCTGGAAGCATTGCAAACTGAACTGTGGTGGGCAGTAAGTACATGCAAAAGTACGAGAACTTCGAGGAAGAGAACTGAGATTTAGGTGCTACATTTATGTGAGGGTCACTATTTTTACATGGCAGATATAATGTAAAATTCCTCCCGCCTCTCTAAATTTTGTGGTATTATCCCCATTTTATAAGTGGGGAAGTGGGAGCTTCCAATGTGGAACAATTTGTAGAATTAATACATTTTATGAAAGATCTGATACTTAAAGTTACTGTTGGGGTCAGGGATAAAGAACCCAAATAAGTACATGGAAGGCATAAACAAAAATACATAATTGAATCAAGAATATTGATTGAGTATAAAAATCTGTATATTTTTTCTGTTAAAAAAAAGTCTGTTGAACAAATAAAAACATAATATATAATTTTCTGAAAAACAAAAAGGATGCCATTAGCAAACCAAAATATTGAGGCCTTTCTGAATCTTAAAAACCTCTTGTAAATGAGGCAGCAAAATAAGAAGTCCACCCCTTGTAGGTGAAGACTGTCATTGTTCCTGTAGAGCTCAAGCTCATGGTCAGTAGAGGTGAGAGCAGAAACACCCCTAAGGCAATAGTCAGAATGGGGACACGGGACCTGTAGAAGGTACATTTACCCTCCATAGAGAGACAGGGCCATATCTCCATACAAATCATAAAATAACTTATATGTACAGACCATACACTGAGATGACAAACAACAGGCAATTCTCACTTTTAAGTACAGATCTTCTACCCTACTCCTTAACCCACCAGAAGTCATCATGTATAATCACAGCTTGTACCTACCATGATGAGAGAAGAGGATCACAGAACAGAAAGGGAAGCAAACATACCCCCAAACAACCAATATTTGTAGGAACTAAAATCAAGACAAAAGAACAATTACTGGAAAAATTATCAGGAGAGGAAAATGAGTCAATAGACCAAATAAAAGCATTTAAAAATAAAAAAGCTTTTATCGTCAGAGAGATTAAATAGAATATTGTGTCATACATATACAGTGATGCAAAGGAATCAGAAATATTGATGTTTGAGACTTAGTCACACAAATGAAATACATAAAGAAAATAGTTGTAACGTGCATCGTCTTTAGACTCTCAGAACATGGCAAAAAAGGTCAAAGATATTATTTGTGAGAGAGAATTCAACAGATAAGAATAGAAATAGAAATTTTAACCTAGAAAATGTTTTAAAGTTAAATAAAAGACTTTGGTCATCAAATGATGAAAGTTGCCACTTGATAGTACAAAATAGTATTTACATAAAAAAGACCAATAACGAGGCATAGTGTGATGAAATGTTGAAACGTTGAGGGCAAGGAAAACATATAAAACTTCCAAAAGAAAAGGAATGATACTATTTCTTGGAAAAATACAATTAGGCAATAACTTCAAAATGTATACTGAAATTACTGAATGAAATATAATCTCATATCCAGCAACATTAGCATTAAAATTTTTAAAAAATAATTAAATATATAAGTAGTCAGAAAATTAATCACAGTCACACCATCTATAAATAGGCAACTCAAAAACGAGAAAGCAAAATAAAAAGTACAACTGTGGGAAATACAAAATATAGCAATAAAATTAAAAACAAAAAGTAGATGGCTCAGTATATCAGAAGAAAATAGACTTCAAGTGGATATTAAATAGGACAAAAAGGATTACTTTCCATTTATAAATTTTACAATTAACTCTCAATATTTATCGGTCATGTACATTTCTGTATCTATATATATTTATACTACTCATCAAAATAAACATTGATAAAAATAAAGTAAAACTTTTTATAATCTATAATCATAAAATGAAATTTGATCATCAAATATTAAACAATTGTTAATAATGAAAAAGAGGTAAATAAACCATGCATTTAATAGCAATTAAAAGCAAAAACATGTAGCTTTGTATCCAACAAACACAGAACACTAATTTTTTCAAAGTTGGAATTATTATAACATACATTTTTCAGAAATAAATTAATAGTGAAACAACAAAGATGACCATGAAAACATCCACAACTCAATGAATAGGAGTTGAAAGTGGTGTTGTTATGGAGAAAGGAGTGCAGGGACGGTGACCTGGCAGGTGTCATGGCTGTACACTGCTACCTGCTTTTATCTTCCCAGGTTTAGCTGATTAGCCATGGTTCTGCTTTGATGAGCTGTCACACTGACAGAAGTTCACACAAATTTGTGAATTATCATAGTCAAATTGTACAATGTGGTGCTTCCCTGACAATATAATTCTTGGTTAAAGGGTGGAAGGATGGGTGAGTGGAAACTTTCTATTACAAAAATAAGTGGTGATTAGTGCAGAATATATCAACGTTTTGCCAACTATTTTACATTGTCTTTTTAGAAAATAATATTTGAATGGCATGCTGGGATAAATGGGTTCCAGCTGTTTCTCTCCCCGCTTCCCTGTTTGGATGCTTAAAGACTAGGGAGCTCAACATCTTGGCATCTACAACCAACTCAAGGTTTTGCCGTCTTACATTGCTACATAAATCATGCTTAGAATATTCAAGAGTAGGACTTAAGCTTAGGAAGAATGGACACATAATTCAAAGAAATCTGGCAGCCTAAGTAAAAGAAAATAGCATGGTAAATATATAGATACGGGGCAATTTTTAAAAAATCCATAATAATGTGTGTGCGTATGTGTGTGTGTTTGTGTGTGTGTGTGTGTGTGTGTGTGAAAGAGAGAAGAGAGAGAGAGAGAATACCCAACATATTTATGCTGTTCTTCTCCATTTACAAAGCACATATATGAGCAAATTGATAATTTCCCTTGGGTAACCTAAAAGCTCAATGGGCTCTCACATTTTTTTAACTGATGTGTCACGTTCAATGCTTGTGATAATTGCTCTGCTTGTTTAAATGGTAATAGAATGCTTGGAATATTAGTGCCAAAGCCCTTCAGATTTCTCTATGTAGGAACACTATTGATAGTTGACTAAATTAATTTTCTCACTAGTTTTTATTTAAAAAATATGTGTAGGTTGTATTAAGCTTAATTAAATTTTGTTTTACAGGCATTTACTTTCACTATCACTCTACACAGTCAATTCCGAAATGATGAATCCATTTGCTCATTGTAATTACAATATATGAACTGTTTGGCAGAAGTGTTTCTGGGCATGAACATCATTCTTTGGATGTAGAACACTTGGGAGCAATTTCATGTTATTTATAGAGACACATAAGCATATAGACTGCTCCCTACACGTGCACATGGACACACATACACACACACAGAAGTCACTTAGCTATTAGGAAATTGCATGCAGAAGCAACATGGAGTACTAGAAAGATCTTGGGTTTAAGGTCAGATAATTCTACATTTCTAGTCCAGCATGGCCACTTACTGGTTATGTGCTCTAGCATCTATTTCTTCTATTATAAAATGTAAAAAGGGTACCTACCTCACAGGGGTGCTACGGAGCATCAAAGTGGAATATAAACTTTCTTATCACAAAGCTTTATACTTGGTGCTCAAGATATGGTACCTGATAACATTATATAATGCATATTCAGTACTGGTACATAATATGCATTTAGTGCCTAATATATTCCAGGCATTATTTTTTTTTTACTCTATAAAAACCTCATGAGTTGGACAATATAAAAATTATCTCTCTTTTACAGATGAGATTGCTGAGGCCCAAACAGGTTAAGTGACTTGCCTAAAGTTACATAGTGTGACCAAAAAAAAAAAAAAAATGCTGGGTGATCATGAATAGTCTTATCCCTAATTTTCTTCCTGAAGAAAACCTCATTCTGTTTTCTAACTGAAGGCAATTGGGCTAAAATGCTGACATCACCCCCAGGACTGTTATGAGAGCCTGCAAGGTCTTTCTCTTGGGTCATTGGCTGATTGGCTGCTGTGGATATGGAAGGAGACTCCAACGGGATGATGGAGCCCCTGTCTCTCTGAAGGGTTAAATGGAGCTGAGCCTCCTCATCTGCAACCTCTTTCACCAGACTGAAATGTGAGGAGAAAACAAATTTGCTGTTTATCTACGAAAACCTAATGATGGCTTATCACAACATTCGGTGTCACCTATGTTGCCTAAAGTTAACATAAGAGTCTGTGTTCACTGCCTCTTCTAAGAATAACCCTGATGAAATCATTGTAGGCAAAATGTCTTGTTGCCAGGTGTCTCCTTTTTTTCTCTCTTTCCAGCCTTGGTATCCCAAGTGTTCTTGTGTTGGCCCTAGTGTGACTGATGCTTCCAAATTTAGGTGCCCCCATACAAAAGAAGTAACCAGATACACTGGCAAGAGCCCTTTATATGATGCCCCTTCCTCCAAAACCTATTTCTTTTTTAAATAAACACCTTCTCCTTTAAAAAACCACTCTGTAACTCCTGGCTTAACTTACGACTTCTAGAAAACCATACAAAAATGGTCACTAGTTCTTCTCATCTATCCAGTGGCTTTTGAAAAATAATTCTGTACATCATGGCTTGTCTTTTATAGAATAGTTTGGAAACTCCTCTTTCTCCTTACCATAAAGATGCTGTATTCACCATCCAACACACCCATCTCTCAATTACTTGATTTTTTTCAATTTCAATGGCTTTCAACTGCTTCACTAATTAAATCTCAAATTCAAGTATCTTACTCTCTCCTACTACCTCATATCATTGGTAGGTATTTTGATCCATTCCTTCCACTATGTTGTTTTCTAGGCCTCCTTCATGTCTTATCCACATCTCAAGTTTCATGAAGTTTAGGTGACAATGATTCTCAGTGCTGACACATATAGTGGAAAAATATATATATTGGCTGAAACCCCACCTGTAGAGATTCTGATTCATTGATATGACATGAGTTCTGAGAATCTATCAACTTAAAAATATTTTTTTCTTTTTTTCAAATATGCAGCTACTGGTTCCATATTCTTTTTTTTTTTTTTATGCGGAGGATGACAGAGTCTCACTCTGTCGCCCAAGCTGGAGTGCAGTGGCACAATCTCGGCTCACTGCAACCTCTGCCTCTCATGATCAAGCAATTCTCATGCCTCAGCCTCTGTAGTAGTGGGGATTACAGGTCTATGACACCACGCCCGGCTAATTTTTGTATTTTTAGTAGAGACGGGGTTTCACCATGTTGTTCAAGCAGGTCTTGAACTCCTGACCTCAGGTGATCCACCCGCCTTGGCTGCCCAAAGTGCCAGGATTACATGCGTGAGCCACCACACCCAACCTCTATATTCTTTCAATTAGTCCCCTTTTTGAATACTCGATTCAGCTTTGGCTCCATGGCTCACCATTTTACCACTTTTGTCAATACTTTTAACTCCCCCACTTTGGCCATAAGATTTCTTGTCTGCAAATACTCCAACCAGGATTTTCTCACGATCCTAAGCTTCCTCACCAGCACCTGGGCTTGAGTGCTTCTGGAGCAAACTGAATGACCAGGAACAGCACGCATGCCCATTGCATGGCCTGGCCTTCAACCACAGTTGGACCCTCACTTTCATATTCCACTTCTTCTATGCTACTGTTCCAGCCATGATTTGTCAAGGGCTTCTCCACCATCTCTTTTGCCTCCTAGCCTCTTACTCTCAACACTAAGGAGAACGTTCTTTCCTCTTGACCATGGTACAATCTGTGAAGGGAGAAAATGGATGTATACTCATTTTTCTATTAAGAACTAGAAACCCTCGAATAGTTTAAATATTGTTGCATACATTTTGTTTTATTTTGGCTTGTTTTAACTGAGGGCATTGCCAAAAATCAAAAACACTATTGGGTATATGACTTTTAAAGATAATTTTCAGACTTTTATTCCACCAAAAACAAAAACAAAAATTGCTAGAACACTGGACAAAAGCTCTGGATATAAGACACTCTCCAATTTGCTCAGGGTGATGATTGTTGGTCATCAGGTCCAAATGTTCCATCAGGTGTCCATTACAATTTCTGGCATCTTTAAATCAAAGTCCTAGGTCACACAAATTATAAATGTTAGGTGGCGATGAAGAGGCTTCTCTGTGCCGTGATCACTAAAAGTATGTAAGTAATCCACCTGAACTCTCAAGCAAACATGTAGGAAATTGTCTCTCTAGAGACACAGTTCTGCTTAGTCTATTCTGAAATGATGAATACATTTGCTCATTACAATATATGAACTGTTTGGCAGAAGTGTTTCTGGGCATGAATGCCACTCTTTGGATGCAGAACGCCAGGGAGCAATAGTTTACTATAAATAGAAACATGTAAGCATATAGACTGTTTCCCACGTGTGCCTGTGATCACCTAGGGTCATCTTCCTATGTTAAATGTGACAGTACCTACATTAAAGACCTCCACTAGGAAAACAGAGAAGCTGAGTATTAGCCACTGGGCTTTACAGGGAGTGATTTTTCAGGATTTTTTTTTTTTTTTAAGGCTCAGGTAGATTTAGAAAGCCTGCCATCTCAGTATCTATTGAAATTCAACTTAATTCTACTTGAACATCTCCTAGTTAAATCTTCCTCAGTATTTGAAAAGTCCTGGATGTTTTCCATCTAGATAAGTTGGTCACTTTCTGGGGGCATGATAGGGCTTTTCTGAAACTAATGATTTACCCCAGAGGATAAGGTCCTTTGGCTAAGGCTTACATTTTCAACATTACAGGAGAAAGGAAATTACTGTTTTACATGGTGGCTATATTAACATTTCATGAAGAAGATTAAAAAGATTTTTTCTTTTAAGTCAAAAGGCAGAAAAAGGAAACAACCTGTCTGGCAGTGAGACCAAAATGTTTCAGATATGTTTCCAGGATGATGGACAGATTGAGAAGAGAATAAGACTAATACTAGGGAATAATGGATAATACAATTGCAAAGGTACCATCAAAGCAAATTCAGATAACATATATATATATATACACACACACATATTTTATATAAATAACATATTTAATATTTATATCAGGCCAGGCGTGGTGGCTCATGCCTGTAATCTCAGCACTTTGTGAGGCCGAGGTGGGCACATCATGAGGTCAGGAGTTCGAGACAAGCATGACCAATATGGTGAAACCCCGTCTCTATTAAAAATACAAAAATTATCTGGGTGTGGTGGTGTGCGCCTGTAATCCCAGCTACTTAGGAGGTTGAGGCAGGAGAATCGCTTGAACCCGGGAGGCAGAGGATGCAGTGAGCCGAGATTGCACCACTGCATTCCAGCCTGGGCGACAGAGCGAGACTCCATTTCAAAAAAAAAAAAAAATTAAATCAAACATATATGTATATAAATATTTATATGCTTATATAGATGTTATACATATATAAAGATTAAGGCAGGGTCTCTCAGTGTTGGCACTGATGACATTTTGTGCCGTGCGTTTTGTATGTGTTGCTGTAGTGAGCTGTTCTCTGTGTTGTAGACGCTTAGCAGCACCACTGGCCTCTACCCACTACATACCCATAGCACCTGCACCCCCAAGTGTGATTATCAAAATTGTTTTCAGACACTACCGTATGTCTCTGGGGAGACGAGGAGCCAAAACACCTCCCAGGTTTTTAACTGGACTAAGGAATAAGAAATGTACCTGTTACCAGTGAGAAATAAAAGAAGACTTTTGAACAAGAAAAACAGCTTTATAAAAAATACTGTGGTGACATTTTTCTGGATATATTGCAAGTGAGAAGGATCAGCAGAGTAGTTCAGATGTTGAACTGCAATAAGGCATAACATTTGAACTAAATGATGGCAGTTGGAAGAAAAGGAAAAGATGTTAGTGAGAAGAAAAGGGTTAGGGAAAACAGATTCAGCAGCATAATGACTGGACCTGAGGAGCAATGAAGAAGGACATAGCTTCTGTGACTCAGGCACTACGTTGAATATTATGTCACTCTTGCTCTCTTTGTTTTTGGAGCCAGATTTTACTGTGATTTCTTTCCTTCCATCTCTATGCAAGGACAAGCTGGATGTTTGTCCTCGGTGTGAAGGCAGAGCAAAAATGTGCAATGAGCTGATGGTGATTTGGAATTAGAGCTAAGTAAAATACGTAGAATAACTTTTAGGAAGTATATTTTGCACAGAGGCGCTTGCTGAAGTAATGTGACCTGCTATGGAGAGAAAGGTGGAAAATCAGGGAATGTATCAAATGTAATAGGTAAAGGCCTCCATGTAGAGAGGAAGAAATGAGAGAAGAAAAAAATAATGTCAAGAGGATAAACAAAGACTTTGATTCAAGGGCAAAAGGAGAAAAGTTTCTAGGAGGGGTAAAATCAACTTGAATAATTCGGGAGTTAAAGATCATGAGAGCTGTAGGGGACAAAAAGATGTAGGGGACCAAAATATAAAAGGTTCAGGTCGTTAACTGAATGATGCTGAGGACAGGAATTAGATAGATGTGAGTTATGGGGTAATCGGTGATCGCATGGAGGTATAAGATGATTACTGTAAATATTTTGCTAGAATAAGAAAGATAAATATATTGAATGTCATCCTGAGAAGAAAGAAAGAACAGGTATCCATTTTAATGAGGTAAGAGAGATTCGTGTGTATATGAGGAGTAGGTAAAGAAAAAAAAAAGTTTGAAAACATCACAGATAAGCTCGAAATATTATAGATCTTGATTAGAATATGAACAGGTCCCTGTGTTTGTGTAAACACACATAAATGAACTACTTTCTGTTTCAATGGCTTTGAGCCATGCTGAGCCTTTTAAAAGAACTAAACAAATATTGACACAATTGGATATTGCATCTATTTATGCCAAAAAGGAAGCTCAAACTTCACAAAGTTTGTCATTTTTTAACAAATAAAAATAGACCTACAAAAGGAAAGAAATAAACCATGTTCTCGATCAAAATCATGAACAAAAGCATACCCACAATAATCAAGAATACTGCTGTATTTATAGACAGTGTTCCTGGTATGGCGAAACAGGTGGCAGATGTTTAGTGAACTTTGTACCTTGGCTATTTGTTTTTCCTCAGACTTTTGCTATATTTTTTGTGAGAAGACTTAAATTTTCTCAGCCAAGACTGTTAACCATAGGGGCTGCAACATGGAAGTTGTGTAGACTATGTTTACTCAATTTATTTTAGAAATGCAAAATAATGCAAAGAGCCTATTTACCGCATTTGCCTAACACATTGTTAATAATTACTGAGAGTGGCTTTGGGTTCTGATAGAGAATGTGGGGAAGAGTACTAAAGTCTACACCAACCTACAAAGCCAGAATTTGGAGCTACCTCTAAGGATGAAATTTTTACAAGAAATTAGGATAGAAAGGCAAGGGCAAAGTCCTGATTATTTTCTTACTTATGTCTTTCCTGAGGTAATGAGAGATAGTGAAATGGTCTCATTCAGAAAGAGACAATAGTTCTGCAATTTCAGAGGAGGCTTTGGGAATTCAGCAAAGGCTGGATTGGAGTGGCTCAGGATTTTGGCAGGGGTCCTTTGTTTACGACATCTTTCCTGGAATTAAAGTACACATGTATATGACTGAGATGTGACTGACATCCATGCTGATGTCTATGTAACAAGCTGGCATTTAATTTGTTTGCCTTGATCATGCTTTCATTACTTCTGTAGTTAGGTAGTATCATGTAATAGAACCAGACAAGTCTGCTTCAGATTAAACTTCAGCCCAGTCATTAACCATGTGACTTTGGGTAAATTGTATACTCTCCTTCCCACATTTCCTTCTTCTTTCTGTTCCTTTCTTCCATATTTGAAAATTCTATTCTAGTGTATTTATTTTATAATATTTATTTTAATTATTTAGGCTTGCATATATATTAAAGAATTAATTCTATAAAGATTACTATAAAAACCAGCAGACTCCCACTTTTGTCGCCCCAATTCCTATTTCCCAAAGCAATACTTTTTCTTTCTGATTATTTTGGTGTTTGTTTCTAAATATTTTTCTACTATTTATTATTCTTTTTATTCAAAAACTATTTTCTATTGACATCTTCCATGAAAGATGAAGATTTAGATTTGTGTATATCAATAATCTACCTCTACGCACCCCTACACACACACACGCACACACCCCTACCTGTCCATCTTCCATAATCCACATTCTGTCAATAGATAGATATAATTGTAACTAAATGAAAATGCAGTGTTAACACTTCCATGATTAAGTCACTGCAGCTATTCACAGTTGAGGCACATATACCCTGTTGACATTTTCTTTCTCATTTAATTGGTTTGGTTTTGCAGAAGTTAAGGTTTGTTGTTGTTTCGTATTTTTTATCTGTCTAATTTTCTAGATAAATTTCTAATTAGCTCAACTCTCAGCCATCTCTCATTTATGTAATTCTTCCATATGTTCAGTCATAACTCCAAGCTTCTGAACTGCTCTAGTTTTGACAGAAAGTCTTTTATATACAAGACATAGGCATCATTCTAGATAAGACATAGTCCAACAGAAACAGAATGGGAGCCACATATTAAGCTTAAAGTTCTAGTTACCACATTTAAAATTTAATTTCAGGCTGGGTGTGATGGCTCTCGACTGTAATCCTAGCATTTAGGGAGGCTAAGGCAGGAGGATCCCTTGAGCCCAGGAGTTCGAGACCAGCCTGGGCAACATAGGTAGACCATATCTCTCAAATAATAATAACAACTTCATTAATATATTCTATTCAATCCAGTATGTGCAAAATATTTCAATCTATAATCAATATAAAAGTTTGAGATAGTATGTAGATATATAGATAGATGATAGATAGATAGATAGATAGATAGATAGATAGATAGATATACACAGACATACTTTTATGTACTAACTTTTGAAATCCATGGCGTGTTTTATACTAAGAGGAGGGGTCAGCAACTTGTGTGTCCAAAGCTGCTTGTCACTTGATTTTGCAACTACCCTTTTATTAGGATATAGCCACTACCATTTCTTACTGTCAGCGGCTGTTTTGTGTTGCTATGACAGAGTTGTCTGACCCATAAAGCTTAAAATATTTACTATCTGGGCTGTTACAGAAAAAGTTTGCTGACCCTGATTAGAACACATCATAGTTTGGACTAAACACATTTCGAGCGCTCAATAGCTATGAGTGCTGGCATATGGAACATCATTTCTACATAAATTTGGAAAATTTACTTTCCTCTCTATTGATTTATAACCCTATATTCTACTTTCTTTCTTCCTTTTTTTTTTTCCTCTCAGGTTTTGGTAGAGAATATCCTTTGGTTTATTTCTGAGAAAAGATAATAGGAAGTAAAATTGTATAGACCTTTAAGTGTTTATTGTACCCTCAAAATAAATCAGTACGCTGGATAAGTATAGAATTCCAGATTGGAAGCCACTGTTCCAAGCTTTAAACGTAAGCTTCATTGCCTTTCAGGAGTGAGGTTTGTTTTTGAAAATCTGAGAATCTTTTCTATTTTCTTGTCCTTTGGATGAGACTGTGTGTGTGTGTGTGTGTGTGTGTGTGTGTGTGTGTGTGTGTTTCTCTTAGGTAGAGATTCTATAAGAATCTTCTTTTTTTTCAGAGTGTGCAGAGTTTTCGCAATGTTTAACTATATTTTCTATTTGGAAATGTTTATTAGAATTCTCTCTTTTAGTGTCACTACCTTGAGCTATATTCAATTGTTCCTTCACCTCTCCTAACTTAAGTACCTGCTTACACCATCATCTGGATATTTTGGACTCCCTGGCCTGCCCTGTCCTTCCTTCCTTCCTTCCTTCCTTTCTTCCTCCCAAGTTGCTTCTTTTCTTTTTCCATTGCTAACTAAGACAAGAATACTCTATGGTTTGTTAAGTAAGTTCCATGTATCTACTTGATCTGCAGCTTAAAAATAAATTATAGCTGTTGTCTCTTCTTTTATTTAATTGCACATTTATGCCTGTAAACAAATCTTTAAATTAATTCTCATGAAATTTTTGGGTAGATTATATGTGTTTAATTTACCAATGTAATAGAAAAATTTTTAATTGCCTTCTAAACCCTTGTTTTCTCATCTTTAAAGTGGGTATAATAATACCTTACACAGTTGTTATGAAGATTAGAAACAAGATTTGCTTGGAATGATATCTGTGACTTAGAAACTCCAAAAGTGAACAACTATGTTAAACTTCTTAATGACAAGACAGTAGAAACAAAACCAGACAATATCAAAAGAGAAAGAAGCATTATAGACTATTATACTTCCCTTTCTCTTTTAAAATTTAACTACAAATTCAATTGTAATCTTCCTGCACTTGCTCATCTCAGTCCTTCAGAAGACTGTTCATTGCACTATGCTCGTGGTGGTTTATACCATGACATATAGGTAGAACTCAGGCCAATTATGAAAGAAAAGTAAAAAAAAAAAAAAAAAAAAAAAAAAACTTTGATGAAGCTGGGAATTTTAAAAGTAACTGGATTATTTAAATGAGACCTGTATTCTTCTATATGCATAGTATTCAATATTTATCTTTTGTCAACATGTCTAATACCAAGTTTCTTCAATCATTGTTAATTCTCTATTTCCTCAGGTGCCAGAGTTGGGACAGGGTCAATGATGTAAGACTATACCAGTTGGCAAAGTTCTCAAGTGTCTAAAACAATGGCTCAAAGTCTAAAATAAGTGTAGAGCTAGAAGAGGGGACATGCAGTGTGATTCTAAAGTGCACCAGAAAGATGAAGAAACCATCCACCCTTGGAAAGACCAACAAGAAGTGCTAAGCAGACAAGAAAATACAGAGAAGAAATTGAGGTTATAGCAAAGAGGGCAGAAACAGAATACGGATACTGATGTCTTGCAGCTAGATTCAAGACAAATTTCACATGTTCTTTAAGCCTGTCATGGATTGTGCTGCCTCGTTAACAGAGGACATTCCATGGGATTTTGCCTCCCCTGCCATTTCCATATTATTCACTGAGAAAAATCTAAATAGTACTGCATTTACTCATATGTTCTGAATCTGTTCACATCCCTTCTTCAAATGTTATTGCCAGTCCTGCTCCTTCAGACTGGACCCATTTCAGCAGGTATTTACTAAGTCTTCCCTAACTGGTCTTTCTTTACTACAAACCATCAGGTTAACTTTCAAACACCTCTCTGCAAGTATCACCTAAATAAATCTCCAAGGAACAACACATGGACTATCAAAAAAAGTTTTAACTCATTATTACACAGGCTTTCTCAGCATTTTTATAATGAAGTTATCATTTCGACATTTTAAACAAATGACCAAAACTCCACAGATCTCAAATATTAATGGATGACTTTCAGAGTATAAGATATTTTAATGCAATGGTTAAGAATAAGGCTCTGGAAATTTATAGCCAGGCTTCATGTCCCACTCCACCATTTCCTAGGAATATGTCCACTGGCAAGCTGCTCAGTTTCTCCATACCTTGGTGTCTTAGTTCATTTCCTGGTGTTATAAAGGAATACCACAGACTGGGTAATTTATAAGAAAAAGTAGTTCATTTGGCTCATGGTCCTGGAGGCTGGCAAGCTCAAGAGTATAGCCCTGGCATCCGACAAAGGCACGTGGAATGCATGGCATGGCAAGAGCAAGCACGCACAACAGGGAGGTGGGCAGGAATAAGCAAGAGAAAAAGGGGAAGGGGGCAAATTAATTCATTTTATCAGAAATCCACTCCTGTGATAACAACATTAATGCATTCACAATGGCAGAGCCCTCACAACCTAATCACCTCTTAAAGACCGCACTTCAGAACACAGTTCCTGGCAACTAAACTTCAACATGAGCCTTGGAAAAGACATTCAAACCATAACACTCAGTCTTCTAATCTCTAAATACAGCAAAACCAGTTTATAACATTAAGAATTTCAGTAAAAAACAAGAAACAATTTTTAAAGTTCCTAACTCATTTTGTGATTAGTAAATATTAGCTATTGTTTAGATTGAAAAGACATTCATTATGGTTTTAGGTCTAACATTCAAGTCTTTAATCCATCTTGAATTAATTTTTGTATAAGGTGTAAGGAAGGGATCCAGTTTCAGCTTTCTACATATGGCTAGCCGGTTTTAACGGCACCATTTGTTAAATAGAGAATCCTTTCCCCATTTCTTGTTTTTGTCAGGTTTGTCAAAGATCAGAAAGTTGTAGATATGTGGCATTATTTCTGAGGGCTCTGTTCCGTTCCATTGGTCTATATCTCTGTTTTGGTACCAGTACCATGCTGTTTTGGTTACTGTAGACTAGTAGTATAGTTTGAAGTCAGGTAGTGAGATGCCTCCAACTTTGTTCTTTTGGCTTAGGATTGACTTGGCAATGCGGGCTTTTTTTTGGTTCCATGTGAACTTTAAAGTAGTTTTTTTTTTTTTTTTCCAATTCTGTGAAGAAAGTCACTGGTAACTTCATGGGGATGGCATTGAATCTATAAATTACCTTAGGTGGTATGGTCATTTTCATGATATTGATTCTTCCTATCCATGAGCATGGAATCTTCTTCCATTTGTTTGTGTCCTCTTTTATTTTGTTGAGCAGTGGTTTGTAGTTCTCCTTGAAGAGGTCCTTCACATCTCTTGTAAGTTGGATTCCTAGGTATTTTATTCTCTTTGAAGCAATTGTGATGGGAGTTCGCTCATGATTTGGCTTTCTGTTTGTCTGTTATTGGTGTATAAGAGTGCTTGTGATTTTTGTACATTGATTTTGTATCCTGAGACTTTGCTGAAGTTGCTTATCAGCTTAAGGAGATTTTGGGCTGAGACAATGGGGTTTTCTAGATATACAGTCATGTCATCTGCAAACAGGGACAATTTGACTTCCTCTTTTCCTAATTGAATATCCTTTATTTCCTTCTCCTGCCTGATTGCCCTGGCCAGAACTACCAACACTATGTTGAATAAGAGTGGTGAGAGAGGGCATCCCTGTCTTGTGCCAGTTTTCAAACAGAATGCTTCCAGTTTTTGCCCATTCAGTATGATATTGGCTGTGGGCTTGTCATAAATAGCTCTTATTATTTTTAGATACGTCCCATTGATACCTAATTTATTGAGAGTTTTTAGTATGAAGGGCTGTTGAATTTTGTCGAAGGCCTTTTCTGCATCTATTGAGATAATCATGTGGTTTTTGTCTTTGGTTCTGTTTATATGCTGGATTACATTTATTGATTTTTGTATGTTGAACCAGCCTTGCATCCCAGGGATGAAGCCCACTTGATCATGGTGGATGAGCTTTTTGATGTGCTGCTGGATTCGATTTGCCAGTATTTTATTGAGGATTTTTGCACCTAAAACCATAAAAACCCTAGAAGAAAACCGAGGCAATACCATTCAGGACATAGGCATGGGCAAGGACTTCATGTCTAAAACACCAGAAGCAATGGCAACAAAGCCAAAATTGACAAATGGGATCTAATTAAACTAAAGAGCTTCTGCACAGCAAAAGAAACTACCATCAGAGTGAACAGGAAACCTACAGAATGGGAGAAAATTTTTGCAATCTACTCATCTGACAGATGGCTAATATCCAGAATCTACAATGAACTCAAACAAATTTACAAGAAAAAAACAATTAAACTCATCAAAAAGTGGGTGAAGGATATGCATAGACACTTTTCAAAAGAAGACATTTATGCAGCCAACAGACACATGAAAAAATGCTCATCATCACTGGCCATCAGAGAAATGCAAATCAAAACCACAATGAGATACCATCTCACACCAGTTAGAATGGCGATCATTAAAAAGTCAGGAAACAACAGGTGCTGGAGAGGATGTGGACAAATAGGAACACTTTTACACTGCTGGTGGGACTGTAAACTAGTTCAACCATTGTGGAAGTCAGTGTGGCGATTCCTCAGGGATCTAGAACTAGAAATACCATTTGACCCAGCCATCCCATTACTGGGTATATACCCAAAGGAATATAAATCATGCTGCTATAAAGACACATGCACACGTATGTTTATTGTGGCACTATTCACAATAGCAAAGACTTGGGACCAACCCAGATGTCCAACAATGATAGACTAGATTAAGAAAATGTGGCACATATACACCATGGAACACTATGCAGCCATAGAAAATGATGAGTTCATGTCCTTTGTAGGGACATGGATGAAGCTGGAAACCATCATTCTCAGCAAACTACCACAAGGACAAAAAAACAAACACCACATGTTCTCACTCATAGGTGGGAATTGAACAATGAGAACACTTGGACACAGGAAGGGGAACATCACACACCGGGGCCTGTTGTGGGATGGGGGTAGCGGGGAGGGATAGCATTAGGTGATATACCTAATGTAAATGACGAGTTAATTGGTGCAGCACGCCAACATGGCACATGTATACATATGTAACAAACCTGCACGTTGTGCACATATACCCTAGAACTTAAAGTATAATATATATAAAGAATAAAAGAGAATATTCATTGACAAAAAGGCCGTGTGAATTTGTGTATTTACCACAGATATGTATGCATATATTGTGAAAAAGGAAATAATGGCTAATAAAGGTGGGAGATATTTATTCAGTGTGTAGTTGATGTTTGGGGCACATTTGAATTTGTAAGTAGGTTTAAATAGTTTTTTGGTCAATTGGGTCTAGCATGATTCAATTCGAGACCATTTAATTTGCTAATTATATCAATTATGAAATTAGTGTTTTAAAATAATTTTGGCATCCTGAAACTCTTTAAAAAATCTGATAAAATTTTTGGCTCTCTTCCCACCATTGAAATACATAAAACAGAGTATATAAAACATTATGTATTTTGGGACTTTCATTAAAATTAGTTAATAGAGATGTAAAAACTGAAAAATGTCTGGAACCTAGTCATTGCATTAAATGCTACACATAATTATTTTACTAATAGAAAAGAATACATCCCCAGACATTTTAAAGAATAAAACAGAAACTCAAGTTTGACATTTAATGAAACTAGGTATTCCATCTGGTGTCTTCTTACATTCAAGAAGAATCTGGCCAGGTGTGGTGGCTTATACCTGTAATCCCAGCACTTTCGGAGACTGAGGCGGGCAGATCACAAGGTCAAGAGATCGAGAAAATCCTGGCCAACATGGTGGAACCTCGTCTCTATTAAAAATACAAAAATTAGCTGGGTGTGGTGGTGCACACCTGTAGTCCCAGCTACTCAGGAGTCTGAGGCAGGAGAATCGCCTGAACCTGGGAGGTGAAGGTTTCAGTGAGCTGAGATTGTGCCATTGCACTCCAGCCTGGCAAAAGATCGAAGCTTTATCAAAAAAAAAAAAAAAAAAAAAAAAGGAGAAGAAGAAGAATCTACCAAATCTACCTCCAAATCTACTGAGGATTAAATACAAGAGTGGAGTGGAGAGACACATGCAATGACACCTGTTGCTGAAGAGCTTGGATACATAGAGAGACTAAGCACAATTCGCCAGAGTAGGTAGCTTGCCTTAAAGCTACATGTTCAAAGTTCCTGTTAAGTACAGTGACCATGGGATGTTTCCTCCAATAGCACAACTTTTTTCCAACCCCATTGTACATGGTAACGTAACAAAGGAGACAGACCTGAATGAAAATACACAGAGAAGCTATTTTAGCAGAAATCAATCTGCCAGTTAAAAAAAAAATGTTAAAGAGATAGTGCCATTCTGAGTAACCATATAGTTTTGGATCTCTACTGACTAGGAAGAAGAAAAGGCCAAATCAATGTGGACCTGACAACTGCATATCTGTGGAGCTTGTATTGGGTCATTCTTGCATTACCATAAAGAAATAGCTGAGACTGGGTAATTTATAAAGAAAATAAGTTTAATAAACTCTTGGTTCTGGAGGTTGTATAGGAAACATGGTTCCAGCATCTTCTTGGCTCTTGGGAGGCCTCAGGAAGCTTGCAGCCATTGCAGAAGGTGAAGGGGAACAGGCACATCACATGAAGAAAACAGGAACAAGAGAAAGAATGGCGGTGGTGGGGCACACTTTACAACCAGATCTTGTGAGAACTCACTCATCATCACTAAGAGGATGAGCTAGGCCATTCATCAGAGATGTGTCCTCATGATCCAAACACCTTCCACCAGGCCCCACCTCCAGCACTAGGGGTTTCAATTCAGCATGGGATTTGGGCTGGGACAAATATCCAAACCATATTAAAGCTTCACTGTGATCTAGAAAAAAAAAAATCCTTCTGGCTTAGGATGCTTCTCTATTCCATTCCTAAGAACGTGCTGCAACTAATTGATCCAAGAAAAATACATTTTATTCAAAGATAAGTAACACTAAAATAATTCGGCAATACAATGTACAAAGATACTAGGAAAAATACTAAAAGTAGGCTGGGCATGGTGGCTCATGTGTGTAATTCTAGCAGTTGGGGAGGCCGAGGCAGTAGGACTGTTTGATGCCAGGAGTTTAAGAACAGCCTGGGCAACATAGAGAGACTTCACTTCTAAAATTGAAAACTAAAAAACTAGCCAGGCAAGGTCACACAAGTCTGTAGTGCTTATCTGGGAGGCTGAAATGGGAGGATCATTTGAGTCCAGGAATTTGAGATTACAGTGAAATATGATCCTATCACTGCACACTAGCCTGAGTGAGAGAGACCCTATCTCTAAAAATAAAGAAATGAAAAAATGAATAAATAAAATACTAAAAGTAAACAGATAGTTAGAACCAATAAAATGAATTGCAGAGAAGAAATATGCAGTGGAAAAAAATCACCACAAAGCAGATAAAAACGGTGACCACAAATAAATTCAAAGAAATTAATAATACAATGAGATAGAATCAGAGGCATTCAAAATTTTGAAATATCTTACAAAAATAACAGCAAGAAATAATTCAGAAAATAACATATCAGTTAAAAAGTGAAAGAAAAATAAAACACCACAGAAATTCTATGAAGTAGCATAAAGAAAAAGAAGTCACTATGAAAAACAAGGAAATAGGGAATAGAATGGAGATTGAATAAGTAAAAAGAACAATTAGGAAGAAATAATTAAAAATGAATTAGGAGAATTAAAAAAGAATACATTTCCATTAGGAAAGAGAATAGAGATATAATATTTACATAATTATTTTCCTCTGGAAATAAAAGTATAATTTGAAAAAAAACTTAATCAAAAATATAACTCCAGAAAATTTTCCAAGATATAAAGATGACTTAAACCTTTGGATTAAAAGGTAACATCATTCTCCTAAAGAAATAAATATAAAAATGATCATTAACATAACTTGAAAAATCAATAGATACTTACAAACCACTGAGGGGTATTGAAGTCATAAATCCCAGTACTACAAAATCTGACTGTATAAAGCCTTTGTAAAGGTAATTAAGTTAAAATGAGGCTGTTAGGGTGGGTCCCAATCCAGTCTGCCTGGTGTTCTTATAAGAAGAGGAAATTGGACACACAAGAGTCATCAGGGATTTGTGTACACACAGGAAAGACCAAGTAAAGAGGAGGTGAGAGGGTGGCCATCTGCAAGTCTTCCTATTTAGGGAGCTCTCAGTGGAAACAAACCCTGTCAGACCCTTAACCTTGAACTTCCAGCCTCCAGAACTGTGAGAAAATACATTTCTATTGTTCAAGACACTCAGTCTGTGGTATTTTGTATGGCAGTCATAGCTAACTAATATAGAAGGACATAGGGCAAAATAAAATATCACACTATAGGTAAAATAAAACAAAGAAACATATAAACTTGAGGTGGGTTTTAGACTTCTACAGTAAAATTTAAATTTAGAGGATATTTCCATAATGCCTTTAAAGTCCTGCTGTCCAGAGTGATTCAATAATTTTGTAGCCAATCAAACTTCCACAACTCCAATGCTACAACTGAATACTTATGAATATGTGAGAATTTGCAAGGTATATTTTGCATGAGCCCTTTATAAAAAAAATGATAAAACATAATTTAACAGAAACACTACATGTCTAATTAACAGCAAAATGTCACTGTGAGAAATAAATTGATTGAAACGTATAATTAAGTCTAAACTTTTTTGTGTGATTTATTATTGTAGAACAAAATGAATACATTATAAACTACATTAAGGTAGAAATAATATGACTAATAATAGGTAGGAAAGAAAATAAGTTGGAATACTGGGAATATTATAAAGTACAATGGCTTTCTCAATTTTAACAGCACTGGTGTCAAAATATAATTTATAAAATATAAACCAAAGATTAGAGATAGTGAGGTAAAATGTCAAATACTAAAAACAAAAAATAATCAACTAAAATTCATTGTGAAGGTGAGAGGAGGAGGAAGGGGAAGTGTAGAAAATTATAAAGTATGTTGATCTATTTCTTGCTCAGATAAGAAAATCAAGGGTTACTTTCTAAGGTAGAAGAGGAGTAGGTATATTATATAAAGCTGTGGTTAAAATAGTAATAGTGGCCAGGCACGGTGGCTCATGCCTGTAATCTCAGCACTTTGGGGGATCAAGGCAGGTGGATCACAAGGTTAGGAGTTCGAGACCAGCCTGGCCAATGTGGTGAAACCTTGTCTCTTCTAAAAATAGAAAACAATTAGCCAGGTGTGGTGGTGCATGTCTATAATTCCAGCTACTCAGGAGGCTGAGGCAGGAGAATTGCTTGAACCCAGAGGCAGAGGTTGCAGTGAGTCGAGATCATGCCACTGCACACCGCCTGGGCAACAGAGCAAGACTCTGTCTCAAAAAAAAAAAAAAAAAATAGTAATGGTTAGAGAAGCTTAAACTACAAGCATACATTTTGAAAAATATATATTTACCCAAATGAAAAAGAAAACAGAAGATATACAGAAAAATAAGAAATAAAGGTAGCAAAATAACAGAGGCCAACAGGCACATAAAATATTAAATATGAGGGTTATACATCTTTTTCTGTAAAGGAACAGAGAGTAATTTTGTTTGTTGTTGTTTGTTTGTTTGTTTTTGATTTTGTTTGTTTTTGAGTTTGTTTGTTTTTGAGATGGAGTTCTCGCTGTCGCCCAGCCTAGGGTGCAATGGCACAATCTCATCTCACTGCGACCTCTGGCTCCTCGGTTCAACTGATTCTCCAGCCTCATTCTCCCAAGTATTTGGGACTACAGGCATGGGCCACCATGCCTGGCTAATTTTTGTATTTTTAGTAGAGACGGGGTTTCACCATGTTGGCCAGGCTGGTCTTGAACTCTGGACCTCAAGTGATCCAACTGCCTTGGTCTCCCAAAGTGCTGGGATTACAGACGTGAGCAACTGTGCCTGGGCAAGAGTAAATATTTTAAAAGTTGAAGATCATATGGTCTCACTTGCATATATTCAAGTCTTCCATCTTAATATAAAGGAAGCCATAGCAATACATAAATGAAAGGGTGTGAGCATATTTGATTTGGAGGCTATAGTTTTTTGACCCTTGAGTTAATAGAGTGACTGGATTGGTCCACAAAGTAAAACACAGTTACACATTGTATATAAGATAAACTATAGAAAGAATATTTTTTACTTGTTTTTTGGGGGTGTTTTCTTTTTTTTTCTTTGATTTTCTTTTAAATGTTTATAATAAAGGAAAGAGCAAAGCCTTGCTAATAATATACATAATAAAGCAAAAATATTCATTAGTATAACATTTGATTGAATTTAGGGCAAAAAGAAAACATTAAAGAATAAAAATGTGTTTAATTTATAATGACTAATTAATGGGTTATAAATGTCTCTGTATCAAATAGTATATCATCCAAATCCACCAACTAAAAGTAGAGAAACAAAAAGGGACACAGAGTTCCAGTAGAATTAGTAAATATTGGTCTATTTTTCAGTATATGACAGATGAACTCAGAAAACATACACAGATTACATAAATAAAATGCTGTTGGTAAATTGAAAATTTATAATACTTTATACTTCCTACAAGCTAATAAATTGAACTGCCACAGTTTCCCAAGTACTGGCAGAAGATATCATTCTCCTACATCGGAGACAACATAAACATTAGCATATTGCGTTAGTTCTTCTTGATCACCACAAAGCTCAATAAGACATATTATAAATACAAAATCATTCACATATATATACAAGTAAAAGTGTGAAAAACAGAAGTCTTAAAAGCAGCAAGAGAAAAAATACTCATCATATACAGGAAAGTTCCAAGACAATTAACAGCTTACTTCTCATCTGTAACAATGGAAGATGCAAAGCAGTGGAATGACATATGCAGAGTTTTGATGCATGGGGTGTTAGCTGTCAATTAAGAATTTTACTTGATTGACAAAACTATTCTTCAAAAAACTAAAGTGAGACCAAGACATACTTAAACGAATAAAAACCAACAGCATATATTGCTAGCAAAACTGACTTATAAGAAATAATAAAGTTATTCGCACAGATAAAAAATAGCACCACATGGTAACTCAAATGTTAAAAAATCACAAAAAATGTTATATATGTGTGATTATGTGAAAAATTACATAAATCTATTTTCTCATTTCTTCTTTTAATATCTTTAAAATACATAAAATTGTATAAAGCAATAATTATAACAGTATTTTTAAATAATGGTTTTTAGGTCATGATATATATGATAGGAAACATATTTGAATATCATAATATAATATATCTCTATGTATCTATTATATATATTTATAAAGAGGAGGTAGAAAAACAGGGTAGGTAGTAAAGGTTTTATTTTATATTTTAATGGAATTACATTAGACTTAAAATAACTCAAAAACCAGTAAAATTTTTCAACAAATGAAGTGGTATATATATATATATATATATATATATATATATGTGTGTGTGTATATATATATATATATATATATGTGTGTGTGTATATATATATATATATCTGATACATATATATATATCTGATACATATATATATATCTGATACATATATATATATATCAGAAAGGAAGCAATAAAGTAGAAAAATGTAGGAACAATAAATACAGAAGATATATACAAAACACATAGCAAAATATGAAATGTAAATCCAAAGGAAAGTTAACCAAGAACCAATCAAACATTAGGTGATATTTGACTGGGTGAAGCAACATTTAATTATATATTGCCTAGAAGCAAAAAAGGTAGGTTCAAATAAACAAACAAGTTTTTACTTTAAAAGTATAAAACAATATATACTATAGAAACATAAATCATAACAGAAATAAAGGAGTTAGATTAATGTGAGATAAAATAGACTTAAAAAAAAAGAAGGCAAAGAGGGAACTTTCCTAAAAAAAAAAAAGCAATATATAAGGAAGACATAGCAAGCATAAATGGCCTTATAACAGAGCAGACCCAAAATATATGAAACAATAATGGAAATGACTGAAAGAAGAAAGAGACAATTCAGGAGTAATAATTGAGGATTTCAGTACATTATTATTAATAATAGAGTGAGACAGAAAAATAAGACTATAGCCTTGAAAAACACAACAAACATGACATAACATATATGGAATGCTCATCCCAATTAATGCAGAATATTATTTTCAATCATACTTGGAACACTTTCTAGTGCAAATCACACATTAGACCACACACAAAATAATAAAGTTAAAAATATTGAAGTCATACAAATTGTGCTTTCTGACCACAACAGACTGAAATTGCATATCAACTACAAAAAGAAATATCAAGAAGTCCTAGCCAGAACAATTAGGCAAGAGAAGTAAGATAAGGGCTTCCAAATTTGAAAGGAAAAAATCAAATTACCTTTGTTGGCAGATAACATGATCTTATATTTAGAAAAACTTAAAGGCTACCCAAAAACTGTTAGAACTGATAAATGAATTCAGTAAAATTGCAGGATACAAAATCAACATACAAAAAAGAGTAGTGTGTCTGTATGCTAACAGTGATCAATCTGCAAAAGAAATCAAGAAAGCAATCTTATTTATAATAGCTAATGAAAATAAATAAATAAAAGACAGGAATAAATTCAACTAAAGAAGTGAAAGTTCTCTACAATGAAAACTATAAAACACTGATGAAAGCAATTGAAGTGATTACAAAAGAATGGAAAAAATGCTTATGGGTCAGAAAAATTAATATTGTTAAAATGTCTATACTAACAAAATGATCTAAAGATTCCATGCAATCCCTATCAAAATACCAATGACATACTTTACATATTTTTTAATCCTAAAATTTGTATAGAACCACACACACACACACACACACACACACACACACACACAAATAACCAATACAATCCTAAGGGGAATGGGGGTAGGGAACTGGAGACCTCATATGTACCTTTCTTTCTTTTATTCTTACTCTTTCTCTTTGTGATTAAGTTTTCTCTAGTTGTCTGTTTGATTCTGTGCTATTTATTTTTAGCATATCTATTATAACTTTTTGTTTTGCGGTTACCATGGGACTTAATCTAACTTAAACAATGGCCTGTTTTGTCCCATTCTAGGGAACAATAAAAGTGAGCCACAAAAACTAAAACATTGAACTGGAACTAACTTGTCCTTCTATTATTTCCTGACCTGGGGGAAGAATTATAATGAGCACTTAAAATATAAACACTGCTCCAGAACTAAATTACTGCTTTGTTGTTGCTTCCTGTTCTGGGGAAGACTTGTAGTGATCGCTGGAACTTAAAATTTTCCCCAGAACTATATTGCTGCCTTGCCGTTTTTTCTCAGTTTGGGAAACACTTAAGTGAGCATGGGGAATTAATCCTTACATTTCAGGTGTTTCAGTGTTAGGGGGAGGCTCCACAGGAGCACCTGGGCTTTGTGAAAAATCCAGGTACACATTCAGGCCCTCCCATGGATTGTGCCCTTTGCAGCACTGTGGCACTGGCCAGTCTCTTCAATGCTGCATCTCCACTAATTGGAGCTACAGAGCAACAGCCACAAACCACAGGTCCGTTGCTGTGGTTAGCACCTGTCTCTTGGTCCCAAGTTCACTTTGAATGGCTTAGCCCTCCTACCACTCCCAGTGGTTCCTGTGAGAGAATCAGAGTGGAATTCCCATGAAAATTCCCAGATTGGTGGGAAGATTGAACATCTACCTTTAATTCTCTCTTCTCCCCTCAGCAATCATGGGTCTAGGAAAATTATCTGTGAGTGTTATTATGCCAGCTTGGGGGAGTAGTAATGCAGTCTTGATGACAATTTCTCTATCTGGCAACTGCTCTTGATCCTTTGGTCCCAGGGGCTTCTCTCCTGAGTTCTGGTAAGTTCTGGTAAAATAAGGCTAGATTCTGGTCTTTGAATAGTTTTTAGTTGTATTTTTGTTAGGAGAATGATGCCAGGGGATTTTCTATTCTGCCATATTGCTGACATCACTCCTCCAAATACTTTGAGTTCTTTACAGAAAAAAATAAAAAAATGCAATGCCTGATACAGACTGAATAAGATTTTTAAAAAGATGCTAGTTACTTGAGAAATTAAAATTGAAAACAGGGGCATAATTACCAACCCTCCAGATTATGAATAAAATGCCAGGAAATTAGTTTAAAATTTTATAAAGTTGAAAATTACCAAAACTGAACAAGAGTAAAGATAAAACAAACAGAATGAATTAATAATTGTAAATATTTATCCAAATAAAAGCCCAAATATTTAAAGATAATGTAATGACAGTCTTCACACCTTCAGTTAACAAAAGATACAGGACATTTTCTAAAACTATGAGGCAAGTATTAATTCTGATACCAAAGCAAAAGTTAATTCAACATTGATCATAGATGAAGTCCATTTAGCATTGCTTATGAGTCAAGTCTACTGGCAATAAATTATCTTTCTCAGTTTTTGTTTTTCTGGAAAGTCTTTATCTCTCCTTCATTTTAAAGGACAGTTTTGCCAGACATGGTATTCTTGGTTGGCAGTTTTGTTTTGTTTGTTTTCTTTAAGCACTTTGAATATATCATTCTCCTCTCCTGGCCTGCAAAGTTTCTACTGTGAAATACACTGATAGTCTTATGAATGTTTTTTATATGTGAAAAGTTATTTTTATTTTTTCATCTTTGACTTTTAATAATTAAATTATTGTGCTTTATTATAGGCCTTTTCAGATTAACTCAATTTGGGATCCTTTAGGCTGCATAAATAGGAATCTTTATTTTTCTTTCCAGATTTCAGATTTTCCAGTAATTATTTTTTAAGTAATCTTTCTACCTCTTTCTGTTTTTCTTCTAGGATTCCCCTAATTTGTTTATTGGTTTGCTTGATGATGTTTTAGACCAAATGCAAGAGCAAAAACTACAAAATTTCTAGGAAGAACATATATAAAAGTTTACAACATTGGGTTTGACAGTGTTCTTAGATAAAATACCAAGAGCATGATTCATAAAAGATAAAATAATAATTGACCCAGTTACATAATAATAAAAAACATTTATGTTTCAAAGGACACCAATAGAAAATGTAAAAACAAGCCACAGTCCCCCAAACTTGAGGAAAACATTTAAAAATTATATATATAACTTGTATCTAGAGTACATATATATGTATGTCTCTGTATATATACAGTTATATGTGTATACATACATATATATTTACGTACACATATATATGACTTTTATCCAGAGTGTATATGTGTTGTATATATAGAGTTACATACACACATATGTATTACTTATATTCGAAGTGTATATTTTCATATATATACCCTATATATAGTTACAATTTATTAACAAGAAAACAACCAAATTACACAGTAAACACAATATTTGAACATTTGTCTCAGTGATGTAGATATTCAGATGGCTAATGAGCACATGGAATGATATTCCAAATCAACATTAGAGGAAGGTTAACTTAAAACTGCAATGAGTTATCACTATATACTAACTATAATTACTATAATCAAAGAAAGAAATAATATAAGATATTATTAAAGATGTAGAGAAACTGGAACCTTCATTCACTGTTGACAGGAATATAAAATGGTAAATCTACATTTAAAAAAATGTGGCAGTCTCTTAAAATGCTACACATAAATTTTTCATATGGCTCAGTAATTTAACTCTTAGGAATCTATCTAAGGATAAAAAATATATGTCCACAAAAAGGCATGCACACAGATATTACAGCAGCATTGTTCCTGATAGTCAAAATCTAGAAACTGTTAGAATAGCTGTCGGTTTGTAAAGAGAAAAACAAACTCCCATTGTATTCATACAATGGTATACTTTCATTAATAAAAAGGAACCAACTACTAATATATGCTACAATGTAGATAAGTATATCTTATACAAATATCATTAATGAAACCAGTTAAACACAAAAAGCAACTTATTTTATGAGTCCTTGATGTTAAATGTGCATAAAAGGCAAATTTATAAAGACAAAAATACAGAACAATAGTTGCGTAGAACTGGGAGTGGGGACTGAGTTTACTGCAAATGGTCATGAAGAAAATTCATTAGATAATGAACGCTTTCTAAAACTGGATTGTTATGATGAATGTAACATTCTATGAGCATATTAAAAATATTCAATTTTACCTTTACAATGGATAAATTTTATATTTAAATTATACCTGTACGAAACTGTTAAAAATGTGTCAGAATGTCCATAAAAAAATTTGTCAGAATGTCCATTAAAAATGTTTTTTAAATGTTCAAACTCACCAATAAGAAGAGAAATACAAAAATTCTAACCTTCATTTAACATTCCATGTTATACCATTCAGAATGCAAATGTGTGTATCAGACAGTATCAACTCCTGGATGAAAAATGAAGAAAAGAAAACTCATATGCTGGTAAATGAGATTGTGATACTACTCTTAGGAACAATTTGGGAAACTTAGTAAAGTTAATGGTATGCAAACCTTAAAGCCCAGCAATTTTTCTTTTCCATGTGTACCTACTACCATGCTTCTTACACTGTGCAGAGGAATTATCTTGTTTTTTATAATTAAAATTCTGATTTTGCAGAAGTGACAGCCTGAAATTGTGCACCTATTCTCAGATGATATCAATTTTGCTCGTCTATCATTCACATACCCTAGGAGATGCATAGAAGAATCTTTGTAACAGCACTGTTGACTTTTAGAAAGTCAATAACTGATAGGCTTATCAATAACTGAGTGAAAAATTAAACACATATGTTTATACAATGGATAATTTTGTAGCAATAAATATTTTAAATGAAATATGATACAGTATAAGTAAAACAAATAAACTAAACCCATACATATTAACACGAATGTATTGTATAAGATGTAATGTTGAGAGAAAATAGTAAGTACCAGAAGAATAAGTATAGCTCTTTGTGAGAAATATTTTAAATAACAAAGTGATACAATATATTTATTACAAAGAATTTAAATATCATAAATATGTAATAAAGAAAGAGGAAGACAGTTTTATAAAGCTTCAACTGCATTCATCTGCAATTATTGTTTTAGCTGATGGTGAGGATAAAGAATTGTTCAGTGTATTTTTTAATATACCATTTTGCTTCCAGTATTATAACACAAACAATTTTTAGAAATAAGAATAATTTCTTATTTCTTCATTACCCTAGGTAATACCACTTAGGATATAGGCACAGGCAAAGACTTCATGATGAAGGTGCCAAAAGTAATTGCAACAAAAGCAAAAATTGACAAATGGAACCAAATTAAACTAAAGATCTTCTGCACAGCAGAAGAAACTATCGAGAGAGTAATTTATTTTTTTTTGCAAACTATGCATCTGACAAAGCTCTAATATCCAGCATCTGTAAGGAACTTCAAATTTACAAAAAAAAAAAAAAAAAAAAAAAAAAAAAAAAACACACACATAAAAAAGTGGGCAAAGGACATGAACAGACACTTGTCAAAAGAAGACATACATGTTGCCAACAAACATGGAAAAAACTTAACATCACTGATCATTAGAGAAATGCAAATCAAAATCACAATGAGATACCACCTCATACCAGCCATAATGCCTACTATTAAAAAGTCAAAAAATAACATGCTGTTGACGTTGTGGAGAAAAGGAAATGCTTATACACTTCTGGTGGGAGTGTGAATTATTTCAGCCATTGTGGAAGACAGTATGGCAATTCTGCAAAGATCTAAATACAAAAATACCATTTGACCCAGTAATCCAATTACTGGATATCTACCCAAATAAATATAATTTTTTATTAAAAATACATATGCACAAATATGTTTATTGCAGCATTATTCACAATAGCAAAGACACGGAATCAACTTAAATGTCCATCAATGACATGCTGGATAAAGAAAATGTGCTACATATACACCATGGATACTATGCAGCCATAAAAAAGAATGAGATCATGTCCTTTGCAGGGACGTGGATGGAACTGGAGGCCATTACCCTTATCAAACTAACACAAAAATAGAAAACCAAATACCACATGTTTTCGCTTATAGTTGGGAGCTAAATGATGAGAACACATGGACATGTGGTGGGGAACAACACACACTGGAGCCTTTGGAGAGGGGAGAGTAGGAGGAGGGAGAGGATTAGGAAAAATAAAGGTATAGACTTAATACCTGGGTAATAAAATGATCTGTACAACAAACCTCCATGACACAAGTTTACCTATGTAATGATCCAGCACTTGGACCCCTGAATAACATTTTTTTTAATGTTGGGATAAATCTTTACAATACATAGTAGAGATAACTAGATTATGTCTTCAATAAATAAATCAACTTTATAAATTAATACAACAGTTTAATGAGACACAGAAAAATGGCAAAGAATGTGAGCAAACAGCTCAAACAATGAAAAGCAAATGTCTTGAAGTGGCTGAAAAGGGGCACAATGTCACTCAAAGAAGTGTTCACATTTAAATTACAACAGGATAACTGTTTATTTAGAGTGATAAAGTTCAAATATGTTTATAATACACTGCATTGTTTGATAGAGAAACAGTAATTCTCTTACTTTCTTAGAAAAAGTGTAAAACTCCAATTCTCTGTGATGGCATTTTGGCAACCTTCATCAACATTTAAAGTGCACATTAACATTTAACATCAACATTTCAAATGCACATTGAAGTACACAGAACCTGGATTTCTGTGACTATGTTGTAAAGATGTACTCGTACCCATGCAAAATGACAAATGCACAGGTTGCATATGGAGTATGTGTGTGTATTAGCAAAAGATAAAAAACAACTTAGAAGTCCATCCATCAAGGACTGGCATTGTAAATGTATATAATTGAGTATTAACTTTGTTTGGCTTTGCTGTTCCTGCAACAAAGACTGAGATGTCTGTAGATGGATATAGAAGAATTCTTGAGGTATATGATACTCAACAAAGATGAAAGAAGGACTAGAATAATGTTTATAATATGCTACCATTGGTTAAAAAAATACATTATATATTTGATACACAGAATATTCCTGGAAAGACACACAAGAAAACAATAGGAGGTGTTACTTGACAGGGGTAGAGGGTAGCCAAGGAGGATGAAAAGATACAAAAATTTCTCAGTATATCTATTAGAATAGCATCCATTTTATAATGTTCATATATGACTTACTAAAAAAATAATTACACAATATACAGAATGGGTGATAGAATGGGATTACTAGTTTTTCATGTTTGTCTGCAACTAGAAGACTAAGAAATAAAACAAGAGTTGCCAAATATTTCCACATTCCAAAGCAAAATACTAGATAACTGATAGAGAAGGTGTTCAAAACCTGGTTCTTCCGCTCTCACCCATCATCCACTGCAATGTTACATTCCATACAGATTGTAACATTGTATGGAATGATCAGGGATTGATCAGGAAGCTGAGAAGACTGGAAAGTATTAGGTTTTTTACAGAGTTGTTGATATTCTGTGGCACCTGCATCTCCCACAATCCTTAAAAAAGAAGAGGAGTGATTTTCTTCACCTTCATACAGATTTGGGGAGCTTCAGGGGAACCCCTTCAGAGAGCTTTATCTTTGTCTCTAAAGTTTTCACAGTGTAAAGTCATACCATACTCATTGCTGAATAAACTGACTTTTGAAAGGCTAGGTAAAGGGTCTGAAGAGGGTTGATGAACAAGTAGCATATCTAACAATTTTGGGCAAAGAATAATTTTGAAAAGAACCCACAAAATGAGAGTTCCTTGAGAGTTAACCTCAGTAGATATTGTCTCTCTGGTGAGGCAGGCTTTTGAGTGTGGAAGCTCATGGGACACCTTAGCAGCCATCAGAAGGGAGGTGGAGAAGCTACATCCTGCAGGGAGTTCTGGCAGAGAAATTTCTGAGACTGCCATAAGCCAAATAACCCACATTCCAAGTTCACTGTGCTGAGCAGATCATATATATATATCTGTTCCAATGTATCAATAGGGGCCAATAAGGAAACAGAGAACCAAAGGGGCACAGGAGATCCTGAGAAGCTGAGCAAGGGACAGTGAAGGAGCTTACAGGTTTACCATGGCAAGAAGCCCTTACCACTTCAAGAGGCAATGAGAAGGGGAAGGGATATTGAGCCCAAGGGCTGGAGTTATCAAACGGTAGGTTGGTAGGAACCTCAGAGGGCCTATAAACAAGAGACAAGAGCAAAGAAGAAATGCCACCTGAAACATTTCAGGAAGGGAGAGAAATGCCATAGCTTTTCTTTTTCTCTTTGTCATAATCTTATTCCAGTGACTTCCATTGGTCAAGCCCAGACAGAAGTTCACCTCTTGCTGGGTATGCGGTCAGCAAGGGCCAGCTGCCCTGAATCATAGAGCAGAGAAGAAGGTTGAGAAATGTATCTGAGTGCAGTGGTGCTCAAAACAACAGAAACAACAGCAATCAAATGAGATCTTTGGTGTTCCTATCTTTTCTGTAGTACCCAGTAGAGAGGAGAGAGGATCACACCACAGAAACCAGAGAATAAACCAGCTATTCTCTTCCACCTTCCTCTCACTCCCAACCACCCTCCCCACACAAACACTCATACAGAGCCACTCCTTCCATCTTCCACTGGGAGAGACTCACCTGTGTAAGATTTGACGTCACAGCAACAATGGTCCAAATGCACCTCACACTGACCATCGCTCAAACTACACTGAATACAGACTCTTTGTGCCACCCAGACAAGTTCCATTCTCTAAGCTGAATACAGTCACCAGCTATCGTGGAATTTTTCCTAATGGAAGAATGTAGAATTAGGAATTATATGAATGCTAATTAAAATCTTGTTCTATTCCTGTTGATACCTGCAATCTCAATCGAGCTGCTTAATCTCTCAGAAATGAAATGTTCTCATGTGTTAAATGATGATGGCCATGCCAATAATTTAGGCTGTTGTGGGATGAATGCCTTCACTTAGAACTGGGTAGATGCTTATTAGATATTGGTCTCATTTCCAGAGTTTTATTAATTAGAATGTTCTTAATCACCTCTCCATTTGTGAAAAGCTGGTCTCTTCAATGAAGCCCAACTTAAAATCTCCTTTTCAAGATTATATCTCTGTCAAAGAGAGGAATACTGCTTATCCATTTATCTCTTTCCATTGTATCCATTCCTTTGCAGTCACATGTAGTTATTTGAGATACGAAAGATGGGGGACATGGAGGATGACCACTTGGGAGAGGATCATTCACATAGTGGGCTCCAATTCATTCAGCATTCTTCTGTGTATAATCACCATTCGCTGACTGTTCACTGTTCACATTCTTGAGAAGCTCAGGACAAGAAGCCAGATGACTTTGGTTCAAATCTTGGCTGTACTTCTTGGCAACAGAGGGACTTTGGGAAGATTATTTAACCTTTCTCTTCTGCAGTTGTGCCATTATCTACAAAATCAAAATAATGATAGTACCTACCTTATAGGATTATTGCGAAAAATTAGTTTATGTAAGATATCTAGTATTGGATCTAAAGGCTTATTCATACCTCCAAAGGATAACGACATCCAGTGGTTATGCTTTGGAGGCATGAATAAGCCTTTAGATCACCCAACAAGTAATTCATATTCATTCAGGTGTGATTTGTTACTGGAAGAATTTTCTATTTATTTATTTGTGTGCTTATTCGTCCATTCCTTTTTAAAGATTATTTCCCACCACATTTATTATCACAGAGAATTCAGATGAACATGAAATTATCTGGATTCATTTCATCAAATATTTCTGATGGGCTTAATTGATTTTATAGGTGGCTTTTCTACAATAAATGATAGACATCTGAATAAAAATAAACACGTGGCTGAATCGAATTTCATGAGAAAATGGAAATCTTATCTATGTGTCTGTATGTATTGAAAATCTACCTCTGTATATACAATCTTTGTATATATTTCCTAATAGAAGAAATTTTAGAAAATTTAAGTATTGACTAAGACTGACCTTTTTTTGCAGAAAATTAAAAAAATAAATTTATGTTTTAATGTTTGTAATTTTTTACTATCTTTTCTTATAAAGGAATTTGGTCTTTGACATCTGTCTCTAGCAGGGTCTATGTAGTCGTGCCACATTCTGTCATTCTGTACAGTTGATAGTTTACAAAGGAGAAAAATAAATTATAAATGGGTCTACCCTGGCAGAGACGCCTGTTTCAGTGAGCAATCATGTCCAAGCTGACAGGTTCACAGCCTCACATCTCTGAGACTTGGCACCCTCTTACCTTGCCAGTGGGATGATTTTCAAATTAAACTTTCACACATCAACCTTCCAAGGAAGTCATGAGTTTGATTGTCTTGGTTTGTGTCTTTCAGGTATTCTAATGAACACCTGTCATTTTTAGATCAATATAATTTAAAGCACTGTTTTTTATTTTCTTCTCCTCTCCCCTTTGCTAAATAAAGGTTATAGCACTACCCACTACCCAAAATTACCCCCCCCCACATACACTTATCCACCAGCAAAGGCACATCCAGCCAGACTGTTTTATGTCCAATTTGTTTATCGTGATGAGAAATGAGGGAATCTTTGGCAGAGATCATTAATTTTATAGCTTGTGTTTCAAAAAGTAGTTCCTGGGCTATTTACGTCTCTTCATATTAACACCTGAGAAAATGAGTGTGCTGAAGACATAAACCTGGAAGCAAAGTGTGTTTACCTTCCCCCCTAAATATAATTCATGGCTCAGAACAGATCTTTATGACTCATAATCAAATATTTTCCTGGGGTTGCATTTGATGTTTGCCGCAGTGACACTGAATGTCTTTGGGTCTTTTGATTCAAAGACAATTAGCTGCCTGTTGGATTTTGATATTCAAGATGGAATTATTACAATTTATCTTGGCAGGGGGAATCACTCTTTAAATTAACTGGTATTAGTGTCATGCATTGCAAAAGGTTATTAGTCCAGAAAAATGTAATAAAAAAAAATTTGGTGAGAGGAAGGTCTTAAAGGAATCCCTGCAATTACATGGTGTCATCTTATTGGTTTGATAGTTAAGGCAAATGAAATTTGATAGGCTGACCTAAACAAGGACAAAGGCTATTCTAACTCTAGCATCTGTACAAAACCTGGCATAAAATACGCTCTCAAACTTATTACAGAATGTAATAATGTATACTATTTCCTTCCCTCCTTTTTTTGTTATTTTTCTCTTCTTCTAATGTATGTTTATTGAATGTTCACTGGCTAATCAATTAGAAGTATGTATAAACAAAGGTGGGGTTCATGGCTAATCAATTAGAAGTATGTATAAACAAAGGTGGGGTTCATTTTCAGAGATGCTATGAAAGGGGACAGGCCGGCCAGGTGCATTGGTTCAAGCCAATTGGTTCAATCTCAGCACTTTGGGAGGCCAAGGCAGGCGGATTGCCTGAGGTCAGGAGCTCAAGACCAGCCTGGCCAACATGGTGAAACCCCATCTCTACTAAAACTACAAACAGTAGCTGGGCATGGTGGCCCATGCGTGTAATCCCAGCTACTCGGGAGGCTGAGGCAGGAGAATCGCTTGAACCCGGGAGGCAGAGGTTGCAGTGAGCTGAAATCGCACCACTGCACTCCAGCCTGGGTGGCAGAGCGAGACTCTGTCTCAAAGGGAAAAAAAAGGAAAGGGGACAGGACTTGAGCAAAAGCTCTGACCAGATCTTCTCTAAGGCAAATCACTTTAAATTCGGACCTGCACACCTGGGCCTGCCTACACCACTGCAGCAGAAATTAACTTAAAATTATTTATAGATCTATTACTATATATTCTATTCAGAAGGACTGAAGTGGAATTTAGGGATACACATGTTATTATCTTCTTTCCATTCTTTGCTTAAGATGCAAACTGATTTATACCATTTACCTACCAACCTCCCCAAAGTTTAGTGAAATTATATAGAAAATACACAAAGGACAATAAATAAGTAACAGAGAAAAGGAGGTGAAGGGCACCAGTGTTTTTGATGACATTCTGGAAGACAGAAAGAGAATAGGATCTTACAATTGTGCTAAAATCTCAGCTCAGAGAAGCTACAGGAAGTTGGGAGCTGGGGCTATTCTTCCCATTAATGGAGAGTCTCTTTGAGATTGGTGGGAAGAGAACTTCAGAAAAGAAAGAGGGCAAAGATCGGGGGATTCATTAATCAGAGCTGTCATATTACCTCTCCCTGAACCCTCCCCATGCACAGATACAGGCACCAGAGAGTAGGTTCTCATCCAAAAGCAGAGAATTCCCATCCAGTAGTGTTTTATTATCTGCCTTGGGAAAGCCAGAACTCCTGGTTTGTACCTAACATAAGGACTTAGTCTTTAAATCTATAGAGTGGAAGTGGGGTAGAAAATCTCATACTTATCTTACTTCTAAGCAAACAGACCAGACACACATACAAGCTTATAACGAGCCCCTCACCCTCTTCAAAAACAGAAACCTATGAGTGGAGAGACAGACCAAAGAACAGAGGAAACACATGATGGCTTCTTATGCTAAACAACACTTGCCTTAATCCATAACCATAAATGAATAGCCAAGACACCACGAGACATTTAAGAAAATCAAATGTAAGAATAGCAAAAACAAAATGAAAAATTCAGGAAAAAATTCACGTATCCAAATAATCAAAATAGGTATTTGAGGGGATACAAAGAACTTAACAACAAAAAAGTGTTTTTAAAGGCATTTTCTTTCCAGAACAGAAAATAATCTATTATTTATTAATTAATAAATATTTCCCAGGCACTTGCTATGAGGCTATAAGCGAGGCTCTGTTGAAATAGAGAGGGTATATCATAGAAAGCAGATACATGATGTTCTGCCTTCATGAAGCTTACATTCTAGTGGGAACAGCAGACATTAAGGACATTAGCAAGATAAATATAATTTCAGGTAGCAGTAGTACTAAGAAGTTAATTAAGTAGGTTAAAGAAAAAAAAAGAGTTGTAAGCAACAAAACTGACTTTGCTGAATGCAACAGAAAACAAATGCAATGACTGCATCTCAAGCGATCCTGGAGAATCAAGCATTTCCAATGACCAAAATCAAGCCATGAAACTGGTGCAGTGAAGGAGGCCAGTGCTGTCACCACCTGGTGCTGTCTATGTTATCATGCACCTTTATCACCAGAAATCCCTGGAAATCATGTAACTGCCGCTTTGAGACAGTGGGTGCAGCTGCCTCCTCTGTCAAGGAAACTGGGGAGCCCCACTTTAGTCATATTACCAGCTTCCAACTTAAGGTGGGTGCATCTTATAGTGGAGTCTTAGCCTTCCTAGCAACTAGGAAAAGGCTGTAACAGTTGGCATGTGGCATTTTTAGTTATAGAGTATGAGGCAGCCTCTGATTTTTTTTTTTTTATTTTTTTGAGACAGAGTCTTGCTCTGTTGCCCAGGCTAGAGTGCAGTGATGTGATCTCAGCTTTCTACAACCTCTGCCTCCCTGGTTCAAGCCGCCTCCCCAGTTCAAGCAATTCTCTTGCCTCAGCTTTCTCAGTAGCTGGGATTACAGGTGCCCACCACCACACCTGGCTAATTTTTTTTTTTTTTTGTAGACATGGGGTTACACCTTGTTAGCCAGGCTGGTCTCAAACTCCTGACCTCAAGTGATCCACCCACCCTGGCCTCCCAAAGTGCTGGGATTACAGGCATGAGCCACCACACCTGGCTAGCCTCTGATTCTTAAATGGAGGATTCCTGAGACAGGAAGGAATTTAAGAGCATGGGCTACCAAATCAAATGACAAACATTTGTCCAGTGTAAAAAGGATCAGACCGCAATTCTAGGGCATCTTTCCATCCTCTTCCACCTTCAATGCTTTTGTTTCTTCATCTCAAAAATGAAAGAGTACAACTGAATTATTGCTGAAATCACTTACCTCCTTAAATTCTAAGAGTCACTGATTCAAAGAGAAAAGACAAGGTGAAACAGTTCAAATAGATGTTCAACAAGTAGACAGACGGGGCAAAATGGGAAGAGAATATTCTGAGTCAAATAGAAATTCAGTGCAGTCGTCTTATGGAGAATAAGAGGATGTAGATGTACAAAAGAGAAAGAGAGAAAGAGCAGGGGACTAGAGCAGGAGAATGAAAGAATAGAGTCCACAGAGAAGCTGACACATCCATTCACAAGACAGCTGAATTATTCTGCTTGGTAATATGAATCAGTTGAAATAACTTATACAAGAAGAAAACTATAGGCAGGCCTTAGCTTCACACTCATGACAGAGGGAGTTTGTACAGCATGTGAAACTTGTGATACTGAGTGTCTTACCTGAGGTGGAAAAAGGCTAAGGATGTATAAAAGGAATATCACCATTCATTCAGCAAACATTTTTCCCACCTCCTGCATTTATTAAAATAAAATTTATACTGTCTGCTTCAAGGACTCAGACTAGATACATTAACAATAGTATTAGTATGGCAAATGTCATAAAAATCAGTAAACATATTATCTCAGGGAACAGAAAAATGGTACCTAACAGTTTGGGAAGAACATATTATATATATATATATATATATATATACACACACACACACACACATATATATGTATATATATACACATATATGTATATATATACACAAAAAAAATTATATATATAAAATATATATTATATATAATATACATACATTATATATATAAACTATATAAACAGACACTCTAAATATTTCAAATACACACAGACACACACAAACACATACACACATATTTCCAAGAGATTAAGCTGCATTTTGAAAGAAAAAAGAGTTTACCAGGACGATAAAGAGAGCACGGCTATTCCAGAGAAAAAGAGAACATATGATCTGAGGAAAACACTGAAACAGGAAAGTCTTTGACTTTTTCAAGGTCAGTGCAGTTGAGATGGTGCTTTCTTACAGAGAAAAGCACCCGGAGATTAGAATTTTAGCTGCCTCATATCGGACTTTGTGTGTCAAGCTAAGTTGCTTGGGTTACATTCTGAAAATGACAAAGTGATACAGGAGAATTTGGGACAAGAAAATAACAAGGTCAGAGCTGACGAGCAGTTTGGAGGTTAGAAGCAACAGAACACATGAGAAAATGATTTTAACAGAATCAAAACAAAGCAGTGATTGCTGGGCCCAAGGAAAGGTGGTGGAGATGGAAACAACGGCATGATGCGTTCAAGAGAAAATATAGACCACTGAAAATGACAAGGATGTGAGGAGATACACAGGCTAATTAGCTCAATTTAGCCATTCCGCGGTGTATAGGTACTTCAGAACAACATGTTGTATGTGAAAAATATATACAGTATTTGTCAATTAAAATAAAGCAATAAAGAGAGAAAATATGGAAGATGAGCTAAGAGAATGCAGAGAAGTAGAATCCTGAGGATGGTTTTCTCAATCCCTACCAGTAACTTTCAATCCCAGAAGGAGGAAAAGAAAATATATGTGCATTTCTGTGTGTGTACAGACAAGTATGCACATATAGTATATAGATACAAAGTTATAGAAAAGCATAAGAGAGTAAATTGTTACTTTAGATGTGTTTTGTGATCAATATCCTGAGTGCCACATTTAATAATGGTAAATGGTAGCATTTTTATGAGGCTAATATAGTCAAGAAACGGAAATAGTGCAATTTGTATTGTATCCTTAAAAACAATTAATATTTATCTCCCCAGAAAAAATGAGAGGCTAGGCTTTCAGTTGTAGAGAACGAATTGATGTATAAGTTTGGTATGAGTCTGATTCGACCTGGGGTGGCAGGAAGATGATGCCATCTAAATAAACAAACTAAACAGTTAATGCTAAGGAAGTTAAAAGAATCAGATCTCCAGAAGAACCATTGTTTTGGTCTGTGGATCATCGTAGTAGAAGGAATTGAAAGAAGGTTGGCTTAAGAAATAATCTGGAGACAGAATGGGGCCACATGAGATAAAAATACTGGCCTTTGTTGGAGAGGAGGCTGGCTGTTAGCGGTTGGAAGAAAATGGAGAAAGATCCCAGGAACTGAGAGGGTTGGGAGGGTCCCTGAGAGCAGGAAAGGTGGAAGAGGTGTGTTGATAACTGAGCCAAAGTCTAACAAAGACAAAACAAAGGTCATTTCAGACAGCAGGATTATCCTGTGTAAAGACAGGCAAGCACACAGTGGCAAGGCATGCTCACAGAACATAATTGGACATGTCCAAATGACAGGATGTGTGTGTGTGTGTGTGTGTGTGTGTGTGTGTGTGTGTGTGTGTGTGTGTGTGTACATGTGATTTGGGGTTTGGGATGCTGAGAAGATGGTATCAATCATGTTTTCAGGAGAATGTAGTGGGTGGAAAAGGCACACGGTTAGAGAAACACAAGAAGTACATTTTAGAAGACTTGATGTAGAATATCATGGAGCCTGAGGCCTGAGATTTATTTAATAAAATGGTGTCATTAGAAAGGTCTATGATAAGATTGCTAATCTTGAGAAATCTGTCATTATAATGGAGAATGAAGGAAGGTAGGAAGAGACAGAATGATCCCATAATAGTTACTCCAGTGGTTATCAGCATTTATTGTGTATATGAAATTCACCTGGGGATACTGTTGAAACACAGATTCTGATTCAGAGAATCTCAGTGCATCCTGAGTTTCTGCATTTGTAACATTTCTAACATCAGAAGATATAAGGCTGCTGGCCTATGAGCAGCACTTGGAATAGCAAGGATGAAAAGATAATTTGTCTGACCCTGGTGAAATGGTGAGGGCCTGAATTATACACTGTAGCTGTTGCTATATACCTTTGGAGTGTCTTAACTAGGTATTTTCCTGATTAGTTGTAATACTGATATGTAACATACATGAATTTCAAGTATTAACTGCTATAGCCACTTAAGAATGTTCACACAAACCTGTGTCCTCTAGGTTTTCTCTTGTGTATGAATTAAGGACACATTCTATTGCCATGCTTCCTCATATCAACATGTCTCATTTCATTTACAGGTGAGTTCTGAATGAAGTTATATGTCCAACTGATGCATCTTTTGTAATACTCATGGAAGGAAGTTTATACTTCAAGCTGGAGAGGCTGTGCATATTAAATATGTTCTTTTGCAACGTATACTGAAACGCTGATTAATGAGGCTTCTGTTTCCTCTTTTCTCAAACCAATTTGGGGATCTATACTTGTCAGTGTAAGGGGCTTTCTTATGTTCTATCTGCTTCCTATTACATGTGCATATTATTCATTTTAGTCATTGGCTTTAGGCTAAAGAGTGACTGAGCCTTCATTTTCTAAACAGAATGAAAGCAAAAGAAGACCTCTGCACACTTTTATTTTTGTCAATTTGGTCAAGTTGTTTAGAAAGTCAATCTTCTTTCATTATCTGACACAAACTGTGTATGACATGCAAAAATAATTGGTCTATACAAGTTTTAGTTGCAAAATGTTTTATTGCCCCACTTATGGCTTTTATTTGTACCCACCTGTTGTTTATCCTTTCTCACCTCCTGGACCCATTCTTAGTCTTACCTAACTTTTTTCTTTTTTTTCTGAAAATACTTTCCAAGTTTCTCCTAAGAAAACATATTAGTCTATTAAGTAAAAAGAGGAAATGAAGTGAAATATTTCTCTATAAATAAAAAAAAACATCCATTGGGTCCATTGTCTAAAATTACAGCAGGTCAAAGATTTTACTCTCTTCACAAGCTAAGAAGTTAGACTGCTATATTTTCAGTGGCCTAAGAGAAGAAACCAAGACTCCTAGGTGAGAGGCAAAAGATGTATACTCATAGCACAAAAGATTTACACAGGCTTCAGGTTCACGTTGGTTTTTCTTATCACTCCATCCCCAGTCCCACAGGGACAAACAGGAAGCCCCAGAAAGACACTGCCCAGGCAGTGAGTTTGTGTCACTGCTGAGAACATGGACCTTAAGGAACCCAGATCTTTTATAATGGGCTGCAAGCAAAGCTGCCCAACTTTCACTCAGGAGAGAGATACAATCTTTATTATACTGGACAGTAACCCAACCTGTCCTCTCTTCTAAAGGGAGACACTATCTCTGTCTTCCAAAGCTGTTGAATCTGTGAACATCCTTGACAAGACAGTCCAGAATGAAAAAGCTGTCCATGTTGCCACTCATGAGAGGTGTAGAAATGTGACAGACCCATGGAAAATTGTCTCCCACAACTATTACCTGACTTCTGTAATTTAAGATGTAAGGCATCAATACCAACTTCGCAAATGTAACAGATTTTTTTAAAATTTCATTTTGATCAGCTACCACATTGAAAAGTTACCATTATATTTCTCTAAGAAGGCAGCATGAAAAGGCCTTTGGGGGTTGAAAAGTCATGAATTTAGTTGTGGTTCAACTACATCTAGATGAATCACTTAGAACAATACACATTATCTGTCTAAATCTCAGGTACCAGAACCCTAAAGCCCAATGCCAGAAATATTGCAGGCACTCACTAAATTTGTTTGCTTCTCACATCCTTCTTCTCAGCATTCATTCTAGGAGTCTACTACTATAAATAAAGGTATCCCAGCCTTCTCCCTCAATTCCAAGTAGTTGTGGAAAGAATTCGCTGTCTGCAAAATACTTGCACTTTATTCTCTGAGTAATCCAAGAAGAAAAGAAGACATAATCTGAGACAGTCTTGTTAGAGAGATAAAAAGCAGCACAGTGGACTGCAAATCTTATTACAAACTAATTCTAAGAAAACAATTGTTACAATGATGCAATTTGATTAATTAGGGTTACCTTCAGGCATAAGGCATAGCAGTTGGAAAAGAACACAAATGTTGGAGTCATGCTTGCCTTCAACTCAACTCTGTTGCTTAGTTTATATGCCCGTAATGTTATCAGACCAGGGAGTTTTCCATTTTCTGTATACAAAATGGGCTTTAAAATATGTATCTACATTATTGCAGGGATTAAATGATATCACATGGGTGAAGTACCTAACACACCAAATTACAGATGCACAAAAAACTCAGTCTCCTTTTCTTATTTTTTCCCTCTATGATTTGTATCACAAAGTTTATTTAACTTAATATTTGGTGACTTTCTGATCACATTTGAGAAATGTCTCACGTGACCTCTTTCTTCTTTCATTCACTATCTTACTTTTTTCTTTCCCTAATTTCTGGAATTCTCAAGTGAGTGACCTTATGTCCATTGCTCTTTAACAAGTTTTCTTAAACAGGAGCTCCCTGCCAACCATAATCCTGTGATAAATCAATACAAATCCAATGTCAAATCACACACCCTGACCATTCTCCTAAGCATGTTTCCTGTCATACTTTGTGATGAGTTATATTTTCCAAAAATGGTCACAGACATATTTGCAGCCCTCCAGTATGTCTTTCCTTTCAGAACCTCACCAATCCCATCAAGAGGTAGAGTCTGTTTCTCCTCCCTCTGAGCAGACTTGTAAGGGCTCTGACATGTAGAATATGACAGAAACCATGCCATGGGACTTCCGAGGCCAGGCCATAAAACGTATGCAGCTTCTTCCTGGATGTCTTAACATACTTGTCTTTGAGTCCGGCCACCCTGCAGTGAAGAGACTGAGCCATAGGATGAGGCTGTGTGTGGTGTTCCAGCCTTGCAGCCCCACTGAGTTCCAGCAGACAGCCACCATCAGCCACCAGATGTGAGTGAACAACCTTAGGGCGAATCCCGCTTTTAGCAACTATGTCCTTCAAGCCTTTGCATCTTCCTAGTGGAGGCTCCAAACCTTGTGGAACAATCTGTCTCCACTGTGCCTTATCTGCATTGCTGACCCATGACTCTACAAACTTAATAAATGCTTTATGTCACAGATTTTGAGGTAATTACTTTCTCAGACCTGGTAACTGGAACATATTCCTTACCAACCATTCCTTCTGAAAATTCTCCCCTATTTAAGGGCTAAAACACTTTAATGTTCTAGACTTTTACCCTGATCCTGTTATAAATCCTCTTTTGTTCTAGTTTGTCTTTCTGCCCTGTGATGATCCCAAGATTTCCTCCCTAAATCTTTCTCTCAGCTCTACAGTGTCACTTGACGAGAACGCAGGTTCATGCTAAGTGTTTTTAAGCCTCTGTGTCTCAGACCCACAACAACAGTGACACAAGCAAGGCTCCTAAGGAACAAGGTTTAAGGAGGCTGTCACAATTGGGATCATACAAGTCCCTCCTCAAATTTGTATCACAGGTGCTTCACTTGCCCAATCTAAACTCTACCGTCTGTCTCTAGATGTATTTCGACCAAAATCTCAGCCCTGTCTCTGGCTTAGTGATAGAAAGAACAGGCTCATGAGTTTGTCCGTATTTAAATCCCAAGTTTGCCACTAACAAACTGTGTCATAGTAGGGGATTATTTTAACTCTAAACATTTTAGTTTTGTCATCTATAAGATGAGAATAATAGTATTATGTATATTTTAGGACTAATGGAGAGAGAAAATCAATTAATAAAAATAGCTTACAACAGTGCCTGTAACATAAACTATTAATAAACATTAGCTATTATCATCCTCTATTATAATTGTTACATGCCTCCTCATTACAATCATTTCCACAAGTGTGAAATAGGACTCACAGTCAAAGCCTAAAATTACACTTCTTCTAAGTCTCTGCACTCCAGATGATGGTACCAACATGACTAATGTCACTTAGGCTCAAATCTAAACTAACCTGTGAGCTCTTGTTTCCCTTCAGCCAATTTTGCTGATTTTGCTTTACCCCTATTGCTTGTACCCATCTCTCTTCTTCATCTGGTGTTTTGGCCTTCAGATATTTGATGCAATCTTGATTGTATAAAAATTATCATTTATGTGCATTTTACCAGATTCTCAGTGGAAATGCCATCCTCACCACTCCCCCCCAGAAAACATTCCAAACAGCATCTTTATGGCTGTGTGTGTCACCACCTCTGGCTGTTGTGCATTGCCTCATACTTTCTAGCTGACTTGTTTTTCTACATCCTTTGTCCTGCATGTCAATCTTACTACAAAAAATCAGCCTGGGCCCCCTATTTTCTATCACAGCAATATACACATCTCAAGCTTACTGTCAAAGCTATCCAAAAAATATGCTTGATTAACTTAACTGACCTCATTTTACCCAATTTACTTCTTTCTCTATAGATATAAGATATATTTTCCTTTCTCAGGTAATGTTGTATAAAGATACATTCTTCTGAGATTCTACAAAAATTAGCAAATAAGATGCAAATTGACGTGGCTAGATCACATAATCACAGAATCATTGAAAAACTTATAGAAGGCATGATCTTATTTTCTGGCCAGGTTTTATCTAAAACCATACAACATTAATAAAATTATTTATAATTACTGTATTTATCTTTTCTTAACTCATATTAAATTTTATCTCAATTTTCTATAAGATTCAAATTTCCTCCTTAACATTTAGTTTAGAGTTTAAGTTATGAATAAAATGATGCCGAATTTGTTAATTTTATTTTTTATGCATCTTGAAGCACTAAAAAATCCTGTACTATTATGACTTACATCGGCTTCTCAATTTTGATACTATAATCACAAGCAAAAACTAAACAAGACCATCTTCCAAGTAAATTATAGTTTTTTCTAACTGACAGATGGAGAAACTTAAATTGATATGATTGTTTTGGTAGACAAATCAGTGAATTGTAGAAAAAGAGATTTAAAATATGTTGGAAAAAGAAAAAATTTTTCATTGAACGCTATCCTTTTGATTTATTAAAGAAGATGAAATAAATAATAATATTGAAGGGAGAAATCTCAACAGTCTATCTTTTGCAAGTAAACCTGTCCTTCCTCTAGGTATTGAGCAGCTGATAATTAAAACTGTGACCAATATGTTGATACATCACAGATAAGAGTTTCCTATGAAGCTAAGCAAGAAATGGGTGACTGAGTATCTTGAAAGGCTATGACCGATGCATTTCTCAAGCCACTGTATTTGCATCTGAAACCTCTCAAATGTGAAAAGCAAATAAATAAATAAATATTTTGTAAAAAAAAAAAAGTAAAAGAAGTCTATTGGGGTACTTCCCTTCAAGTTGTAGAAATAGCAGCTGACCTTCGCCATCATCTTCTATAATATTTAATGTCAACCGTCAGAGCTATTAACAGAAACAAAATATAGAGCAAATGAATATGTTTCAAGAACGTGGTGCATTTATGATGAAGAAAATGCATATTACTGCAGATCAAACTCATCCCTGACTTTGTGTCATTAAAATTAACAATAGACAAAAGATAAAAAGTCTTAATTCTATTAGGTAACCAGAAACCATGAATTCAGCTTGGATTTTATTTGAAGCATTGTTTCATGGATTGAAGAATGACCAACTTGCTAGATCTAAAGTCAGGTGAAAAATGAATGCTTATTCAGCTAAGAGGCTTTCCCGTGAGGTGCTATGCAGCTGAGAGTTGGGTCGCATTTAATTTGTCATTGTTATTAACGTTATGGAAAAGAGAATAAACAACAGAAAAATGAGCAAGAAGATTGGAAAGTGTTGTATGCCAAGGCAATACAGTGATGAGGTCAAAGGCAAGCAGAAAATCTATCATGCACCCAAAAGATGACAAATCACCATTTAAACCAGAAAGCAACAAAATGCATACAAAAGCAAATGAAATATATAAATTCAAGGAAAATGAAAATAAGAGCATCAAGTTCATCAAGTTAAAATAATTAAGACTTGAATGGCCTAGGATATATCATATATGTGGTTTTCACATATTCAAGTAGCCAGGGATCTCTTAACACTATATTTTCTTTTCCTTTATTGTACTTCAGCTCATTTATAATGTCAAGTTCAAGTATTAAATGTTAATGGTAAATGTCTACTTAAATAAAAATAAATACATGGTTAGTGCCATTTCTTTTGAAAATATGGTATAACCAAAGTTAAAAGAACAGTGACTTAGCAAAAATTAAGCTTTTTTATAATTGTTTCAAGGGTCCTACCAGCATAGAAACTGTCAACCATAGTTCTATGCCTCATGTGGACATAAGGGGCAAGTAGATTCTCACTTCTATTTAGTTCTGTATTCTTGGCTAAATAGAGATTGTGTGTGTATGTGTGTGTGTGTGATCATTTCTCGTGAATCTACAACTTTGTAGTGCTGCAAACCCATTTCAGAATTGGCTTCTTTGTGGTCCTAATTCTCCTTCAAATGTTCATAATTTCACAAATTGTGAATAGTGAAAAAAATTTGTCCTATGTACAGAAAACAAAATGATTCTTCAGGATAGTGATGGGGTCTTAACTCAATATACTTTATGCTCAGCTGCTCTCTCTTTGTATGGGAAGGAGCTCTGCTGGGACAGGAGCCACTAATCAACACAAGAGGGCCAACTTATTGACTCCAATTGTAATAGACTTCAAAAAGATATATAACAAATAACAAAATACCAAAAAGTATTGAGAGGCTCCCAAGTTGGTCATAGATCCACCAAATTGGCTCTGGCTGTAGTAATCACATTAAAACATTCTTGGAACACACAAGCAAGTATTGAATCATAGACTCTCAGAATGGGAAGAGAGATTAGGTCATCTATATTAACCCTCAATCTAGAGTCATAAACTCCTAATAAGTGACCATGTAGCCTCTCACTACACACTTTCAGTGATGGGAAATTCACTGCCTCACCAAGCAGTTTATTCCATTTTAGGACAACTTTAATTATTTGAAAGTCCTTGCTTCCATTAAACCAAAATCTAGCACCTAATAATTTTTCACATATAGAGCTTAGTTTTTTTCTAGGGCTACAAAATAAAGAATAAATAAAAATAAGAGGTCTAACAATTTCTTCTTAAAACAGGCTGCTAAATAATTGAAAACAGCAATCATGCCAACCTACGTCTTTGTCACAAGCTATATAATTTAATTATTTTCTTTATACACCCTCAGTTGCACCCCCGCTACCTTCTTGGCCTCTCTTCATCTCTAGTTTATATTGGTAATTTTAATGGGTTTTATTCAAGATTTACTCACGATTCTAAAATGTAATGCAATGAGCATGAAGTAAAGTGGTACTGTCACCATCTGGTGTCAAACACTGAGTTCATTCCACCGCCAAAGACTGCACTAGCTTTCCTGGAACTTCTATTAGCTGATGACGCATGCTTAGTTGGTGGCTGGTCACCTACATGGGATAATTTCTGGCTCCTTCTCCTCTGAAAACTCTTTCTTTATTTGAAATATCATTAGTGTCTCAATAATTTTTAAGCAAAAAAGTAATTTCTCATTGCAGTATCCCTTGGTGGAGGGTAGACAATAGTTTAAAATCAATAATATGAAGGCATAAGTAGTTATCAGATTATTACCTGGGCAAATGAGGAAACTAGTAAAGGGTAATTCTGTATAAGAAATAAAAGGGGGCTAGAAAAAAATGTATACCTGTAAAAATATTTTGCTAACTTACACATTTTTCCTAAAGTTATTCCTAAAGATACGTGTGGTGAGGTAGAAGTGTCATATTTGAGAAAAATATACCAGGCTGTGAATCCATGCTCATCTACCTACTTGTCCTCTGAATTTAGAGCAATTAAAAAACTCTTCTAATCTTTGATTTCCTCCTTCATAAAATCTATATTATTCTAGAACATACTTTAAAAGTTTAAAATGGTAATAGGTTAATGTATGACATTGATAAGCATAATTGACCGCTATAGAGCTCTAAATGTATATACAGTAGTTTCCTTTTCCTCCCTAATACCTAATATATGAGTCATAAAAGTCTATAGATAACTCATTAATAACTCTGATTACTCTTAATCCAAACATTGACTAGGAGTAGATGGATACTTATGAATTGTTATTTGAGGGGAAATAAAAGTAGTTTTTTCCTGTAAGCATCTCCTTCCTCTCTTCCACCTCACTGTCACTGTGTCTCGATCCCTCCCGAGTAATTCAGGTAGCAGAAGCTAACGTGAGATGAAGGATTCCTGATATCCTTGGACAGAAAAGGGTACTGGACATGCATGGCCCTTGAATGATGGTCTCTGGGTATGGAAGGTGGGATTTTCCTAGAGTCAAGAGAGATAAAACGCAACCAAGCAAATACTCTTTTGAACTATACCACACGTTAGCCCTTACCAAAGTAACATGCTAGTTCAATTTCTTATATCTTTAAGAATCTTTGTTTTACATGATCTAGAAATACTGAGAATGTACTAATATGCATGACTGGGCAAAATACCAACACCATAATTATCACAGACATGTTAACTATAAATAATGAAGTTGTTGGTTAGATCTGAGCTCATAAAAAAGAAGGGTGGTGATTAACGCATCAGTGCCTAAAGGAGCCACAATTGCTTGTTTTGTTTGTTTGCTTAATTCTCATTATAGACAATGGTGGGTCCTATTTACTTGGCTTGCTTTGTTGAAACTCAGTTTTGTTTTGAAACAGGGTCTCACTCTGTAGCCCAGGCTTGAGTCCAGTGGTGCGATCTCAGCACACTGTAATCTCCACCTCCCAGGTTCAAGCAATTCTTATGTCTCAGCCTCCTGACTAGCTGGGATTGCAGGTGCACACTACCATGCCTGGTTAATTTTTGTAGTTTTAGTAGAAACTGGGTTTCACCATGTTGACCAGGCTGGTCTCTAATTCCTGACCTCAAGTGATCTGTCCACCTCTGCCTCCCAAAGTGCTGGGTGAGCCACCATGCCTGGCCTCAGTTTGCTTTTTGTTTTATTTTGGTTTATTTACCTACAAATAGGTATGACTGCTATATTCTTGGCTGCTGAACTCTGGTTGTTATTTTCTACAAATGAAGTAGGTAAGAAAAACATTTTCTTGAATGAGGAAGACTAAAAAAAATTTTAAAGATCAAATCCATCACATTAATCATGGTTTGAATAAATCAGATTCCATCTTTTAAGAACCCTTTTAGCTCTAAACAACTTGTAATTTTAGTTAATTCTTAAAAGGTCAGCTGTAAGATTATAAGTCTTTTGTCAAGAGCTTTTGTTTCAGATGCATAGAGAAGCATAAAACGAGTGAGTCCACTGTAGTCATGTCCATGTGCGCACATACACACAGACACACACACCCTGTGCAGCAGACTGGAACGTGATCATGCTGCAGAATCAGCCTCACTCAAATTCAGTTGAAGCCCATAAACTTAGCTTTGTGACCTTGGAAAACACATTTAACATCTTTGTGCCTCAGTTTCCTTGACTGCAAAACTTCCTCAAGTTGATTGTACCAGTTTGAATAATGCTGGCACATTGCCTAGCAAACAGACGTTCATCATCTGGTGGCCAATAGTATTTTCTTCCATACTTACAAAGAACTTAGCATAGTGCCACATATATAGAGGTTATTTAAGAGATAGTGCCTAGTATTATAGTTATTACTATTTTACCCTCGTAGTAAGTGTAGAACATCAAACAGAATACCATATATATAACTGCCAAAAAATAAATGATAGCTGCACAGTGTGGTATAGGTAGACTAAAGACCGTTCTTACATCAATCCAGCAGGTGAGTGGTATCTAGGTCAGGACCACATGCATAGGAGGCCCTTGATAGATGGTGGTGATAACAGGGATAATTCATATTGCATGAAAAGCTCCTACGACCAAACAAAACCCACAATAGTTGCTTCATAAATGGTAGATATTACTATGTTCTCCATAACCAGTATCAGATATTTATCCATTGCCTCAATCAATGTCCATATCAATAGTGACTATTTATGCTTCTTAAGTAGATTAACTTTCCTTTAGGAGGCCAGCTTTCATTTTCAGTAAGTCCTCTGCCATTTTGTTTTGTTTTCTTTGTTCAAAGTTATTTAGGTCATTGCTGATACAAGGTTTATCTAAAACAAACAAGGGGAGTCTGTGCAAAGGAAAGCATCAAGTAAAAGGAAAGAGATGTCTGTCTCAGAATCCCGGTAAATACAGGCAGATTGGATGTTTGCTGCAGATGCTACTCTGCTGACATGGAGCTTCCATACATCATTCTGTCAGTGCACGTCTGTCCAGAGCTGACAATCACTATACAAGCTCACTGCAAAGTGCAGACTGCAGGAGATAAATGTGAATGGGATATTTTGTTAAGCATTTCTCCTCTATGTACAATCCCAAAAATAAGGACCATGATCCCTTTAATCTGAGGAGGTGAATCTGCCTTAGCCAGCTTTCAAGATCATACTTCTGAGAAAAGTGACTGTAATAAGCCAAAAGAGAGAGAGCAAGATAATTTAAGCATGTTGTGTGATTGTTGTTTTGCTTGTTTTTGTAACTGGTCATTGTTCATGCCCACTTATGCCTGTTATTGGGTTAAGATTCTGATAGTTGAACAAATTTACCTAAGATTCACCCTTAAAACATGCATATATACTCCACATATAAGAACAAATAGAAATTTGTAAGTACTGTTTGACTCAAGCTTAAGAATAAATCACATTCCATGTACCACAGATTTAGAAGTCCTTGAGCTGCATGCCTGCTGAGAATGGAGCATAAGGTCTCATCTAACGGAGTATTTCTGCTTTTCTCTTCAGAATGTTTTCATAGATGTTGGGTTCCTGACTCCATACCAGAGAACTCCAAAATATTTGATGTTTGAAGATATCCTCAGACTTGGGAGTTAAGTCCATGGTTATGATTAAGCGGACAAGCTCATGGTCCACATGATGGACTTGCTGAGGCATTGGCCTTCAAACTTTTCCACCATTGCTTTGCTGAGATTCAGTCAGTCAGGTTTTAAGAGACAACTAAAAACTCCACCCTCCTTGGGGAATAAGCACAGTGGCTAATATTTATAAGTGATTATCAACAAACTTTCCTGAAAATGGACTCAGATCATAAAAAAAGGTTGGGGGGGAAAAAGAAGATGATTTAGGATAAAGAAGGAATGGCACTAAGAGAGTCAAAGTGATGATGAAGTTTGAAGGACAACTTTGTCACTGTATTTCAGCAAAAATTCCACCCTGGATATTAGGAACAAACACACTTGTGCATAAACATAGATATGTAGGCATGACTATAGCAAATTCATGGATAGAGATCTTTTTCTGGTTTAATTAATAGAAAAGAATTTGCACAGCTGAATTGACTTTATTAAAACAATTATGATATATTTTATTGTATTTACTTTTTCTTTCTTTTTTTTTTTCTTTTTTTTATAGAGATGAAGCCTAACTATGTTGCCCAGGCTGGTCTCAAAACTCCTAGACTCAAGTTATCCTGCCATCTCAGCCTCCCAAAATGTTGGGATTACAGGCATGAGCCACCAGGCCCAGCCAACAATAGTGACATTTTCTAAAAAGTCTCTGGAAACTTGAGTTCTAAAGACCAAGTTAGACTCAGAATATGGAAAACACACTTACATGAGGCATATTCTATTTATTAAAGTTTTTAGTTTTCTGCTTAGTTTTCTCTGACAGTTTTTTTTTTTTTTTTTTGGTCTGGGTGTATAGTAGGTTCTTCTAACCCTTTCAACATTTTTATTTTTTATATTTCTGATTATAGCCATACTCGTGGACATGAAGAGATATCTTGTGATTTTGATTTGCATTTTCCTAATGGATAATGATGTTGAACATCTTTTCATGTGTTTATCGGCCATCTCTGTAACTTATTTGCAGCAATGTCTAGTCAAATTTTTTGCACATTTTTAATTGGGTTTACATTTTATTATCACATTAAATATCACATTGAAGAGTTATTTTTGTATTCCAGATACAAGTTTCTTGTCAGATATAAGATTTGCAAATATGTTCTGCCATTCTGTAGGTTCTCTTCACTTTTTTTTTTTTTTCTTTAAAGACAGGACCTTGCTTTCTCACCCAGGCTGAAATGCAGTGGCACAATCATAGCTCACTTTAGCCTTGAACTCCCAAGCTCAAACAATCCTCCAATCTCAGCCTCAGAGTAGCTAGGCTGAGTTTGTTTTTTTTTTTTTTTAAGACAGGTCTCCTATGTTGCCCAGGCTGGTCTCAAACTCCTGAACTTGTGTGACCCTCCTGCCTCAACCTCCCAAAGCACTGGGATTATAGATATGAGCCACCACACCCAGCCTTATCACTTTCTTCATAATACATTTACAAAACAAATAGGTTTACATTTAGATCTATAATCCATTTTAAAGTAATATTTGTGTAAGATATGAAGTTGTGATCTAACTTCATTCTTCTGAATGTGGATATCCAGTTAACACCAGCAAAGTTTGTTTAAAAAGACAGTTCTTTCCCCCCACTTAATTGTCATGGTTCCCTTGTTGGAGGTCACTGAACTATATATTAAAGGGTTTATTTCTGCCCCCTCAATTATATAGAATTGAAATATGTATTATGACTCTATCCTTATCCCAGTACTACACTGTTTTGATTACTGAGCGTACAGAATGTTTTCAAATCAAGAAGAGTGGAGAGTGACTGTTAATAAGCCAGGGGTTTCTTTTGGGAATGATGTTCTGGAATTAAATAGTAGTGATGAGGATACAACTCTGGATATACTAAAATCATGAATTGTACACTTTAAATATGTGAATTTTAGGGTGTGTAAATTATATTTCAATAAATCTGTTTAAAAAGTCAGGGAGCACTTCCCAGAGAAGCTGAGGTTCCATTTACATTTGGTGTAAGAATTTGTAGGCAGAGAAGAAAAAGAGGCTCTAGGCAGAGAACCTAGGGATGCAAATGCAGGGAGGCATAAGGTTACACCCAAGTGTCCAGGAACTCAAAACACTTTAGTGCTATTTTATTTAAGTATAAACTGTTGCAGAAGGAAAAAAAAGTCAAAGATTTTATGCAATGCATTAAAAAGGAGTTCAGATTTTATCCTGTTAATAAACATAATGTATTTTTACCATGTGCTACCTATATATATAATTACTTAGTACCACATTGTAATATATATGCTACTTATTAAGTGTATAGTATCTATATATTATGCAATAATATGTACTATATTTTAATATTTTATATAGCTTGAGTATATGATACTTAATATTTTAAAATTATTGAAACTATAAAATGAACAAAAATATAAATAAATGTAAATGTTTACATAAGCAGAAATGCTAATATTCACTTATCTCTTTCCAAGCAATCTGGCTTATTCCTTGGGAATAATCAAAAACAGAACTCTTCATTGTGTGAGAGAGAAAGAAAGAGAAAGAAAAAGGAAGGGAGGGAGCGAGGGAGTGAGAGAAACAAAGAGAAAGAGAAAGAAAAAGAGAAAAAGAGAAAGAAAGAAAAAAAGAAAAAGAAAGAAAGGAAAGAAAGAAGAAAATAGTGTATTCTAATTTTATTTGCAATGTTAAACCACCACCCCCCACCCAAAAATTGAAATTCCAAAGGGAGTCCATTTCTAAGAATGGAGTTTAGCCAAATGTGAGATGTTGATAGAGAAAAATTGTGAAGGCTGGAGGCCTGTCTGGCACATTTAAAATAAATGTGCTTTGATTGATGCATTTCTTTACCTTAATCCACATGTCTCAATCCTGCTATTGCATAAGTCTCTCTTTTTTTTTTTAAAGACCAAGCTATGGAGAAACAGAACAAAATATCACGTTTCAAAATTATGCCCTTCTGGCTGGCTCTTTTCCCGACTTCAGTAGAAAAGTATTTGTATCATCATATTACCTAAAACATGTTCTTCATGATTACTTAGAATAAAAAATAATAAGGTAAAACTCTTGTTCTCTTGACTGTTTGAAGAAAGGACCAATTACTGAAAGACTAAGGAATGATTTTTTTCTAGTTTTCTTTTACCCTTCCTGCGTGGAAAAATAAAAAGCTTCATATTTCATAAATGAGTATTCAAAGTGCCCTCATTATTTCATTTGATGGTAGTTTCAACCTGTTTAACAATAGAAAGAAACAATTTATCATTTCTACATTATAAAGAAATAACAGATAAAATAAAAAACTGATATTTGTTAGTTCTTCTGTACTACACATAATACTTAACATCCAAAATCTTTGAAGAATTTCTTACCAAAACTGTGTGAAATAAGTATTATCTTCCCATTTAACAGATAAGAAAACAAAGTTAATAAGAACAACCACAACAGGGAAAGTAGCCAGCCAAGATTTAGACGCAAGTTCTTCTGCTCCTGGATCAGTGTGCATTTATTCATTAAATAAACACTTACTCAGATTTGACTGTGTGCCAGCCAGTGTTTCAAATACAGAACAGTGGACATGATTAAGATGGATCAAAACTTTTCTTGGGCAGCTTACATTCTTGAAAAATCATACAAACAAAAGTAGAGATAGGTAGCATAATCCCAAGTGAAAATAAGTTTTATGTCTAGGAAATAAAGCAGAGAAAGAAGTCAGGAACTGGCTGGGGAGGAAATGCACTATTTAGGTAAAATGGACAATAATAGCTTTCTGACTAAGGGGACTGGTACACAGAGATGGGAACAGAAGTGAAGACAGTGCCTTGCTAGAGGTGGTATTGGAGTGTTCCAGGAAGAAGTGGCAGCAAGTGCAAAGGCTCTGCAGGATGGAGAAGCAAGTAGCCTGTCCTTGCTGAGTAAGAGTAAGAAAGCTAGTGTAGCAGGAGTAGAATGATACATGAGATGGGAAGATTGGCAGGGCCCGTCCATGTGGGGTTTTGAAGATCAATGTAAAGACTTGGGCTTTAACTATTGGTGTAGGGTAAACCATTGAAAGATTGTGAAGTAGAGAGTACCATGATCTTTTTTAAGATTTAAAGATAGTGTTCAGGAATAGAAACAGGGAGACTCATTGGCTCTCTGGACAAGAGGTGATGCTGTTGTAAAGAGGCTGTAGTGGAGTGGAATAGGAAGTAGACAGATGAGGAATATTTAATAATGAAGAACTGGTAAGACCTACGGATAAGTTCAATTTTGGAAATGAAAGAAATGGGGAATTTAAAACAGCTCATTTTTATTTTTGTTTTCTGTTTGTTTTGCCTGAGTGACAGGGAACATGGTATGTCTAATGAGCGATCTTGGGGAAAACTGAGTAGGAGTAAATTTTGGGGGTTAGTGAGCTAAACATTCTGTTTGTGGCATGGTGAGTTTGGCTTGTCTCTAAGCTGTGCAAGTAAGAATGTAGAATAAGCAGAGGAATATGCTCTGATTTTATTGATTCCAAGGCTCATTTTCCAAGCATGCTTTAATAACTGTGTAAAATAGAGTTGCCTTTTTTTTTTCCTCAAGATGGCATATAGGAGGCAGTACTGGCGTGACTCTCCCACTTGGAAGGACAGAATAGTGGGTAAAGACTCACACTGTGAATACTTTTTCCCCCCAAGAACCACCACAGGAACTTACCAGGAAAACTAAAAGAATCCACAAACCCTTTCAAAAAAGCTGTAGGCTGCAGCCTACCCCATGAGACAGGTAAAAAACTAAGTTTCTAGAGTGTGAGAGAGGAAGAGCCTGCTTCTGAGCATACATCCACACCAGGGAATCTGAAAATCCAGAACATGCATGGGGGAAGGCCTTAACCCAATCAAGAGCTGGAATAGATTTTGGGAGCCATGTGAAATATAAAGGTAGAAGCAGCAGTGGGAAGAGACTTGCCAGCATTCCCAGTCTCCAGTGCAAGCCCAGGGAAGCCATCCTTGACTGTATCTCACAGGGGCCCTTGGGGAAGTCAGCCAGTGAACATAGGGAAGAGTCGCAGGGTGAAAGAAGTTCCCAACTGAAATTTGTGATGTAATTTTGATGGGGACGAACTCCCTTGAACAGAATCCAGGGCAAGAGGGAAATGTGTGGCAGACAGGAGCTGAGCGGTCAGTCTTATGAGCAGATGGGGAGGGGCGGGGCCTGAAAGCCCCTGTGTTTGCTATCTGAGGGGAAACCTATGGTGTGGGGCAGCTCTGAGTTCTGTGTACAGAGTGCCTAGATCTGCCACCTGGTACTGTTAGTGGGGCACTGCAGGAATGAGACCAGCCTTGCCAACTGCATGGGAGCTAGGTGAGGCTTACTGCTGCCCACTACTCCCCAGTCCCTTTGTGAACTCTTTTGCAAGCAGAAGCAGTTATACTCCCTTCAGGAACATTACCCCAGTGGCCTGAGAACCATGCCCCATTCTCCACAGTGGCCATGGCTGGCAGCACCCAAGGAGAGTCAGAGCTCAGATCTGCCTAATCCTGCCCCTACGTGATGCTATTTCTCCACCTGTTCTAGTAGCGGAACACAGAAGACATAAGGTTTGGGAGTATTATACACTTGCCCATCACCTAAGAAACCAGAATACTTCCCCTAGCCACGTTAGGGCAAGCTCAGATCCCACTGCTAATACTGCAGCTGCTTCTCTCTTGAAAGTACCACCACATGGCTAGAGGCCAAACCACTCAGGCCATTACAATACCTCTCCTCTGGAAAGGATTACACCTTGCCCAGGAAGGAGAAAATAGCTGCAGGATCTCAGCTAACACGACTGCCTGCAACACCTCAGCTAACCAGAGGGTCCTGTGTCTGTCCCCATGACAAGTTCACTGCTAGTATAACCAGCATTCGAGAAAGCCAGCACACTAAACCCATCTACAATCCAGGAATCTCAGAGAGTCTACGTCATTCCCCTGCCACACCCGTCAGAGCAGGTGCTGGTATCTACTTTTCGGAGACATGAAGACAGATCACATCACTGGATCTTTTGCAGACTTTCCCCAGCACTACATCTAAGAGTCTCATAGCCCCACTGGGTGGCTAGACCCAGAAGAGCAATAACAATCACTGCAGTTCAGCTCTCAGGAAGTCTCATTCCTAGGGCAAGGGGGAAAGCACCATATATCAAGGGAATACCCTGTGGGACAAAAGAGTATCAATGGTGGTCCCGAGTCCCAGATCTTTCTGCTGGTGGGAAGTTTCTTACAGCAGAGACACAATTGCAATGCTGGTCATAATAGGGAAAGTCTCCACCTATACCCCAACAGACTGGCAGCCTCTGTGATTATGAAAGGCCTTGGAGAAGGGATACTTTCCCCTCTGGTACACCACTGCAAACCACTGCAAATGTAGCTGGGGCTTCTCCCATGGGAACAAAGCACGGATGCACCGATAAACAGCCTTCCTGGAACAATTCAGGGTGATTGCAGCCCCACAGGAGGAGCACTTTCCAGATTCAGGCAGTCAATTCCTATTTGGAAGATCAACATTACTATAATGGAAAAGAGATGCCTGTACGATTTGAATAGCTGGAACACTGGGGACAGAAGTGAGGCTGTGAGGTGGATAACTTTCCTACAGACCTGGCTGAGCTCCCAACTTTCATGTTGATAACACCTCACCATATTTGAGAGCACCCTTAAGCACTTCATCAAGGCTGGGACCTCTGCCCATGTGCCTTAGCTACAACCAGTGCCTGCCCAAAGATACCTCCCCTATTGGCCTGAAGCCTGATCACCAAATCAGTAAATAAAATATGGGAAAAAATTACAGAAAGAAATAAACTCTACACTATGACAGAATGAGGTGAGCTTCAAGAGATCCCCGCCATCCCAACCCCATAGGAGACAGTGAGCTTGCCCACACACCAACTATGTCCAGAATTGGTGGGTTGTTGGTCTTGCTGACTTCAAGAATGAAGCCGCGGACCCTTGCAGTGTGTGTTACAGTTCTTAAAGATGGTGTGACCGGAGTTTGTTCCTTCAGATGTTCGGACATGTCCAGAGTTTCTTCCTTCTGGTGGGTTCATGGTGTCACTGGCTTCAGGAGTGAAGCTGCAGACCTTAGTGGTGAGTGTTACAGCTCATAAAAGCCTGCACCGACCCAAAGAGTGAGCAGCAGCAAGATTTATTGCGAAAAGCTAAAAACCAAAGCTGGAGGTGAGTCAGTTTCAGCCGATGGCCCCTGGCCTGCTTTTATTCCCTTATCTGGCCCCACCCACATCCTACTGATTGGTCCATTTTGCAGAGAGCTAATTGGTCCATTTTACAGAGAGCTGATTGGTCCATTTTGACAGAGTGCTGATTGGTGCATTTACAAACCTTGAGCTAGACAGAACAGTTCTCCAAGTCCCCACCTGTTCCAGAAGCCCAGCCAGTTTCACTTCTCAATGGCACTGGCCAGGGGACTTTGCAGCACCTAGCCTGGGCACTGGGGCAGCCCAGAGGGAGCTCCTCCCTGATCAAGCCCAGCAGACACTGGCCGGCCGCTCAGTGTGCGGGGCCCCGGAGCCCGCGCCCACCCTGAACCCGTGCTGGCCCAGGAGCGCCAGGGCCCTTTGAGCCCACGACCACCCGGAGATGTGCCGGCCCCGCTCGAAGCCCCAGCTCCCGCCCGCGCCTCTCCCTCCACACCTCCCTGGGAGCAGAGGAAGCCAGCTCCGGCCTCTGCCAGCCCCAGAGAGGTGCTCCCACAGAGCATTGGTGGGCTGAAGGGCTCCTGGAGCGCAGCCAGAGTGGATGCCGAGGCTGAGGAAGCACCTAGAGCGAGCGAGGGCTGTTACCATGTTGTCATCTCTCACGAGTACATAACTACTACAACCAGCATCTAAGAGAGCAAGCACACAAAGACTCACTGTAACTAAGGAACTCATTCAGAGTCTTTACCTCTAAAGCACCAAGAATTAAATTAGGCTAAAATAAACTATAAACATTAAACTTAAGATTCTTAAGAGGGGGAAAAAAAGAAACTTAAAAAACAAAAAAAAAACACAGTCCAATCAAAAATAAATTCAAGAATAATTTGAAGAAACAGTCTACCCAAATGAGAAGAAACCAGAAAAGTAATTCCGGTAATTTGACAAAACAGGGACCTATAACATGCACAGAAAATCACACTAGCTCCTCAGCAATGAATCTAAGCCAGGAAGAAATCTCTGAAATACCAAATAAAGAATTCAGAAAGTTGATTGTTAAGCTACCCAAGGAGATACAAGAGAAAGGTGAAAAACAACTTAAAGAAATTTAAAAAACAGTTCAGGAAGTGAATGAAAAATTTTCCAGGGAAATAGATATCATAAATCTTAAAAAAAAATCAGAATCTCTGGAAATGAAAGACACTCTTAGGGGAATACAAAATGCAGTTAAAATTTTCAACAATAGACTACAACAAGTAGAAGGAAAATTTTCAGAGCTTAAAGAGAAGGCTTTTGAATTAACCCAATCAAAGAAAAAAGGATTTTTAAAAAATGAACAAAGTATTTAAGAAATATGAGATTATGTAAAACAGCCAAACCTAAGAATAATTGATGTTCTGAGGGAGAAGAGAAGTCTAAAAGTTTGGAAAACTTATTTGAGGAAATAATTCAGAAAAACTTCCCTGGCCTTCCTAGAGATCTAGACATCCAAATATAAGAAGGTCAAAGAACCCCTGGGAAATTTTTGCAAAAGGCTCATCACATCAGGCTATCTAATGTCAAGACGAAAGAAAGAATCTGAAGAGCTGTGAGATAAAAGCATCAGGTAACCTATAGAGGAAAAGCTATCATATTAACAACAGATTTCTCAGCAGACGCCCTATACACTAGAAGGGATTTGGGGTCCCATATTCAGTCTCCTTAAACAAAACAATTAACAGCCAAGAATTTTGTCTCCAGCAAAACTAAGTTACATAAATGAAGGAACAATAAAGTCTTTTTCAGACAAACAAATACTGAGAGAATTTGCTACTACCAAAACAGCACTACAAGAAATGCTGAAAGGAGCTCCAAACTTTGAAACAAAAGTTCAATGTGTACCAAAATAGAACCTCCCTAAAGCATAAATGTCACGGGGCCTATAAAACAATATCACAATGAAAAAAAAAGTATGTAGGTAACAACTAACATGATGAATAGAACAGTGCCTCATATCTCAATATTAATATTGAATATAAATGGCCTAAATGCTCCACTTAAAAGATGCTGAATAACAGAATGGATAAAAACACCACCAAGTGAGTATCTGTTGTCTTCAAGGGACTCACATAACAATAAGGACTCACAAAAACTTAAGGTAAAGGGGCGGAAAAAGCTTTTTCCATACAAATGGAAACCAAAAGTGAGCAGAAGTAGCTATTATTAAACCGTCAAAACAGAATTTAAAGCAACAACAGTAAAAAAAGAAAAAAGACAAAGGACATTATATAATGATGAAAGGATTAGTCTAACAGGAAGATACTACAATCCTAAATGTATATGTACATAACACTAGAACCCCCAGGTTTATAAAACAACTACTACTAGACCTAAGAAATAAGATAGATAGCAGCACCATAATAGTGGGGCACTTCAATACTCCACTGATGGAACTAAACAGATCATCAAAACAGAAAGGCAACAAAGAAACAGTGGACTTAAACTATACCCTACAATGAATACACTTAACAGATATTTATAGAACACTCTTCCCAACAACTGTGGAATATACATTTTTCTCATCAGCACATAGAACATTCTCCAAGGTAGACCATATGATAGGCCACAAAACAAGTCTCAATAAATTTAAGAAAATAAAAATCATATCAAGTATCTTATCAGACCATAGTGAAATAAAACTGGAAATCAACTGCAAAGGCACCCTCAAAACTATACAAATACATGAAAATTAAATAAACTGCTATTGAATAACTTTGGGATTAATGATAAAATCAAGATGGAAATTAAAATATTTTAAAAATGAAGGATAGTGATGCAACTTATCAAAACCTCTGGGATACAGCAAAAGTTGTTCTAAGTTCATAGCGTTAAATGTCTACATCAAAGTGTCTGAAAGAGCACAAATAGACAATCTAAGGTCACAGCTCAAAGAACTAGAGAAATAAGAACAAATTAAACCTAAACCCAGCCAAAGAAAAGAAATAACAAAGATCAGAGCAGAACTAAATGAAATTAAAACAAACAAACAAAAAAACTGTACAAAAGATAAATGAAACAAAAAGCTGGTTCTTTGAAAAGATTAAAGAAAATTGATAGGTCATTAGTAAGAGTAGCCAAGAAAAGAAGAGAAAAGATCCAAATGAGCTGAATTAGAAATGAAACTGGAGATATTACAACCAATACTACAGAAATATAAAAGATCATTCAAGGCCACTATGAACACCTTTATGTACACAAACTAGAAAAATCTAGAGGAGATAAATTATTGGAAATATACAATCTTCTTGGATTAAATCAGAAAGAAATAGAAACCCTGAATGACCAATGAGAAGCAAAATTGAATCAATAATTTAAAAAAAAATGCCAAGGAAAAAAAAAGTCCAGGACCAGATGGATTCATAGCTGAATTCAAAGAAGAATTAATACCAATCCTACTGAAAGTATTCTAAAAGACAGAGAGAGAGTGAATCCTCCCTAGATCATTCTATGAAGCCAGTATCACCTTAATACCAAAACCAGGAAAGGACATAACAACAAAAAAGAAAACTACAGACCAATATCCCTAATGAACATAGATGCAAAAATTCTCAACAAAAATCTAGCTAACCAAATTCATCAGCATATCAAAAAGATAATAAACCATGATCAGATGGGTTTCATACTAGGGATGGAGATATGGTTTAACACACACAAGTCAATAAATGTGATACAACACATGAACAGAACTAAAAATGAAAAGCACATGCACATCTCAGTAGATAGTAAAAAAGCATGTGATAAAAATCTTTACGATAAAAGCCCTCAAAAATATGCATAGAAGGGACTTACCTCAAAGTAATAAAAGCCATATATGACAACCTATCATATACAACATCATACTGAATGGGGAAAAGTTGAAAGCATTCCTTCTAAGAACTAGAACAAGATAAGGATGCCCACTCTCAGCATTTCTATTCAACATATTACTGGAAGTCCTGGCCAGAGCACTCAGACAAGAGAAAAAAATAAAAGGCACCCAAATTGGAAAACAGGAAGTCAAACTGTCACTCTTCACCAATGATATGACTGGTTGTATACCTAGAAAGACCCATTCAAAAAGCTCCTAGATCTGATAAATTCATTTACTTTATCTCAGGATACAAAATCAATGTGCACAAATTAGTAGCATTGCTATAATCAACAATGACCAACCTGAGAACCAAATCAAGAACTCAATCCCTTTTACAACAGCTACAAAAAATGATAAATAAAATACTTAGAAATCTACTTAACCAAGTAGGCAAAAATTCTCTACAAGGAACACTACAAAATGCTGTTGAAAGAAATCGTAGATGACAAATCAAATGGAAACACATCCCATGCTCATGGGTATGTAGAATCAAGATTGTGAAAATTACAATACTGCCCAAAGGAATCTACAGATTCAATGCAATTCCCATCAAAATACCCCTATCATTCTTCACAGAACTAGAAAAAAAAATCTTAAAATTCATATGGAACCAGAAAGGAACCCACATAGCCAAAGCAATACAAAGAGAAAAAGAAGAAATCTGGAGGCATCACATTACATAACTTCAAATTATACTACAAGTCTACAGTTATCAAAACAGCATGATACTGGTATAAAAATAGACTCATAGACCAATGATATAGAATAGAGAACCAAGAAATAAAAACCAAACACTTTCAGCCAATTGATCTTCAACAAAGCATGTAAAAACAAAGTGAGGAAGGAACACCCTATTCAACAAATGGTGCTGGGAAAACTGGCAAGCCACATGTACGAGAATAAAACTGGATCTTCACTTCTCACCTTATACAAAAATCAACTAAAGATGGATCAAAGACTTAAATCTAAGACCTGAAACCATACAAATTCTAGAAGACAAGATTGGAAAAACTTCTCTAGACATTGGCTTAGGCAAATAATTCATGACTAAAGCCCAAAAAGCAAATGTAACAAAAAAAAAAATGAATATGTGGGACCTAATTAAACCCAACATTTTCTGCACAGCAAAAGAAATAATCAGCAAAGTAAACAGACAACCCCCAGAGTGGGAGAAAAAATTCACAAACTATGTATCCAACAAACGACTAATGTCCAGAATCTACAATAAACTCAAACAAATCAGCAAGAAAAAAACAATCCCATTAAAAGGTGGGAAAATAACATGAATAGACAATTCTCAAACGAAGATATACAAGCTGCCAACAAACACATGAAAAAATGTTTAACATCACTAATGATCAGGAAAATGCAAATTAAAACCACAGTGTGATACTACATTACTCCTGCAAGTATGGCCATAATTAAAAAGTCAAAAAACAATAGATGTTGGTGTGAATGTGGTGAAAAGGGAACACTTTTACACTGCTGGTGAGAATGTAAACCAGTACAACCACTATGGAAAACAGTACGGAGATTTCTTAAAGAGCTAAAAGTAGAACTACCATTCGATCCAGCAATCCCACTACTGGGTAGCCATCCAAAGGAAAAGAAGTCATTATATGAGAAAGACACTTGCACACCCATGTTTAAAGCAGTGCAATTTGCAATTGCAAATGATATGGACCCAACTTAAGTGCCCATGAACCATCAAGTAGAAAAGGAAAATGTGATATACATACAACAGGAAATACTACTCAGCCAAAAAAGTAACAAAATAATGTCTTTTTCAGCAACTTGGAGGGAGCTGGAGGCCATTATTCTAACTAAAGTAACTCAGGAATAAAAACTAAATATCGTATGTTCTCACTTATAAGTTAGAGCTAAGTTATAAAGATGCAAAGGAATAATAATGATATAATGGACTTCAGGGACTTGGGGGGAAGGATAAAAGACCACACATTGGGTACAGTGTACACTGCTTGGGTGATGGGTGCACCAAAATCTCATAAATTACCACTAAACAACTTATCCATGTAACCAAAAATGACCTGTACCCCAAAAACTATTGAAGTAAAAAAATTAATTTTAAAAACAATAATAAATAAAATAGAGTTGCCTTCTACAACTGATATTTGCTTTAGTCGCTGGTAGTCAAGTAGTGGTCATCATGTAGCTGCCATTGTCTGATCATGGGCAAGCTTAGTCATAGCTGTTTATTTTTTTTAGGACTTCAATTAAGTGCTGTACATGTTAGTTTTATCCCATACAAATGCTTTTCTGGTTGCTATCCAAAATAGTTTGGAAGTCTTCAACATATAAATAGCATTTTAAGCTATGGGACTGTATGAGATGCCTTCTTTTGATAGAAAGACAAGAAGCCTCAACCTTAGCCCCGTGGCATGCAGACATTAAGAATTTATAAAGCAAGAGAAGACTCAGCTAAGGAAACTGAAAAAGCATAGTATATTAGGTAAGAAAAATGTAAGAAAGTGGTGTTTTAGAAGTGATAGAAAGTGTGTGTTTACAGAAAGACAAAGTAATCACCTGGGTTAAGTGTTACTGAAAGCTTAAATAAGATACAAACTGAGGACTGACCATTGAATCTGGGAAAATGTTAACCTTTTGTGACTTTGACAAGGGTGGAGGCAGTTCCATGAAGAGATGCAGGCAAAAGCCTAATTGCAGTAACTTGGAGGAAGCAAGAGTTGAGGAAGTAGTGTCACAGAAGATAACTTTTTAAAGAACTTTCAGAAAAAGGATGAGCAAGGCAGGCCAACATTCAAATTCAGGAAATACAGAGAACACCACAAAGATACTCCTTGAGAAGAGCAACTCCAAGACACATAATTGTCAGATTCACCAAAATTGAAATGAAGGAAAAAATGTTAAGGGCAGCCAGAGAGAAAGGTCAGGTTACCCACAAAGGGAAGCCCAACAGACTAACAGCTGATCTCTTGGCAGAAACTCTACAAGCCAGAAGAGAGTGGGGGCCAATATTCAACATTCTTAAAGAAAAGAATTTTCATCCCACAATTTCATATCCAGCGAAACTAAGCTTCATAAGTCAAGGAGAAATAAAATCCTTTACAGACAAGCAAATGCTGAGAGATTTTGTCACCACCAGGCCTGCTCTACAAGAGCTCCTGAAGGAAGCACTAAACATGGAAAGGAACAACTGGTACCAGCCACTGCAAAAACATGCCAAATTGTAAAGACTATTGATGCTAGGAAGAAACTGCATCAACTAACGTGCACAATAACCAGCTAACATCGTAATGACAGGATCAAATTCACACATAATAATATTAACCTTAAATGTAAATGGGCTAAATGCTCCAATTAAAAGACACAGACTGGCAAATTGGATAAAGAGTCAACACCCATCAGTGTGCTGTATTCAGGAAACCCATCTCACGTGCAGAGACACACATAGGCTCAAAGTAAAGGGATGGCGGAAGATCTACCAAGCAAATGGAAAACAAAAAAAGGCAGGGGTTGCAATCCTAGTCTCTGATAAAACAGACTTTAAACCTTAAACTTTAAACTTTAAACAAAGATCAAAAGAGACAAAGAAGGCCATTACATAATGGTAAAGGGATCAATTCAACAAGAAGAGCTAACTATCATAAATGTATATGCACCCAATACAGTAGCATCAAGATTCATCAAGCAAGTCCTTCGAGACCTACAAAAAGGCTTAGACTCCCACACAATAATAATGGCAGACTTTAACACCCCACTGTCAACATTAGACAGATCAAGGAGACAGAAAGTTAACAAGGATATCCAGGAATTGAACTCAGCTCTGCACCAAGCAGACCTAATAGACATCTACAGAACCCTCCACCCCAAATCAACAGAATATACATACTTCTCAGCATCACACTGCACCTACTCCAAAATGGACCACATAGTTGGAAGTAAAGCACTCCTCAGCAAATATAAAAGAACAGAAATTATAACAAACTGTCTCTCAGACCACAGTGCAATCAAACTAGAACTCAGGATTAAGAAACTCACTCTCAGAACTGCTCAACTACGTGGAAACTGAACAACCTGCTCCTGAATGACTACTGGGTACATAATGAAGTGAAGGCAGAAATAAAGATGCTGTTTGAAACCAACAAGAACAAAGATACAACATACCAGAATCTCTAGGACACATTTAAAGCAGTGTGTAGAGGGAAATTTACAGCACTAAATGCCCACAAGAGAAAGCAGGAAAGATCTAAAATTGACACCCTAACATCACAATCAAAAGAACTAGAGAAGCAAGAGCAAACACATTCAAAAGCTAGCAGAAGGCAAGAAATAACTAAGATCAGAGCAGAACTGAAGGAGATAGACACACAAAAAAATCATTCAAAAAATCAATGAATCCAGGAGCTGGTTTTTTGAAAAGATCAACAAAATTGATAGATCGCTAGCAAGACAAATAAAGAAGAAAAGAGAGAAGAATCAAATAGATGCAATAAAAAATGATAAAGGGGATATCACCACCGATCCCACAGAAATACAAACTACCATCAGAAAATACTATAAACACCTCTATGCAAATAAACTAGAAAATCTAGAAGAAATGCATAAATTCCAGGACACATACACCCACCCAAGGCTAAACCAGGAAGAAGTTGGTCTCTGAATAGACCAATAACAGGCTCTGAAATTGAGGCAATAATTAATAGCTTTCCAACCAAAAAAAAAAATCCAGGACCAGACGGATTCACAGCCGAATTCTACCAGAAGTACAAGGAGGAGCTGGTACCATTCCTTCTGAAACTACTCCAATCGATAGAAAAAGAGGGAATCCTCCCTAACTCATTTTATGAGGCCAGCATCATCCTGATACCAAAGCCTGGAAGAGACACAACAAAAAAAGAGAATTTTAGATCAATATCCCTGATGAACATCGAGGGAAAAATCCTCAAATACTGGCTAACCGAATCCAGCAGCACATCAAAAAGCTTATCCACCATGATCACGTGGACTTCATCCCTGGGATGCAAGGCCAGTTCAACACATGCAAATCAATAAACGTAATCCAGCATATAAACAGAACCAAAGACAAAAACCACATGATTATCTCAACAGATGCAAAGAAGGCCTTTGACAAAATTCAACAGTGCTTCATGCTAAAAACTCTCAATAAATTAGGTATTCATGGGATGTATCTCAAAACAATAAGAGCTATTTATGACAAACCCACAGCCAATATCGTACTGAATGGGCAAAAACTGGAAGCATTCCCTTTGAAAACTCACCACTCCTATTCAACATAGTGTTGGATGTTCTGGCCAGGGCAATCAGGCAGGAGAGAGAAATAAAGCGTATTCAATTAGGAAAAGAGGAAGTCAAATTTTCCCTGTTTGCAGATGACATGACTGTATATCTAGAAAACCCCATTGTCTCAGCCCAAAATCTCCATACGTGGATAAGTAACTTCAGCAAAGTCTCAGGATACAAAATCAATGTGCAAAAATCACAAGCATTCTTATACGCCAATAACAGACAAACAGAGAGCCAAATCATGAGTGAACTCCCATTCACAATTGCTTCAAAGAGAATAAAATACCTAGGAATCCAACTTACAAGGGATGTGAAGGACCTCTTCAAGGAGAACTACAAACCACTGCTCAACAAACAAATGGAAAAACATTCCATGCTCATGGATAGGAAGAATCAATATCGTGAAAATGGCCATACTGCCCAAAGTAATTTATAGATTCAATGCCATCCCTATCAAGTTACCAATGACTTTCTTCACAGAATTGGAAAAAAAACTATTTTAAAGTTCATATGGAACCAAAAAAGAGCCTGCATTGCCAAGTCAATCCTAAGCCAAAAGAACAAAGCTGGAGGCATCACTCTACCTGACTTCAAACTATACTACAAGGCTACAGTAACCAAAACAGCATGGTACTGGTACCAAAACAGAGATATAGACCAATGGAACTGAACAGAGCCCTCAGAAATAAGACCACACATCTGCAACCATCTGATCTTTGACAAACCCAACAAAAACAAGAAATGGGGAAAGGATTCCCTATTTAATAAATGGTGATGGGAAAACTGGCTAGCCATATGTAGAAAGTTGAAACTGGATCCCTTCCTTACACCTTATACAAAAATTAATTCAAGATGAATTAAAGACTTAAATGTTAGACCTAAAACCATAAAAATCCTAGAAGAAAACCTAGGCAATACCATTCAGGACATAGGCATGGGCAAGGACTTCATGTCTAAAACACCAAAAGCAATGGCAACAAAAGCCAAAATTGACAAATGGGATCTAATTAAACTAAAGAGCTTCTACACAGCAAAAGAAACTACCATCAGAGTGAACAGGCAACCTACAGAATGGGAGAAAATTTTTGCAATCTACTCATATGACAAATGGCTAATATCCAGAATCTACAATGAACTCAAACAAATTTACAAGGAAAAAACAAACAACCCCATCAACAAGTGGGCAAAAGATATGAACAGACACTTCTGAAAAAGAGACATTTATGTAGCCAACAGACACATGAAAAAATGCTCATCATCACTGGCCATCAGAGAAATGCAAATCAAAACCACAATGAGATACCATCTCACACCAGTTAGAATGGCAATCATTAAAAAGTCAGGAAACAACAGGTGCTGGAGAGGATGTAGAGAAATAGGAACACTTTTACACTGTTGGTGGGACTGTAAACTACTTCAACCATTGTGGAAGTCAGTGTGGCGATTCCTCAGGGATCTAGAACTAGAAATACCATTTGACCCAGCCATCCCATTACTGGGTATATACCCAAAGGATTATAAATCATGCTGCTATAAAGACACATGCACACGTATGTTTATTGCGGCACTATTCACAATAGCAAAGACTTGGAACCAAGTCAAATGTCCAACAATTATAGACCGGATTAAGAAAATGTGGCACATATACACCATGGAATATTATGCAGCCATAAAAAATGATGAGTTCATGTCCTTTGTAGGGACATGGATGAAGCTGGAAACCATCATTCTCAGCAAACTATCACAAGGACAAAAAACCAAACACCGCATGTTCTCACTCATAGGTGGGAATTGAACAATGAGAACACTTGGATACAGGATGGGGAACATCACACACCAGGGCCTGTTGTGGGGTGGGGGGAGGGGGGAGGGATAGCATTAGGAGATATACCTAATGTAAATGACGAGTTAATGGTTGCAGCACACCAACATGGCACATGTATACATATGTAACAAACCTGGATGTTGCATGCATGTACCCTAGAACTTAAAGTATAATTAAAAAAGAAAACTTAGATAAGGTGTGTGTCAAAACAGATATTAAGATGGAAGATCTTAGAACTTGTTTACAAGCTTATTATAGTGTCATAAGGAAAAAAACAAAAAAGATAGAAAAAAAAGAGATATGAAAGGGTAAGGTGATTATAGGGACAAAGTTGCAAAGTAGATGAGAAAGAATGAGTTGTGACATAGCAGGTCTGGCCTTCAACGGATATAGGAACACCACCATGTTTATTGCATGGAAGAGCCTTCTGCACATTTAGCAGAGGGGAGATCATTCACCTGTACAAAGGGCAGTCAAAGTAACCTAAGGCGCAATGACTTGGTCTTCATAATAGGGTGCTTCATGCTTCCCCTCTGTCAAATGTATGCCACACAATGTGCCTTTGGATAATTCTCACAATGCTACAGGGATGCAAGGAAGGCTCAATGCCAGGATGGTGTGAATAGTTCAACATGCTCTGCAAAATGCAAGCTGCTGTTTTTCATCACACTGCTATCAGAATCATTTTTTCTTCCCCGTCCTAATGTGTATCTGGATAATATTCTCATCAGCACCCCAATTTATTTTATTGGCAACAGTAAAAAGCCTTGCTAGGGGACAAAACCGTGTTTCCCTTCATGTAGCTTTCTGCATACCAGTAGCTCAAATACCAGGACAATTTGGAACACAGTTGGTACCCTGGATCTCCTGGTGTGACTTTCCTTAGGGTGTGATGGCTGTCTCAGCACCACCTGGCACCTTCCAAGCAACCAACTGCTGTGCTGTGGAAGAATTCATGAAGACTAGGATGCAGAAGGAACTTTAATGCCATATGTCTTCAGAAAATTGGAAAATGTGAAGAAATATTAGTGAGATTTGCTGGCCAATGGATTTGTCTTTTTTTTTCTTTTTTAACTTCAGATGTATGTTGTATGTGTGTTTGTGTTGATTGTTATCCATTAATTCTGTAAATACCTATGGAATGCCTGTATTTTATGCATCTCCTCAATCTTTGAGAGGCTCAAAGCCTAGTGATATCAGTACACAAATTATTGTCTGAGAAAAGCCAATCAGGAAAAACTTCACATCCCAGTCTCCGCACCAACTAAATAACCTGGGAACCCTGACCATATTTTAAAGGAGGTAGGGGGTGGACATTTCAGAAATGCCAGAAAGGGAGAGCAAGCATTCTAAAGACTCAGATACACAATGGCAATATTTGTGAGAACTGTAAACTTTTAAGTGGATCATTCTTCTGAAGACTCATTGGATCATCAAATACTCAGGGAAAGGATTATCTTTTATTTTTCTATCATCTAATGACAGAAATCATCCGTACAAGATGTGTATTGGACATGGTCAACATGTAGCTGCATTGCTCAAATCCTCATTCAAGAAATAGTTTCTACCAGATACAGGGGCACCATCAGTAAGTGGCATCAGATGTCTCAGGATCTGCCTCTGCTGCACCCACCTCAGGACATGATCTTCCTGTGGTGGTCCACACGTGGTAACTGACAAATGTGGAGGTATCAAGGCCCAGCCTTTTAGCCCTATGTGAGAACACCTCTATCAACAAATATTCACTCCAGGGCTCCTACCAGATATTCTGATGGGTTGTGGGCCTGCATTATGATCACACCTTTCCTTCTGTAGGTGTTGAACACCCTGCACTTCAAATTCCATGTCCATGTCTGCTCCTGGAAAGCTCAACCTATGATGAGCTTTGCACATGGTAAGCACTAAGCCAATGGTGGTTATTTATTTTTTTCTCTTGTTTTCATTATGGTTATTACCAGAAATAGAAGACAGAGAATGCAAGGAGGACAAGCTTCACCTACTCTATAACTTTGCCCAGGTCCAGTCTTCTTGCCTGTGGGAAAGAGTTTCCGGGGTGCCAGTTGAGTTGGTCTCCCCTGTGTGAGAAACCCATGGGAAGCCATGGGCAGCCTCTATGGAGAAAAGTCTCCTTATTGCCTTCATGTCTTTATGCCTCGAGAACATAACCGCTCAGCGGCATTCCACAGGTTGCTCAGGGAGAGAACACTCCCTTGAAGCAGTGGAGTATAATCAGACTTCTTGGCTCCTCCTGAAACCCGCTCCCACCCATTTCACTCCTAATAAGTTAAAGATCCTAAGTAGTTTAGACACACACCTTTGCTCAAGGAAATTCACAGAAACCCCCACTGCTATACATCTTATCGAATGACTCACAAGTTCTCCTTCACTGATTAATCCTTTTCCTTATCCCTTCCTCCCCGTCCCATCTGCCCTAAGAACAAAGAGCTTGTAAACCAATAAATTGGGTGGAGCCCGAGAGCTCTGGGCCGTGAGCAAGTCTCGAAGCTCCAGACCCCTGGACCCGCCTTTTAAACGCTTATTCTGTCTCTTTCTAACTCCTTTGTCTCCGCCGGACTCAGGGTACCCACTGGGTGGTGTGGGGCTGGTTTCCCCAATATTGCCCCTTCAGACCGAAGAAAAATTGCTTAGCATCAATAGTTAAAAATAAATGAATAAATTGCTATAATTGGCTGCAAAGTTTTTCCACAAACGTAAAAAAGTGGGGAAACAAGAAAAAGAAATTAGTAATGATAAGAGAAATTGAGATAATGAGCATTTGAGAATAAATGTTGATTCATTCTTTTAATTGCAATACAGATCAGAATTGATTCAGACCATCTCAGAGGAGGCATATGAAAAGAAGGAAAGAGGGGTGTTAATATCAAATGATTTCAAAAGCACTAAGATAAACTTAGATAAAAGGCTTGTGAAATATTGAATTTTAAATAAATATTCAAGGGATGAAAAAACTTCTTGCCTTGTATAGATAACTGGGTCTGCGTAAAAGGAGTGTTCTTGTATCAATACAGCACAATATCTGTTCTCTAAGATATTATCCAGGCTTTTTTTTCCATTAAGTAATTTTATGGGTGTTATCAGGCAAATATTTTTAATATATATTCCTTCTAAAACTAAAATGATAATCAGTAGCAAATTTTATCCCATATGATTTAACCCAATGCTTTTGTTTTAAAACTGATACAGAGTCCAAGGGAGATAAAGCAGTTTATATCAGGCAACAGAGATGGCAGAACCAGGATGAAAACTCAGGTCTTAAATCCCAGGGCAGCATGCTTTATAATATCCCAAGCTATAAAGTATAATTTGATTGCAAGTGAAGCATGTTTCCGTGTTTCTATCGCAGATAACACAATTCTTTTTGTCCCAAAAAGTGGTAGAAAATAATTCAGAGGTGTGATGATATACTGGCTCTGTGAGGGAAATGTGGGGAAAAAAGCCAAGATTTGCAGTTTTGCGGATTTCTGTGATGTAAATATTCCTAAATGTGTTCAATCTGGACAATCTGAAGCTGCAAAGTGACATCACTGGACACTAATTTGGAAAGAGGTGTGCATGATCAGCTATAATCAAACTCATCCAGACCATTAAACTTGGCCTGCAGCAGCCATCCACATCCCCTCCTGTTTTCTCAGATTCCTTGTATGTTCAAAGAAAGCATTCCTCATAGGTTACAAATACAGTTAATTAGAGAAGAAACAAATGTCAGCTACTGCAAAGAATCTGCAGAGCTGACCCTGAAATGTGAATTACTTGCTTTTGAGATCCTTGGTAAGCAGGTACGAAAGGACAAAAAATGTTTTGCATCTTTAGAAACTAGGATACATATTGATATGCTAGAAAAATCCTGTCTCCATTTGAACCTTATAGTCCTGGATCTCTGAAAGTTGCATAGTTTAATATTTTCAGCTGAAGGCAACATTCATCACATAATGGAGCCTTCCTATTCTTACCCTTAACAGATGAGAATCAGAAGTCTGTGTACAAAGCTTATTGGCAAAGTGAGAAGAGTCTGTCTGCTTACTTCCAAATGCTCTCAAACTTACTGCTGTCTACTGACCTAAATAGATTTTTGTTTCTAGAATTAGCACTAAGTTTCTATGAAAACTTTTTATCTCCTAGAAATTGAAGGGTCTGGAATTTCTTCCTCCTATGGGAAGATCTTAATATGAACTGTGCCCTAGGCAGTTTACCCCTGTCTCCAACATCTCCTTCTTGAATTCTGTTCTCAGTATGACATTCTTTCTTTCATATCTTCATCCTTTAACTCATAAAATATTTATCATGCAGTAATAGGACCTCAAAGCCAGCATTATAAGTGCTCACTGTTTAAAAGAGGCTGTAGACAACTCAAAACAACAACAACAGGAATATCAAAGTAAAAGAATAAATATAAAAATGCATGTAAGCACACACTGGGGAGACATGCGGGGGTAATTTAACCTTCGGTGGCAGGTAATCCGTGTTTCAGCATTGACATCTGATCTGAGTCAATCAGAAGTTTGTCAATAGGTTGGGAGAGGGTAATCCTGGCAGAGGAAATAACATGTAAATATGACCAGATGTTTTTAGAGAAAGCCAAAGGCATTCTCTCTCTCAAGCTACACTCCCTTTGTACTTATTTTCTTTCAATCCAGACTGTTAGGTTTAAGAAGTATTATTCACTAAGAATAAGAAAACATAGACCTCAAATGCTTGGCTTTCATGTTGAAAAAAGCAAAATTCCAAGTCCAGCAATAGAAAGATTTTGGAAAAAGATACCTGGAGATTGAAATGCCTACATCCTGGAGAAGATCTAAAATTGTTAGGCCAGAGGATTGAGAAAAGAGACAAAGAAAAGTTAAAATAGGTGAACTGATGAGATGTTTGAGAAAGGGCCCTACCCCTGTTTTCTTCTTCTCTCCAGGAAGTGTTCCAAGAAGGAAGAAAGTCAACAAAATCTTTAGTTAAGTTTGGGAGATCAATTTCAGGCATGAGAGCACAAGGGACTCTGCTAGCATGCTCCCAAATGAAATTGGTCGTAACTATTAAAAAAGGACTTTGGAAATGGACTAAAAGTGAAGCAGCAAATAAAGACCTATTCAAACAATGTATGAAAAATTGGTTTGAAAGAACAAGATTTTGTGGTATTTGAACCAAGATTGCACACTTCCTCCTCCCACTGCTCTCAGCTCTGTGAGGTGGAGGCTCCACTCCAGAGGACCACAGTGAAGAACACAGGGTTTCATTTCTCCCAAGCTGAAACACTTTCTTTCTGTTCAATAGGATGTCAATAATCCTGCTCCCACATGCCTGTTGTTGAGGCCAAGTCGCAGATAGTGCATTAGACAGGTGAGGGGGTGCCTTCTTCTCTCCAGGCTTCACTCAGAGAACGAAGGCTGTGCTTCAGAAATCACATGTCAAGAATAATAGGGTCCAAAGAGTTATTTCCCCAGCATTTGAAGAGGTTGTGGTGAAGACGACTGGTAAGATATTCACAGATCTAATGGAAATACAGCCAAACTACAGGCTAGCTTGTTTGCAAAAGAAAACCAGAGAATAGGAGAACTGGGAGAACTGATTCCTCCTGGAATCAGAATAAGTATTAAAAATTGACCCCAGAAACTATGTTTTCGAAGTAGCCTTAATTGGGTTGGATTTGTTTATAAAGAGACATATGTCCCAGGGTATTATTAAAAATAGTAGAGCAATGGCTATTAGTAGATTTTACCAGTTGAATATGGTTTGAAAAAAAAGTGGAGTATAGCCCTTCCAGGATCACTGTCTTCCCAGAGTAACTGTGGGTACACCCACAAACTGCACATCCTCAAGAAGCAGACCCAGAGGCTGATCACTAGGGGTGTCTGTGTGTGTATGTTTGTGTGTGAAAGGGGGGGGGTTGGCACACAGACTTCATTAAAATAATCTAGCCAGTTACTAAACAAATAAACAAGCAGATAACAATAAGAAGCCTCGGAAGAATGTGGAGACCAGTACTTGTAGTTGCTGCAATTTGTTTTCTAAAATATCCAGCTCCCAACATAAAATGAGTCATGCAAAGAAAGAGGGGAACATATAACCCACACAATGGGGATCAATCTGCCTGTAAGAAAAACCATATGTTGGATTTAACAAAAATTATTTCAAAGTAACCAGTATAAATATGCCCACAGCACTAAAATGTAGCATGATTAAAGTAAAAAAAAAAAAGACAATGCCACATCAAATAGAGAATATTAATAAATAGAAATTATAAAAAAACAGATGCTCATAAATCGGATACTATAATAACTGAAACTTTAAAAAAATCACTAGAGAGGCTCAATAATATATTGACCTAGCAGATAAAATAATTACCAAAATTAAACAAAGATCGATGGAGATTATGCAAGCTGGAAAATAGAGAAAAAAAATTTAGAAAAAAAGAACAGAGCTTCACAGAAATATGGGATACCATTAAGTGCACCAACTTAAAAGTAATAGAAGTACCAGAAAGACAAGAGAGAGAAAGTATAAGAAAAACTACTTGAATAAACAATGCCTGAAAGCTTCCAAAATTTAATTAAAAAGTCAATAACTTACACATCCAAGAAGCTCAATGATCTCCGAGTGGTATAAACACAAAGAAATCCACAAACTAACACATCATAGTAAAAACGCTGAAAAAATCAAGGAGAAAAATCTTCAAATCAAGAGGAAGATAATGTGTCCACCTACAAATCAACCCAGTGAGTTATTCAGTGAACTTCTCACCAGAAACAGTGGACAGAAGGCAGTGGAATAACATATTCATAGTGCTCAAAGGGAACAAATTAAACAAAGACTTATCAGACTCCTATAAACAGCAAAACTCTCTCTCAAAAATAAGGCAAAATAAAGACTTTCTCAGAAAAGCAAAAGCTGGTAGAATTTGTAGCTGGCACCCCTGTCTTACAAGAAACACTACAAAAGTTCTTCAGGCTAAAAGCAAGTAACCTCAGATAGTAATCAGGAACCACATGAGCAAACACAGATCACCAATTGAAAAGGTAATTATTTAAACTATAGAAGACACTGTAAATGTATATTTTCTCATCTTTTCTTATTTAAAAAGTGCATAAAATAATATGTAGATTATGTATTGCTGAGACTATAACATATAAAAAATATAATATATGTATGATATATTTGCCAAAATAGTACAAGGGAGGTGGGTGGGAGCAAAGCTGTGATATGCTAAGGAAATTATGACAGATGGTAAAGTAATAACTGTAACAACGTATGGTTGGGTTTCTAACATTAGTGGATGTCATATGTATAACAATAATATTACAAAGTGAAATAGAGCTATATAGGAGAAATATTTTCATATATTACTGGAACTGAGCTAGCATAAATCCAAAGCTTATTTTGTTAAGTAAAGTAATATTCAGTAAACCATGCAGAAACCATAAAGAAATACTAAAATAATCATTAATGCAATTAAAATGCTACAATTTCAAAATAATCCAAAACCAAACAGTAAAGGAGAAAGGAAGAATATAAAAGAAACATGTAGAAAACAAACATTTAAATGGCATATATAAATTTGGCTATATCACAACAACATTAAATGTGGATGGATTAAACAATTAAATAAAAAGATATTGGCCAGGCATCATGGCCAGGCATGGTGGCTCATGCCTATTATCCTAGCTCTTTGGGAGGCCAAGGCAGGAAGATTACTTGAATGCAGGAGTTAAAGGTCAGCCTGGGCAACATAGCAAAACTTCATCTCTACTTAAAAAAGAAAAAAATAAATAAAAGATCATCAGACTGCATTAAAAACATGACAAAACATTATCTACAGGAAAAACACATTAGATTCAAAGACAAAAATCAAATGAAAAAAAAGGGATGGAAAAAATACTGTGAAAACAGCAACAGCATGAAAACCGGAGTGGCTATACTTATATTAGACATAACAGAATTAAAAAAAAAAATGATTACTAGAGGTAAAGAGGACCTTGAATAATGATAAAAGGGCTAATCCACCAAGAAGATAAAAGAATTATAAACATATGTGTACCTAGTAACAGAGCACCAAAATGTGAATAGCAAAAACAGAGATGAAGAAACATATAGAAAATTACCTTCAGTAATGGCTACAACAAGATAGAAGATCAAGAAGAGAATAGGAGACTGGAAAAAAACTATGAACCAACTAGTCTTAACAGACAACTAAAGAATATTACACCCAATGACAACAGAATATGCATACTTCTAAAGTGTATATGGGGCATATTTAAGGATAAACCACATCATATGCCATGAAACAAAACTCAATTAATTTAAAAGGACAGAAATCAAGTATCTTCTACAGTTACAATGGAAAAAAATTCAAAAATTTATTAGTTCTTTATCCAAAACGAAAGAGAACCAGAGGAAAGATTTTAAGCAATAGACTATTCTGCCATAATTGGGAGGAAAGATCAGAGTAGATAAGACAAACAATAGGGAGACCAATTAGATGACTTTGGCAATACTCTGGCAAAGGGGTTTCGACTAGGGCAGAGAAGGTGGGAATTCAGAGGAAACTCATAAAAGGTATCTTTACCTGATTAGAAGAATGCTACCAATGAAAATGTGTGATAAAAATAATTAACATAGTAGCAATAATAAGAATAGCACAGCTAATCGGAACAAGTATCACAAGCAATTATATTGAAGTGAAGAGAAAGCTTATAATGTAAACAGTGTTGGAAAACATTTTGGGTCATTGGATCTTTATTAATAATGTATGGGAAAGTGCAGGGTACCTTGAAGGCGAGAGAACTATTAGGAAAGAGAAAGCCTACCTTTTGCGATGAAGTTTTGCTCCTGAGTTTGTTCCTGTGAATTGAGGGAGAAGACATAAATGAGGTAAGTAAAGTGATTTGGACTAGGCTTCTGTTTAACTTAGAGCAGGAACTACCCACTCATGTGTAACCAGGCACAGGGACAAAAGGCAAGAATAGGAGTAGGTGAAAGGTGATGCTACAGCTCATGAGTAAATTCACAACTATATATGTACAAAAGGTGTATAAATATATGGAATTGAGCATACCCTGTAGGGGTTTACCAAGTGCAGATGCAGAAGAATGGAGAATCACGGATAAATGAAAGAGGATGACAGGAGAATTAAGAGGACTTGATACTGAATGGAAGATTTAGTGACCTCAAGAGTGACAGGTGTCAACAGCTGAGTTCCCCGCAGAACCGATTACTCATTGGATTATCAGCATCTCTGAGGCAAGACTGAACTAAATTATTGTGCCATCCCTCATCTCCAATGGTAAATGATAAATTATTTAAGCTGACAATAAGTTCTGCTACATTCCATGAGATTATGAGGCTCATCTTAAGAAAATCTTCATTCATGGTTTAGTAAATGGAATAGATAGAATACTAATTAAACTTACAACTTTAGAAGTGTGGTTAATACCCATATTGAATGTGAAATTGCTCAGAGATACCTAAGAGGTGATTATTGTGACACAGTTAGTTAAATCAGCTTTAGAAAAAAATGTGAAGAAACTGTTAGCAGTGGCAGAGATCCTAGTTACCTTGAGTAACGGGCAGCGAATCCAGATGGGTCTGCAGCAACCTCAATTCTTGCCTCCTCAGAAGAAATAATTCGACTGAGGGGCACCAGGCAGAAGGAGAGACCAAGGCAAGTTTCAGAGCAGGAGTGAAAATTTGTTAAAAAGCTTTAGAACAGTAAGGAAAAAAGGAAAGAAATTTAAAAAAAAAGAAGACGGAAAGTACAAGTTGAAAGAGGACCAAGTAGGTGACTTGAGAAACCAAGTGCTCAGTTTTGACCTCTTGACTTGGCGTTTTATACATTAACATACTTCTGGGATGGTGCCTTACTTCTCCTCACTCCTGGGACTTATGGGGAAGCTGCTGATCAGTTTCAGGTGTTTTCTATCTACTAGGAGACTGCCTTTTTCCTGGTGCCAGCTGTGAGCAATTATTACTTTAGAAAAACAGTTAACATCTGAATGACTATCACCTGATGGTTGCCTAGGTGTGTTGGCAGAGAACCCTCTCCTCCCCTGCTCATACCTGACTAGCTACCTAATGTAACAAAACCTGAAAAGTATAAAATTTAAAAATAAGAAACCTTCAGGGGATCATAAATCCAATTAGACTGTTAGTCCCCCAACACCACTTCCCGAATTTCCTCTTCTATGAATTTCTCTATACATCCAAGCAAGCAAGATGGCCAACCTTGCCTAAGATTTTCACTCTTTGAGAAAGCCCTTAATGATTTTTGTCTCCCAAATGTGTTTGTGGGCATCTTTAAATTGTTTGAGAACATTTTTCAAATTCATAGCAGAGAGGCTTTCTACTCAGCCTACCTCCTGCTAGAGTGTTAGATTTGTTATCACAACTACTGCAAAACTGGTTCTTTGAGATGCCATAGAGGATAAATGCACATAAAAGTGCTTTATACATTAAGAAAAGAGAACTAAATTCAGTGTCCCAAACTGTTCTTTCCTCTCCAATGGCTAAAAGGCTGCTGATTTTCAAAGTTGCTCCTGAGTTGGATGGGGGGATGGGAATAGGGAAAAGTGAAAAGGCAAACAGCTCATTATTCTTGCCAAGGTTCAACATTTTTTTCTTGAATATAAACACTTTTCAAAATATTGTAAACTTTTGGTTAATTTACAGAGTTCTGAAGAACTTGATTTTGACAAATTTTTGTAGTGTTTTTGTTACTTTTGTGAAGGAGTAGATTTAGGGAGGTCCTCACTCCCCTATCCCAGGTTGTGTACACAATATTTAATTAGATCTTCATCTTCTAAGCAGATATGTAAGGAGAAGAAAGAGGAAGAGATGAAAGAAAAGGAATAAGGAAGAAAAGAAAGTGAGTAAAAGAGAGGAAAGGAAAGATGCGATGAACTGATGCTTAAGCACTTGGCTTGCCTAAAATCAAGTATCTGGGCAGGGGTTGGGGAGTACTCACACCTGCGTCTTCTAACTCAGAACTTTTAGAGTATATTCAAAGAGAAAAAGTGTAATTAAAATAAAAAAATTAAAGTGGATTACTTAGTTGGAAAAAGATGTGGCTAGGCCCAAATGCAGATAATCTCATAAAATGAGTGGAGCAGTGAGCAGATCTCAAAATAATGAACAACTTTCAGAGTCTCTTCCCCACAGGGCATGTAGGTCAGAGTCACACAATTGTTTATGACATTGACAATAACACCATAAAAACTAGAGGTGTTTGAAAAATGCACTAACCTCTTTTTCATCATTGGTATGCATGCGAAAAAATAACATCACTTTGATAATGATTTGTTTTTCCTTTTGGCCCACTCCCAATTTTTTATAGACGGGTTCATATAGGAAAATTCTTTTCCCACAAATATTTGCCTCTTAAGTTACCTTGAAGAGGAGCCCAAGGACTTCACTGTAGTAGGGAGAAGGAGGAGGATCTGAGAGGTTAAGTGATTTATCCAAGGACTTTATCTTAATAGTAACAGAACCATAGCTGGGACTCAAGTCTCCTGATTCCAAGAGCTGATGCTTTTCATATTATCCTGTTCTCTTTAAAAATAAAATTGGCTGAGCACAGTGGCTCACTCTTGTAATCCCAGCCCTTTGGGAGGCCAAAGCGAGAGATTCACCTGAGGCCAGGAGTTTGAGACCAGCCTGGGCAACATGGCAAAACCCTGTCTCTACCAAAAATACAAAAAATTAGCCAAGCATGGTGGCATGCACCTGCAGTCCCAGCTACTTGGGAGGCTGAAGTGGGAGGATCACTTGAGCCTGGGAGGTGGAGGTTGTAGTGAGCTGAGATCTATTGCACTCCAGCCTGGGTGACATAGCAAGACCCTGTCTCAAAAAAACATGATGATGATAATAATAATAAATAAAATCATGTTTCTTCCTGGCTATCATGAAGTCAAGAGGAAAACAGTAATTTGCATCTGGGTGAACAGGGTTCTGGTTCCAATTAGAGATGATCAGGCAGAACGGAGAGCTTGTTGAAAAATCAGTGGTGAGATTGATATTTGGATTAGGTTGCTTAATTATGGCATGGAGTATCAATTTTTTAGCTGCCTTTACCTACTTCCAACCCTGAAATTGAAGTTATCTTTATCATAAAATATTTGAATTGTTTAAAAAACACATTTTTATGTCATTACAGGTAGCAGGGTTGGGGGGTGGACAAGAAAGGAGAGAAAGCCAAATCATTCATTAGTCAGTTGTCCATCATCACAGGCTTTCCTGACAAGTAACTAGCTGCCTGGGGGGCTAAGGGAAGAGCATTCATCCATTGACTTCTTCCCCCAGTTGGTCAAAGTGACCACATGACCGTGAACTTCTATTTTTGGATGCACATGATGAGTGATAAGCAGGTTCCTGTGGATATGGCACGTCGCAAAGTGAAAGAAACCCTAGGGCAGAAGTGTTCCAAGGCAAATCACCAGCAGGTTGCACTTGCGTGAACTGATTAACACCTATGCAGAACTAGTCAGCCCAGCAGTGGTTAGAATACGAGGTGGGCTTCGGAGGATATGACACAGTGCACAAAGGCAGCAAGGCAGCCCACTCCTTGCTCTTCTCTGTCCTATTTTTGCCTTATATTACGTCCACCCTGTCACAGAATTTCCTTCAATTCGTTGGCCAACTACAACTTCTGCAAAGGTTTCATACAAAGGATTAATGAAATAAGCTAGAATCCTTACTATTGCAGCTATACTTGAAGCAATAATTGATTTTTTATTATTTTCCTTTTCCACCCCAAATTATAAAATTCCGTACTTTGGCTAAACTAATTTGCTTTCCTGGTAGAATGATCCAGACTTTTATCCTTAAGTACTTTATGTCCTCAGCTGCCTTGTGCTATTTGGTCAGGATTGCTATCATGGCCCCTTCACCCTCACTACCTGTATAGAAGCATCAAGAGTCACTCTAGTGAATTCACAGATTGTGAGATACACTTGTCACTGTCCATATTATGAAGCAGCAGCTCTGCAATGAGGGTTAATTTTTCCCTGCAAACTGATGAAAAGGTTTTTCTACCTCTGCCCCCAAAACAAGCATTTTCATTACATCAGAGGCTAGGTTTGTGGGGAAAGTGAAAATAAATTTTATAAGCACATCATTGTGAATGATGGTGAAACGAGCATGTTACTTGTACCTTTGGTTTCATAGACTCTAGCTCTTAGGAACATGACCTAGTATATTAACTGCTTATTCAGCCCATACCTTTAGAAGGTGGCTCCTCAATGCTACCTGTCCTTGAGCAGGCACCTTATCTGAGAGTTTAATATATCATTTCTCACTTAAGACTTCAATAGCTCCAGTTGCATCATCACCAGATATTCCTAGGGCAAGAGCTCTCTCCAGGACAGCACTTGCCATAATAGCAGCTGCTTTATTTTTTATTTTATTTCATCTTATCTTATCTTATCTCATCTTATCTTATCTTATCTTATCTTATCTTATTTTATTTTATTTTATTTTATTTTATTTTATTTTATTTTGATGGAGTCTTGCTGTGTCCAGGCTGGAGTACAGTGGTATAATCTTGGCTCACTGCAACCTCCGCCTCCTGTGTTCAAGTGATTCTCCTGCCTCAGCCTCCCGAGTACCTGGGACTACAGGCGCGTGGCATCACGCCCGGCTAATTTTTTTTTTCTTTTTTTGTATTTTTAGTAGAGATGGGGTTTCGCCATGCTGGCCAGGGTAGTCACTAACTCCTGACCTCAGGTGATCCACCTGCCTTGGCCTCCCAAAGTGCTGAGATTACAGGTGTGGGCCACCGCGCCCAGCCAACATCTGCTTTTAAAACATTCAGTCATCTTCTGCCACCATAGACATAGTCTTTCTTTACAACCCTAGAGTTAAGCTCTGCAACTCTTGTATTGGAGCTTGCCAACTTTATATGGCAGCCTTATCTATTACATATGCCATAGCTCCATTGTGTCTATAAGGTCCTATGACTGTAGTGATGTCCACCATACCTGGACCTGCTGAAGATTCTCTCATTTTCTAGATCCTACTCAAAACTATCAGCCTTTCAAATCACCAGACAAATAATATGGAGCATTATTCCAAGTACAGAATAGGCTGACAGCAAAACCAAAGAGCCACATCCATTGCTACACCTCATGCTTGATAATAGCAGGTATGAGAAGCAACCACTTGTCTTTTACCTCAGACACAAGGTACCAGCATGTTCCAAACTATCGGGTCCATGAGAATCAAATTATATTCAGACCCCTAAATGCTTGTTGAGTTTATCTCTTGTCTCCTGTCACATATGTGTTTTACTAGAATATTTATAGTCTACTTGCTACCCTACAAATAAGACCTTCTTCACATTATGTCATCAGTATAGTGGATTAGCCAAAAGTTCTAGAGATAATAAAGCTGACTTAGTCCTTCAGGCTGCTATAACAAAAATATTATAGACTGGGTGTTTTATAAACAACAAAAGAGTATTTTTTTTAGTTCTAGAGGCTGGGACATCCACAATCAAGGTGCCGATAGATTTGGTTTCTGATGTCAGTCGGCTTCTGGGTTGATAGACGGCCAACTTCTCACTGTATTCTCACATAGTGAAAGGGGTGGCAGGTCCTTCTGTGGCCTCTTTTATAAGGACACTAATTCTATTCATGAGGGCAGAGCCCAAAGGCCTCATTTTCTAATATCTTTTTATTGGGGAGTAGGTTTCAACACATGAATTTTAGGAGGACACAGCATTCAGTCCATAGCAATGATCAAGGTCCCTTTCTATATTGTAACAGAAAGCAAACATATTAACTATGCCTGGGGACAGTTAACATAGCAGTTTTTCCCGCATTGATTGCAGCTTTTTTTGTTCCTTCTTACTTATGTGTTTTGAAGAGAGTATATTCACCAGATTCATAGCCACATACTGAATGCCAGAGGCTTTGATATGTAGCCTACTGTAAACTTTGCCAAAGGATTGCCACGATTGTGGCATCATGCTGTACAAAGTTTACAGTAGGCCAGTGAACATTTTTCAAGAGCCACTTTTATTTTCAGGGGTCAGGCAAACTCCTTGAATGTGATTATAATGGCAACATATGGCAGCATCCTTTAGAACTTTGCATCTTTAATGGTGGCTTAATCTCTACAATTCCTATAGGTGCATTTATAACTCCTGATTTACTACTACCTTTGCTGAAGGGGGAAAGCGGGACACAGGGTCATGTCAGGGACTTCACTTCCTCCTTACTATCAACATACCTCTGATTCCACAAGTCATGGAACCAAAATGAGGATTCTGCCAGCTATCAAATATATTTATCCTAATTATACACTTGAAGACTAGGGAAACGATAACCGGGGCAATCTGCAGAAAGACTTAATCCATTGAGAGATGGCTTGGCCAAGAACTCCAATCATAACTGGTCTCAATAGGGCCTTTAGAGTTGGAAGACTCTGATAGCATTTCGGTTTTTCTGGTACCAGTGTTACATCAGAACTCAAAGCCAACAACTATTTTAAAAACCTGAGTTCCTTTTGTCTCCTGTGCAATTTTAGTCATATTTGTGATCATGGTTTTTTGTGGGGAAGGACCTGGGGAACATTTAGCATTAGTACTTGTGGTGGCATTGCAGAATTCTCCCTTATGCTGTCTCCCTCAGTGAGTTCCAGGCCTATGAACTGTCTTACATTGGGAGCCACAGTTTTCTGTGCAGGCTGTCATCTGCCTCCTGGGCAGCAGTTTACGCTCTTCCTTTCTTCACTTCTTTCATCCTTCCCTTCCCTCCCTGCCTCCCTCCCTCTCTTCCTTCTTTCCTTCTTTCCTTCCTTCCTTCCATCCTTCTTTTCCTTTTTTCCTCTCCTTCTCTTTCTTTTTCTTTCTTTTCTATCTCTCTCTGTGTGTCTTTGTTTCTTTTTCTTTTGTCATACAAGTGAAATAACACCACAACCAGGCATTGACCTATCGTGCCTCATTGAATGCCATAACCTGTTAGCCCTCACCACAGATGTCAGGGTACAAAGCCACCCTCCTTGTCACTCTAGCTTTCCTACATTTTCGTAATTACACCTTGCCCCTGACAGTTCAATGCCATCACCTGGCCTCTGCCCTTCCAGAATCTCATCTTCTGCACTGATACCATCTGCTCATTATCTGCATTTATTCTAGGGAGCTCAGATCTATGGCAGCATCTCCTGTTGTGAGCTTTAGCCTCCAGAGGAGGGCCTGCATCAATATTAAAGGTGTGCCCCATCAGCCTGCCTGGGAAACATAATGAAGACTTTTGTTGTTGTTGTTTTGGTTTTACAGAATAAATCAATTACCACATTTCCACTTCTGCTTCCCTAAACCTCCTGGCCCTTACTTCAATGCTCTGACACTGCAGCCCTGCCATCTCTATGGTATTTACTGTTAATCATTCTTATGCTCGAGCTTTGAAGCTCTACCCCCACAGTACATTGAAGCTCCTTCTGGCTGACCTCTTCAGATGTTAAACTTCAGGCATAGGCCATTGCTCCCAGGTTATTAAATTCTTTTCTATCCAAATTTATACTCCAGCCTTGCCCCTCCAGCTCCAACCTTCTCAATATCCATTCCCAGTCCTCCTCCCCTAATTCCTACTGGTGTCTTATTATGTAGATGCTGGTTGTTTTTCTTCTTTCTCTGTTTGAATTTATTTCCTTCCAGATATTGGACTGCATGTTTGTGCTGTGCTGAGACTTGACCTCCTAACCAGACTAAAGACAATGATGAAGGTGAAGGAAGACCTCCAGTTAGGACAAGCGTCACCTGGCAAGGCACACATTATTATTATATATATATTTTTTTGAGACAGAGTCTCACTATGTTTCCCAGGCTGGAGTGCAGTGGCGCGATCTCCACTGCAACCTCCGCCTCCCTGGTTCAAGCGATTCTCCCGCCTCAGCTTGCTGAGTAGCTGGGATTACAGGCACACGCCACCACACTCAGCTAATTTTTGTATTTTTAGTAGTAGATTGGTCAGGCTGGTCTCAAACTCCTGACATTGTGATCTACCCGCCTTGGCCTCCCAAAGTGCTGGGATTACAGGCATAAGCCATCGTGCCCAGTCAAGGCACACACTTTTGTAAGGTCCTTATAGAGACTCTAAGGAGATAACATTAGGGCAAAGACATGAAAAAGAAAACTGGAGAAGCAATAATAATATCTGGGGTAAGAGTGATGTAGGTAAAGCGAAGTTTAAGAGCAAAGCATTTAAACAAGGGTATGCGTGACAGAATTGGATAGGAGCACGGGATATGGGGGCAGCATGCATTCAGAAGAGTCCGTGATAAAGACAGTGGTAGGAAGTGAGATCAAAGAACTTACTAATCCTACCAGCACTTTATGGGACATTGTCTTAGTCCATTTCAACTGCTATTGTTGGACAAAATGTCATAAACTGGTGATTTTTAAACAAGACAAAATTTATTTGTCACAATTTTGCAAGCTGAGAAGTAAAAGATCAGAGCAGATTTGGTGTCTGGTGAGGACCTGATTTCTGGCTCAAAGATGATACCTTTCTGCTGTATCCTCACGTGGTAGAAAGGGAGAGAGACCTAAGACACTAATCTCATTCATGAAGCCTCTGCCCTCATAACATAATTACCTCCCAAATGGCCCACTACCCAACACCATCACCATGGGGGTTAGCATTTCAACATATGAATTGGGGGGAGACATAATCATTCAGTTCATTTTAGGCATAATTTATCACTTTCTTCGACTCACAGCTAAGGAAACTTTCAATGAGTTTAAATAGTTTGCTTTCAGGCACTCCTCTAGAGATACTATTGGAACCAAGGAGGACTGTTTCTAAAGAATGCATTCTTAACAACTACACTATAGTAGTGAGTGGGGAAAGGAACATGACAGCCAAGTTCTGTGTAAGCCCCTAAGTCTGACATTCCCTGAGTACACTGTTCATGCTCTTGACCTCAGTTTTCATTCTGGTCCCTGCTGCAATGACAGGTAACTAGATTTGCACAGATGTAACCCATCAGTGCTTCATCTTGGGTGTTGAAATTCATTTCCTCACTTGCTTCCCCAAAATGCCCTCCATCCTATTTTAAATTGCACACACTTCAGCCGTCTCTGTTGCCCTCCCCTGATGTATTACTCTGCATAGCATTTATATATTGCAATATTATAACATAGTCCAGGTGCAGTGGGTCACATCTGTAATCCCAGCACTTTGGGAGGCCGAGGTGGGTGGATCACCTGAGGTCAGGAGTTTGAGACCAGCCTGATCCATATGGTGAAACCCCATCTCTACTAAAAATACAAAAATTAGCTGGGCATGGTAGTGGGTGCCTGTAGTCCCAGCTATTCGGGAGGCGGAGGCAGGAGAATCGCTTGATCCCAGGAGGTGGAGGTTGCAGCGAGCTGAGATAGCTCCACTGCACTCCAGCCTGGGTGACAAGAGCGAGACTGTCTCAAAAAACAAACAAACAAACAACAACAAAAAAAGCTGTAACATAAAATGGACCCATTTGTTTACTGTCTGTTACTCAGCTAAAACATGAGCTGTGTGACAGCATGCTGTTTTGTACCCTGCTGTATGCCTAGAGCTCAGAGCAGTGCCTGGTGCACGGTAGGCATGATATAAATATTTATTAAATAAATTAATGATGAATAAATACCTGATATCCACTTGAAACAGTGTCTAACATATGCTAATGGCTCAATAAATGGCATTTATTGTTACTATTACTTGCTGTGTAGCCTTGCTTAATTACTTAATCTCTCTAATTTTCTGCTTTGACATCTGCAAAATGAAAGAATTATCTGCCCCAAGTGATTGGTGTAAAAGATACGTAAGATAATGTATGGAAGGTAACATGCTCAGAGTAGGAAATTAATATATGGTAGCTTTTATCTTTTTATTATTAGTTTATCAATTTCATAAGTATTAAATTCTGTATGATAAGTTTGCTTAAATTGATAGAGACTTGTTCCATTTAATTTCATTGGGGCTGTGCAAATTCACAGATTTTTTTTCTTTCAATATTTCCCTCCATTCATTATTCATTATTTACTAAATGCAGCCATCATGGCTCAGCCTCAAGGTCCTCTTTACAAATGGCACTGCATGAAAACCAAACACATTTTCTCACACATGCACACAGGCCTTTCAGAGCAAATAGAGATGATTAAAATATCTAGGAGAAGTCCCTGGATTCTTAGAGAAAGTGAATTATTCTAGGAAAACACTCAGGCCCACAGCTGTCCATCTCCCTGTGGCTAAGAGCTGATTGAAGCCTGGTGCCCCTTTGTGCTATGGGGCACCCACTTGAACTCACTGTCATTAGTAGAACCTTCAGTGCCGGCTCATTTGCATATTGGCTACATCATATTTAAGTGAAAGAGGTTCTTGATTCGACTTCTTTAACTTGAAAGAATGGTTTTCCAGCTGTGGTTAAGAGCTTCACGTTTTTATTATAAAAAATAGAATTTTCTGGAATTATTCCAGTCAGTGTTCAAAATAAAGCACAACCTCAGATGTCAATCAACTTTAAGTAAATTCCGTCTTGGCCACTTAAGTAAGTAATGCAGTGTAACTGATCTCCACTGAGCTTGAGTCTCAGTTTTGACATCTATGAAGGGAATAATAATACTTTATAAGGTCATTATGAAAATAAAATTAAAGGAAGATAATATAAAGTGAATATCCCATACTAATAATTCAAGAACTATAAGTGTCATAGTCTAACATGTGCATGTTTCTAAACACTAACCCATGCCTATAATATATTAAGTATTGCTCTAAACTCTTTGTTTGTATTAACTTATTTGATTTTCCCAACCCTTTCAAAATAAGCAATGTTATTATCTTCGTTGTACAGCTATTGGCCTGCACAGAGATCTCATGGAAAACATGCAAAGCAGCATTTCCTAGTATTCTTCCTCCCATCACCGATCACCCATGATTCAATCCTTTTCGCAACTCATGCATGAGGTACAGTCATGACTAGCATTCCCCAGAGGAGGAGATGATGCCACAAAGAAGTCAGGTAACATGAATGCAGTCCCATTGTTGGTAAAAACGAGACTTAGAAGCCATGCCTTCTGAGTCCAGGACAAACTTAATTACTATGCTCTATTATCCTACTTAATCAGTGAGCTTACATGATTAAAGGAAAGAAAACAACTTATTTTTGGAAATCCACCTTCTGATAAAGCATTATTGCTTTCAGGCTTAATGCGGTTCACTAACTCCTGGGATTGTCAGTTACACTGTTGAGGGCAGGAAGAGACTGAGGCACTCGGCCTCCTCATTGCACATAGAGCCGCCTGCAACACGTACTGCCGTTCTCAGCCTCATGCTGAGAAGTCAGTACCCAGTTGCCAAGCAGAGATAAATAGAGACCTAATTGGTTTCATACATCTCAATTGAAAAAAATATTTATTCATGTGAACAAACATCTCACTACATTAAAAGTAATTTGATTTAGAAATATTTTTTGAAAGGGTTCTGAATAATGCCTCCACATTCTATGTCATGAAGGCAGAAAGGAAGATATTTCTAATTAAACACTTCAAAACATCTTATCCATAAGTTATTTTCCCAAATGTACAGCAATAACTCCCACAGAAGCTAATGTGTAGATTGAAGAGTGTTTCATTTTTTCCTTTTCACAATGAATGAGGAACAAGGAAAATACAGAATATTCTCTTTGTAAGAGGATCTCTGAGAATAGGTGGTCTTTACTGATCAAGGTTTGCTAAGGTAATTATTCTACAGTATTTATACAAATATTTTATCAGGTGTTTTTCTTTGTTTGCTTGTTTGCTTGTTTTTCTGTTTAACTCCAGTATGGACTGGATGTTCTAATCCACTCCCACAACACCCTAGGCTTAAACCTTAACATACTACATTTTAACTGTTTGTTTATTGAACTGTCTTCTCCACTAGAATGTAAACATCTTGAGGACTACCCCCTAAATATTGCCTATTCATGAGGATAATGTAAGAGAGAGCTCACATTTAATAAGTCACAACCTTAGAGTTTCGACAGCAAGGACCATGAGCCTCTTAAGTGCCAGGAAGAAAAGCAAAGCAGAGAGATAAAAATACCAGGAGACATATTTTCTTCCTACAAGAAACTTATAGTGGATTTTAATAATTTCCAGCCATTTTTATCCTTTGTTTCTCCAATCAAGGAGATTTTGAGGGACCAAATTTCTACAGTTTATATTATGAAAACAATATATATTTACTTTCTAACTATGAGATCATAGCAGCATATTGAATATGTTAGTTGACACTAACCTCACTACCATAACCCCTTCACACCCAGGAATGCTAATCTCCTTTGAGAAAAGGTCTTTTTTTTCACTGATTGAGAATATTTTATATCTGTTGAGTAAAATTATATACCGTTATAAATATCTGTGCCTAGTTGTATAAAACTACTATTAAAAATGGTTCACTAATTTTGCATTGTTTAGTGTGTACTGAATATGGAACTGTCATACAAATGGTAGTCATATTTGAAGTCATACAATGGGTAGTCATATCTGAAGCACTTATATACAACTGTCACAGATTAAAATTAACATGCTTAATCATGAAAACACAATATTATGTTATTGCAGAAGCTGAGGAAAAGTTGCAAATCTCCTTTTTCTGTTTTTGCTGCTGTGATTTTTGGCCTTATATAAAGGGGGAAACTCCACCTGAACATGAGAATAAAGAGGATGATAGCTCTTCTACTGCCCATTTCTAAAAGCTCCCACTGCAATTAATCTGCTGATCAAGAATCTGAAGCCAATGACAATGCTGTTAGCTTATACCAACTTCATTTTGATGTTAAAGAATACAAAAACAAGTAGACCAACCTTTGGTTTCTTAAGTCTCATTCGTACCATTTCTGCCATTGTGTTTTTTCTAATAATCTGTCCTCTACCCTAAATATCTTCCCCTGTCTTCCTGGGAAGTCTAGTGTCCTTTGGCTCCTCTGAATACATATTGCTGTATGGAACCGTTCTTGGCCATTACAAAAAAACAGAAAGTGTAGAGTCTTTCATAGCATGAAACTAACTTATCTGTGTCTCTCCAACTACAAAATGTTCTCATCTATTGGTTGATTCACAGCGATAGTAGCTTTCACTAACCAGTTGGTGTGTCAGGCATGCCATTTCAGAAGTTGAGGAATTTGAAAATCACCACTGGAGTAGCTGAATAATCAAATAAAATACTCCAGAAAATGTAGCAACTTCCAGGCCAGTATGTTTATCCAGGCTGCACGTACTCCCTGAGCACATGCTAGGCAAGGAGCTGGGCTCCATGGGTGAGGAATCCAAGTCCAAAATCATGTCCTACCTTTTAGAAGTCTACAGCTGATTGAAGAGACTTGTGCACAGATTCCTACAGTTTACTGCATGGTAAGTGACAGATTCAGAGTTGAGGCATTAATATTTCAGAGGTTTAGAAATGGGAAAGATTAACAAAGTGTTATTTTATTTTTATTTTTTTTAATGAATCACCTGCAGCCTCAGTGCCCAGAACTTAATGACTCATTATGGAACCATGAGGAGGAAAACTGGGCAACAGTCAACTGATTTCAAACATTTCATTCATCTCCATTGTCCATATGCTACCGCTGACGGCTCATGAGTTTTGGATACCTCTTCCACGAGGGCTGAGAATCGTCCCCGAGTACCAGATATAAATGTAGTTCCAGGCACTAAGGTCTGCTAAGGGTTTCCCAACTGTAAGACAGGCTCTACATTTGACACTCTGAACTCATTTTCCCACAGGAAAAAATTATGTAGATCAGGTTTAGTTCTCAGACTGGGCTTAGAAAATTCATATAGTGACTCACGTACTACAAGAAGCATAATGCCAAACAATCTTGAAAGCTGTTTATAGCAATATTTTCTAGGAGAAATGTAGGTGAAGCTCTAATTTGAAATACTGGCAAGTTTGGTATGGAATTCAGGGGAACATGTGTAATAAAGAACCACAGATATCTATGACTGCTCAAAAATGTACTTTCTCTGCCTCCTTGTCATTTCCAGCATCAATCTGCTAACCTAATTGGAATACATTTTAGGACTAGAATAAATGTAAACTAGAAAAGAGTTCTGATAGCTATTTCTATTACTCTCCATTTCCTTCTCCTTATTCCTAGCTGTAGGACTTTGGTGAGTGTTGGTTCTTATTAATATTTTTATCACCTTGGGTTCTCACATATTTTAACAGAGAGAGGTACTGGGCTAAATTTCTAGAACATCATAGGTACTTTATAATATATATTTTTTAATTGGAGCGTTTTGTGTGATTTAAAAAGTCACCAGTTTTTAGGAAATAATGCTCATAAAATTCAATTTTGTCATACTAACCTATTTTTCTTCTTGACATAGATACCTACTATAATATTGAAAGATTTTGTCTTTGTAATGAACACAAATAGGTTACATTAAATACACCTACCTACCCATGCACTGAATTCCCAAAAATACAACTTCTCTCTCCCACTCGCTTTGTTAGATTGGTGAAGCACCAGGTCAGCAAGTTTGTTCAACATAACTCTTTTCACAGTAGTCACAGTTGATTGGTCAATGAATAAACATTCAACTTAGGCTGGACCAATCAGATGGCCAGAAGACATGGTCTGAGAGGCTGCTTTTATTCCTCCTGTCCACAAGAAAGAAAATATGGTGATCTGCCATCACTGAACTTCCACGTTATGGGCCTGACTTCTTTTTCTTGACCCCAATTTTTATCTCTTGAAAAGCAACATCATTGGCTCTCCTGGGTAAAAGAACCAATCACTCCTGTAATTAGAATCTCTTCACAGTTTATAATAAAGCATTTTGAAAAAAGTGGAATTTTGAGAAACAAACTATTAGGGTTTTCTTTTCTTTAATGTTTCACTTTTTTCTCTCTTTTTAAAAATTCAACACACATATTCCCTGAAAGTGCTAAAGTTTTCAAGATTTTTTTAGCTAAAATTGATACATAATAAAATGATCCATAATAATTTGGTAATTTAAAAAATTGATACATATAATTGTACATATTTATAAGGTGCACATGATATTTTGATACATGCATACTATGTATAATGATCAGATCAGGATATTTAGAACACCTGTAACTTCAAACATTTATCATTTCTTTGTGTTGAGAATATTTCAAATCTTCTATGTTGAAATGTACAATAAATTATTGTTAACTGTAGTCACCCTATTGTGCTATTAAACACTAAAGTTATTTCTTCTATCTAAAGGTATTTTTGAGCATATTAACCAGTCTCTATTTACTATCCTCCCCCCTAGTCTTCCCAGCCACTGGTAACAATCATTCTACTCTTTACCTCGATAAGATCAACGTTTTTAATTCCCATGTAGTACATACGATACTCTCGGCTTTCTAGCACTAGAGTTTTCTACCCCTTGCTCAGGAAGCTGGATGAGATCGCTGAAGTGGGTTCAGCCCAAAACCAAGTTCTTGGTAATATTTTTTTGCTAAGGGTATGAAAACAAATATTCACAAGATAGGGTAATACAATTATCTCTTTAATGGAGACATAGGAGTTCAAATTAAAGAGAGCTCAAAGCCAGAGGGTTTCACATATGGGTGGGAACAGAGGAGTAGAACTGGAATTTGCAGCATCAGAATGTTCCAGCTTTGCAGATGTTCTTACATCTGATGTTAGTTTTCGGCTACCCTTCATTGTTAGGCACTCAGGACAAGGATAGCAGAAAGGCACTGAGTCTATTACTTTATGGTGTATTTCAATTTTGGGGGTTCAGAAACTGATACCGCAAAATGTAGTGCTTTGTACATGCTGCACTTATATAGAAGCCTCAGGTCTCTCTGACCTCCTCCCCTATCACTTCTCCCATAGCATAGGATACTCTGAAGCTTCCTTGTTTGCATACATTCTAGACCTGTCAAAGAGAAAAACAATTATCTCCAGTCCCTTCCCAGAGTCTTCATGAAATGAACCCATATTGAAGAAGGAAGACTAAAGTCTGTCAACAAACCTGGATAGAATTGTGTCCACAAATCATTGTCCACTCTAAGAACTCACCATTTTTTGCCCTAGATGACTGTAAGTTCATCAAGCCCATTAAATTCTACCTAGTAATTATGTTTGACCCTCAAGAGAATTCTTCTTCTCCCTCTTCCCATAATGTGTTTTGCAAGGATCCAAGCTTCCTTTCTTTCTGTTATGTCAACATGGTATATAAGTTTCTGCACTCCACTGGGGTGTTGGGTGTTCATTCTGAAGGCTCTTATGTCATTTAAAACTATGATCTAATAAATTTGCCTTTTCTCATATTCATCTGCCTTATTATGAGTTGATTTTTCAGCAACCTTCCAAGGGCAATATAACAGTGAGAAAAATCTAACCTGGCTGACCCTATCTTGCTTCTAACCTCACAAGCTAACTGCCTTTGCCCCTTCCTGTATGTAAGCTAAGCTAAATCACAAAAATAGCTTAGATGATAGTTTAACTTTAGAACTCATGACTATTTCTCTTTCAAAATGGCCCTGAGGAGATAAGGAAGTATACAAAGAAGTAATAATATTATGCTAAAGATGTATAGAAACAAGATGGTCTGGTTTAGTCATCTGAAAAACAGTTGACTCTGAACAAACATGTTTTGCAACCTTTTCTGAACGCTGCTAATGCCCAACTATCTGTGGCCACCAGTCATCTCTTGACCCCAACCACCTCCTTGTTGTCCCTTCCCCAATATAAAAAGAAGCTAGAGATTCATACCTTTTAAGAGCTTATTTAGGACCTTAGTCTGCTATCTTCTCAATGTGCTGGCTTTCCAAAATAGTCTCCTTCCTTACCCCAACATCATGTCTCTTGACTAATTGGCTGTCTTGCAGTGAGCAGTATGAAATTGGACCTGACTACAGTGGAGGGGAAGTTCCCTTAGGTCCAGCATAATGTGAAAATATATAACCTTCAGAACTTATTGTTTCACTTAAAAAATGGATGTGATATTTATCATGTATAGCTTATCCATTGTGTAGGATAAAATAAATTTATATTAAAAATTACATGGTAAAGTGCACCATTGAAATATAGCCATCATGATCATCAACATTGTTCTCTTTACCTCTCTTGAATCTCACCTGAAGCTTTCATAGTCCATATCTAAAGGCAGTGCTATAGTTTTGCACAAGGGATGACCTCCAATCAAAGTATGCAGTTGAATTCCAGATCCAAATATGACCATCTGCATATCACTTCCACATGTGTAATACACAAGCCTTCTCTGTCAAATAACCTTAAGAGTATTCCTCATTTTCCTCCATAAAATCTTTTCCTGATGTTATGATGTTCTGATGTTATGCCAATTGCGAAAGCAGAAAACAAAGAGTCACCCTTGACCTCAACATCCATATAATTGATATTTCTTATTAGTTTCTATATCTATTACCACCATATATACATATATGTGTGTGTATATATATGTGTGTGTATATATATATGTGTGTGTATATATATATGTGTGTGTGTGTATATATATATATATATATATATATATATATATTGCATTAGACAAATATACATAGATTTGAAACATTGAACTTAGGAGTTGAATTGACTAAAGAATGATTTGCAAATTGGACATCCTCCCAAACCAGATTAGGCTCAGAGAGGCTGCAGCATAGCCATGTGGTGGAGGAAGATGTATGGATGGTTAAAAAAAGAGAGTGAGTATGGAAAATAGAAATGAGGTGTAGAAACAGCCAGATTCATTACAGCTCAGAGTTTGCCTCATGTGAACCTAGTTTGAACAGTTGGCTGCCTGACCAAAACTTGGTGATTGGCACAAGAGTAGGTTGCAGTCTGTTCTACACATCCAGCTAGAGTACAGTTCACTATGTATAAAGAATCTTTAAAATATGTAAAGAGGCAGCTTTAAGCTAAACTTCATTTAACAATATTTATATACATGTATTATATATATAATTGTATGTAATTACATATAAAATATATTTAAGTGTATATATAATATATAACTATATATAATTATAGACCTATGTATAATACATATGTAACTATATATAACATATATAACTATATATGCAGTTACATATATAGTTATACATACATATATGTAGTTACATATATAGTTATATATACATGTAATTCTATCTATCTATTATCTATCTATCGATCTATCTATCTATCTATATCTGCTACTACCACTGCTATTGTCTTACTTATGGCCCCTAGGTTGTTACTCTGGAGCAGATTACGGAAAAGCGAGCTACGGAAAAATTGCTGCTTATAATTTAACCAATTGCTGATTATAATTAACTAACCTACTAATTTGTTTTCTAATTCCTTTCTGACTCATCATATACATACTCTGTACCTCTAACAAAGTGATTATTTTGTGGTTAACAAAATCGAAATTCTATTTTAACTTACAGAGTTCCTCCACATGATCTACAAACTCACCTCCTATACCCTCCATCCCATCCACCATCTGTCCCCACCAAAACCTGAGCTACAGTCCCTGACCTTGCTCAATATTACACAGCAAGTAAGCAGTAAACCCAGGACACAAAAGTTAGTTGTGAAGACCCCAGAATCTTAGTATTTCCTTCACTCGTTTATACAATTGTTGGTCTTTTTGTTATTGCAGTTTTCTCCATCCCTACAACAGATATTCCATGACCTTCTCTTTGCTTCTCTCTTCTGTATCCCATACCTCTATCTCTCAGGAGGTGCTTGGGAGTATCTATTCTAAGTCACTCCCTCAGGGTAAGCCCATTCTATGTTGTTCACTGAAATGGAAATTGCTACCCCCCACAATTCACCCCATGTCCTCTCCTACTGTGAGTGCTTGTCATTACATTCACCTTAACATCATTTAAAACCAGTCAGGCAGTCACATTCTTTAAGGAGTAAAATTTATGTTACAGCTAAAATAAAAATTAAAAAAGTCAATTATCTTAATGAGTTGCAGGTGGAGGAGAGAGAAAAAAAAGAGGCATTTGAAAGGGCATGTCAAGGTGCTATGGATGATGGAAACCAGACAAGTACTGCTTAACTCCTAGAGCAGAGAGGATGACTGTGTCTGAATGTTGGGAATAGAATAAGCAGCTGTCCTACCAGATCCCGACTGAGTTAATTCTTAGCCAAGAGAGTATGAGGGAGAATGGGGTAGTACACTGGGAAACTGAATGCAGCATTAAAAGCTACATCATGAGAGGGAGATAAACTATTTGGAGGAGAGAAAAAAAAAGCAGTGGAACAGAAAATAAAGGTATAATAAAGAATGATATTGACATTCTAGTCCTGCCGAAAACCTCTCCCAGGTATGAAGAAGATGAGTTCCTGAGGGAAATGAGTTCAGATGAAAAAGCCTTAGTTTTACAGTACATATTTTAAACAGGGAGAGATTATCTATGCCATTTTCAACTACTAAATGTCTTTCTGGAAAATGCCCTAGGTTATAACAGGAGCTTAATGTAAGATTTATTTGTTGATATGGCTTTTTCTTTCTTTTTTCTTAATTTTTATTTTATTTTATTTTATTTTTTGAGACACAGTCTCACTCTGTTGTCCAGGCTGGAGTACAATTGCAAAATCTTGGCTCACTGGAACCTCCACCTCCCAGGTTCAAGTGATTCTCTTGCCTCAGGATCCTGAGTAGCTGGGATTACAGACATACACCACTACGCTGAGATAATTCTATTGTATGTTAAGTAGAGACAGGGTTTCACCATGTTGGCCAGGCTGATCTCGAACTCCTGACCTCAGGTGATCCACCCGCCTCGGCCTCCCAAATATTGCTATGGTTTTAAGGTGTTTTTCTTTGCTTTGTGTATGTTTGTTACCTTTGCTGGTTTGCTTTGCTTTTAAATAATCTGGGAGAACAAGAGTCCTCAAAAAGGCAGGAGCACATTAAATCCTTACTGAAGATACTCCCAGTTACCCATCTATTCTAAAAGCCAACTCAAATCACATTGAAACCGCCTTTGCAAACACTACAACAGAAAGAAGTCTAGCATGGCTGATTCCATCCTGCTTCCACCCTCACAGGTTGGCTGTCCTCATTCATTCCTGGCTGTACCCCGACTAACAATGAGAGAAATTTAGTTTATATTATAGTTTAACTTCGAAGCAAGTATGATAATGGTCCCACCCTAAAACTGACCCTCACCTTGGTCAGATATCTTAACCACCTTTGTAAAACTAATGAAAGACCAGGAGATTAGGATTATGGAGGGACATTGATTCTGCTAAAATGTAGGCATGGTTAAATTATAATCAGCAATTGTTCCATAGCTTGCTTTTCCATAATCCCTTACTGCTCCAGAGTCATGTGTCCAGAAGTCAATTTGTGACTTTCCCAATTGCTCCTATAGGTAACATCCCTGTTGCAGAACCAAAGATTGGTCTTTTGAGATGTTTTTCAGACATTTGCATCCAAGTGACTGACCCCACCTGGACCTGTGAGTCATGGCTCAGCCTCAACCATTCCTATTTTTTCCACCTAGTGGCTGCTCAGCACACATGACCATTTTCCATACCCCTATGATTTCATCCCCAACCAATCATAGCACCCATTCACTAGACCCCTGACCACCAAACTATCCATAAAACCCTAGCCTCTGAGTTCTTGGGGAGGCTGATTTGAGTAATTCCTCCCATCATTCTGTTCAGCTGTGCCTGTGATTATTCAAATCTTTCTTTGTTGTGAAAACCACTGTTCTCAGTGCACTGGCTTTTCTGAAAAGCAGGCAAGATGAACCCATCAGGTGAGTACAGCATAACTTTCTGTAGCCTAAAGCTTCACACACTTATCTGCCTGAAATTTCCTTAGATTTCAATCCCTACAAGTGCAAAACTTTGGCCAGGAACTACCAGTATTAAACTCTCATTCATATATAAGTCTTAGACATGGTTGTAGTGCAGAAAACAATTCTCCAAAATGTGGTGCTTAGACAGGTTGAATGCTTTTGAAAATTGAAAGTCCTCAGAAATAAGCCTCAGAATCAAGGTCCTTTTAACCTTGTCTTGTTCCTCCCCTCGAGCACAGGGGAAACTCTCTATCTCTATGAAATTTCCTTTTCTGGCCAAGAAAGCTTCTTACCAAAAGAAACACAACTTCCTTCTCTGCCATCCCTGAACTCTCATTATCTACAGCAGAAAAGAAGACTGAAGAATGCAACCATACTTAGATGAACCTTTTCACAAGATAATGCCTGCCTCTGGGTCATTCAAATTCCAAAGAGAATCATTTAAAAGTTAATTTCTGCCTCCCTTGTCCATTCTCCTTAATCATCATTTACTGTCCTTCAAAAGAATTGTTGACATTCCTATATCCTCCCTACTCTAGGACAAAGGGTATATAAACTCCTGTACCCCACTGGGGGGCTGAGGTAATCATGTCATTTTTCTTTCTGTGCATGTTAAAAAATAAAGTGTATGCCTTTTCTATCAATTTGCCTTTTTTTCAGTTGATTTTCAGCACACTTTCAAAGGGTGAAAGGGAAGTTTTCCCTTAGCCCTTATAACATTTTTAGGAATTATCTATTGCCATTAGATTGTGTGATATTGTAGGGGCCAAGGCCCTTGCCCCTGAAGGTGCACTGAAAAACCAACTCTCAAAAGGCAGATTAACTGGAGGAAAGGCATACAAATTTATTTAATATGTATATGGAACCACTTTTGCAAAAACTGTAACAGCAAGAAAATTATCGCAGTGAAAGAGATCAGATATAACCAACCCCTATCTTGCCTTTATTTTTCAAACTGTCCTTAGTTATTCCAGGGCTTGGGCCCAGTTAACTTTGGGAGACATTTAGTTTATAGTTTAAATGGTAACAGCCCTTCCTCAAAACTCATCTGCCTTTGTAAAGGTAATGAGAGACAACTAGGCTAAGGATAGGAGGATAAGAGAAGACTGAATTTGGCTATGGTGTAGACATAAACAGTTACCAGCCATTACTCTGGAGGTCGCAAAATATGCAACTTCCCCAATTGCTTCTACAGAAAACATTACCATTGTAGAACCTAAGATTGGCCTTTTGAGATGTCTTTTCAGATTTTTTGCATATCTGACGAACAATGGTTCCACCTGGATCCACCAACTGCACCTGTGGCACCATCCAGAGGTGACTCAGCAAGCATGAGGATCATTTCCCACATCCCTATGATTGCAACCCAACCAGTCAGCAACAAGCACCCACTGCCTAACCAACCCCCCGCACCGCCACAAGCTATCTTTGAAAAACCGTTGCCTTCAAATTCTTGAGGAGGAGGATTTGAGTAATAATAAAATTCCTGTATCCCATTTAGCCAGGTCTATATGTATGAAACTTTTTCTATTGCAATTCCCCTGCCTTGATAAATTATCTCCATCTGGGCAGCAGGCAAGAAGAACCCAGTGGGAGGTTGCATAAATGTGGGGAGATCCACTGAATGATTACCACCCCTCAGTGTGGCTCAGAAGCTTACACAGCATCCTGGAAAAACAGGTTTCGGGAGCAATGAGAAGTGGAATTTTGTGGAGGGGAGTAGTAGGGAGAGTAAGTGGATCAGGGAATAGATATTAACTTGTATACTATTTAGTGAAAGGGTCCATTCAGGTGTGGTTTATATTTTTGGTCTTACAGGAAGAGGAAGAAAAAACAATTTTTCTCCTTGGTGGGTCTAAATCTTAGGCAGATAAACATCTGTGCTTTTGGAGAGATGATGGGGGTTAGGGATGAGGTCAGAGAGACCTTGAGGCTTCTTCAGTTCAGCAACTCCAAACTCCATGTTTAAATTCTTCCCATAGTTACCTTGGCCTATGCTCAGGAATGGACAAGGACGGCTTGGAGATAAGAAGCAAGATGGAGTCAGGTCAGATTTCTCTCACTGTCATCAGTTTTTTTGCAAAAGTGGTTTCAATCTCAAGTATCTGGGTCTTAGCTTCAGCACAGGCCTCAATGAATAGCAGGAAAGCTACTAAGAAGAAAGCAGCAAAGGCACCATTCATTCCCAACAAACTAAAGTACACTGACGTTTAAACAACTTTCTTACTCACTTTTTTTCTCTGTCTGCTTTACTTTAATTTGTTAAAATTTTTTTTTAAAACATAACCATCTCTGACTTATTTTATAGCATTCCAGCTAATTCCTTTTTAAAAATTTTAATTACTTAAAATCAATTCAATATCCAGTCATTTAAAAATGGCTTTAATTATTTATCTTTAAAAAAATCCCAAATTAACAACTTTTCAATAGCTAATTTGTCAGGCACTAGTGTTACTGGAAAGGGATCTGATCCAGATTCAAAGAGAGGGTTCTTGGATCTCGCACAAAAAAGAAATACGGCGAGTCCATAAAGTGAAAGTAAGTTTATTGAGAAAGTAAAGAAACAAAAGAATGGCTACTCCATAGGCAAGGAAGCGGCATAGGGTGCTCGACTAAGAATACTTACCGTTATTTATTGATTATATGCTAAATAAGGGGTGGATTATTCATGAGTTTTCCAGGAAAGGGGTGGGCAATTCCCAGAACTGAGGGTTCCTCCCTTTTTAGACCATATAGCGTAACTTTCTGACATTGTCATGGCATTTGTAAACTGTCATGGTGCTGGTGGGAGTGTCTTTTAGCATGCAAATGCATTATAATTGGCATATAATGAGCAATAGACGACCAGAGGTCACTTTCATCACCATCTTAATTTGGGTGGATTTTCGCTGGCTTCTTTTGCCTGGCTTAAAACCACAATCTGTTTTACCAGCGAAATCTTTATGACTTGTACTTTTTTCCAACCTCTATCTTTTCCTGTGACTTCGAATGCCTAACTTACTGGTAATGCAGCCCATTAGGTCTCAGACTTATTTTACCCAGTCACTGTTCAAGATGGAGTTGCTCTGGTTAAAACACCTCTGAATATATTTCCCTGCCCTTTTACAATGGAACCCTTAATCCTTAGGGTTGTAGAGGGATGAAGATCCATCTTCTGTAACTTCTTCAGTCTGAATAATGATGATGATATTCCAGCCTAACTATTAGGATTTCTGACATTTAGGGTAGAGAAGATCTCAGTCAGAAAGTGTAGGTATGGCCAGGGCCATTCATAACTCTGAGTTCCAACAAAAGGTGATATCTAAAAGATTAATAAATGTTCAACTTAAGAAAACATATAGTAAGCTTATACTGCATTCCTACACAGAGTACAACAGCAATATAGTCCACAACAGTAAAGCAAAATAATCCCAAGTAAATAAAATAAGGCTTTGCACGAACTGGGCAATTGTTGGAAGCAAGCAGATATAAGGTCACTAACTGATTCCAATGTGTGCCCAGAATTAGAATATTGATCCAGATATTTAAATTGCCCATACCTCTTGTTTCTTCTGAGCAGCAGCCAGAAATCAGTGGTTGGTTCACAGGAATAAGCAGAGTCCATCTAAATTTCAGGAAAAAATGTAAAAAACAACTGATGAGACTAGAATCTAATAACAAGGGTACCATAGTTCTTGAAACATATTTTTGCTTTTTCCAATCTCCCATTTTTACTAAAGACAAATCAAGGTAGAAATGAGTTGTTTGTAAAATAAACTTTGGTCTCATTATACTTGGCCTGATTATTTCTATAAAGTGCAGCAAGAATAATTATTTGCCATGTAGGTTCTTTTTAACTGCCTTTAATGGAATTTTGTTCCATAAGGAATCTCAGACACGACCTTTTTAAAACTGAGCCCAGTCATCAATTTGCACCATCAAATACCTATATAAGCTGGGTAAATTCCTCTCTTGTTTAGGTCCCAAGATAACTTTGTGCTCCTCAGCCTGTCAGAAAGTGACATCCTTTATTACCACAAGTCAGGAATCCTGTACAGGGACTGTGGAGACAAGGTATGAGGCCAGTTTTCCCAATGGGCTTTTGTTGATTCTATAAGTCAAATTTAATTCCTTAAAGGAAAGCATGCCATTCCAGTCAAAGCCTTGGTAAAATAACCAGTTTCTCCAATTGTATCCTGTTACAAAAGAAAACGGATTCTTATGGCACTTATGCAAATAACTATATGGCCATAAGTTAAGAATACTCACAAGTACTTTCCAAATTTTGGAGAAATAAAGCAGAGAGAAACAAATATGCTCCAAATTTTGTCCACAGGAGCATAACTTAACTCAATTGTTAAAGCTGTCGATAGCTCAAAAAAAAAAAAAAAAAAAAATTTTTTCCCAGCTCCAAAAAGACAAAACAAAGAATCGGCAACCTTTTAAACAAAGAGTCAGAAAAGATTACTTCGGTTTTCTGTTCATTCAGTATATGCAGTTAAATCCTGTTCCACTTGATATTCATGAATATTTCAGCTCTCTATGAGAGTCCTAAAAGTTTTTCCCTATACTCTAATGTAACAATCTCCAAAGTTATCAGAAACTTGCATTCAAAAGCACCTGTCAGAGTCCTATAGCTGATAACAAACCATCTTTTGAAGAGGATCAAAACAAGACAACAATTGTCTGTGGATGACAAAAAGCCTTAGGATAGCCACTATTGAAGCCACAATTGACTAGGAATTTTGGTTACTTCTGTGGCATACAACAATTATACATAACAATTAAAACTATTAATAACATACACTAAATTCATATCAGAATTAAAGGAGTTTCGTATAATTTTGGAACACATACCAATAACATATTTATACAAATACAGCCCAAAGAAATCCAAACACCAGCTCATATTTGACAATGTTTCCGGTATGATTTTTATACCAAACAGCTGTAGATAGTAGGGGACCTACTATCTAAAGATTAATTAGGTCAGGATAAGACAGAATTTAAAATTTAATCTTGGAAAGTTTGTAAAATATCAAAGGTTTAAAACACTTGATATTATAAAATAGAATTCCAGGTCACATAAGTCATTACTTTAGCCAAAATGATAACTCAAAAATTTTAGAAGGTAAAAACCTTTACTCATTGATAGAGGGAAGACTTAGCTTTCCAAACAATTTGTCTCTTGTCTTTCCCTTATTTTTCCTTTAGTTTATCCTAAAGCCAAACAATTTTTTAAACTATTTTTTAATTAGACATGAAAATCCTGTTCGAGTTAAAGCCACATTTCACTCTTGCATTAGTGTACCATTAATGTCAACCCCAATTCTTAATAAAACCTTAGAGACAAATATATTCAATTTTAATATCTGACCATAAGGTAAGTTTCTTATGAACCTTTTATAACCCTTTACAAATTTTTGTTAAAGAGCAGATTAGTGCTATAAGAAAACTCAGTTGTTCTTTTATTCCAATGTTCAGTTTATGGAAAAAGTGAATGATATCCCTTTAACTTTAGCCAATATTTTCCACACATAATTTCTTTTACAAGATTAATTTTCACAAAACTTCCACAACTTACTCAAATGTCCAGCTATATCCTATTCAGCTTAGAAGTATCTATCCTTTAACCTTTTGACATGGTTTGGCTATACCCCACCCAAAATCTCATCATGAATTGTAATCTGAATTGTAATCCGCACATGTTAGGGGAGGGACCTGGTGGGAGGTGATTAGATCATGGGGGTGGTTTCCCCATGTTGTTCTCATGATAGTGAGTGAGTTCTCATGAGATCCGACAGTTTTATAAGGGGCTTTTCCCCTTTTCACTATGCACTTTTCTCTCCTGCCACCATGTGAAGAAGAATGTGTTTGCTTCCTTTTCTGCCATGATTGTAAGTTTTCTGAGGCCTCCTCAGCCCTGCAGAAGCGTTAAGTCAATTAAACCTCTTTCCTTTATAAATTACCCAGTCCTCAGCAGTTCTTTATAGTAGTGTGAAAACACACTAATGCACTCTCTAAACAAAAACAAAACAAAAAAAACTACATTCACATGAATTCTTATAATCTTTTCCCAAAACCACATTTTATTTTCCTTACATACCTTGCATGTAAAACTTTTCCAGTAGTCTCAAGTACGTGTTACACTGTTAACTCTTAGCAACTTTTACTTTGGTGAAAAAGCTGGTAAGTAAGTGATTCTAATTTTGTACCAGGTGTGGAGCCTAGGACACCAGACAGAAGTTGGGATAAAGTCTGACTCATTCCAGCAAGCTAGGAGGCATGGCTAACTCCACATGTGCCCAGGACTTAACTAGACTCTAATGGCTCCACAGCAGGTAAGTCGAACGATTTTCAAAAGTCAAAAAAGCAGCTTATAACCTTAAATCATTTAGCAAACCTAATATCTGATCTGTAAAATTTAGACTAAATGTCTAATTTTTGAAGACATTTTTATTTTACCAATAAGTTTTATATATTTTTTTTTTTTTGAGACAGAGTCTCGCTCTGTCACCCAGGCTGGAGTGCAGTGGCACCATCTCAGCTCACTGCAAGCTCCACCTCCTGGGTTCACGCCATTCTCCTGCCTCAGCCTCACGAGTAGCTGGGACTACAGGCGCCCACCTCCACAACTGGCTAATTTTTTGTATATTTTGTAGAGACAGGGTTTCACCATGTTAGCCAGGATAGTCTCGATCTCCTGACCTTGTGATCCGCCCGCCTCGGCCTCCCAAAGTGGTGGGATTACAGGCCTGAGCCACCGCACCTGGCCTAAATTTTTTTTTTTTTTTTTTTTTTTTTAATGAAAGCGAGTTCAGCCCCAAGGACTGTGGCTTGGATATTTTAGTGATTATTTCTTGATTAAATGCCAAATAAGGGGTAGATTATTCAGGAGTTTTCCAGGAGAGGGGCTGGGAATTCCTGGAACTGAGAATTTCTTCTCTTTTTAGACAATATGGGGTAACTTCCAGGAGTTTCCATGGCATCTGTAAATTGTCATGGTGCTGGTGAATTATAATGAGTGTTGTCTTCTTGATTGTGGCTGGCTTCAGCAGGCTTCTTTGCCACATCCTGTTTTATCAGTGGGGTCTCTGTTACCTATGTCTTGAGAAACAAGTCCTGCTGAACTCCTACCTCACAGTGAACCCCAATATTAAGAATGAACATCAACTTAGCCACTTACCAATTTACCTTGGCACTCCTTCTAACTCTTCCTTGCCTCCAATTGCTCACCATTTTATTGCGAAGATTAAATAAACTTTTTCCTGTAAAGTACTTTATATAGTACCTCTGCTCTGTACCTATCTGTAATAAGTTAAAAACACTATTACTTTTTAGTCTGAATCTAACAGCTTTCTCTCAGAATTCTAAGGGAGTATTATTAAATTATGTTCTATTTAAGCAAAATAGAAGAAGTCTACATTTATGCTGAGAAATATGGTAAT